>NC_000006.12:166646166-166961242 GCF_000001405.40 Homo sapiens
GCCCATCTCAGTTGATCAGAGGGCATCTATTTCAGTCTCTCAGATCACGTGGAATCTCTTGATCGGTTCCACATGGACCAGCTTCTGACACCCTGGCTGCAGAACAGAAGCGGCGGCTGGGAGAGGTAAGTCTAGACCCAGGTAGCAGGGACCCCCCTGGACCCACACGCCCACACGGCCATTGCCCTGAGAGCCAAACCTTCCAAGAGGCCCTGAAAGAGAAAGAACACAACCAGCCAAGCTTGGGACTGGACAAGCCAGTCAGCAGCACTGAACCTTACAGGATAAGTCCTAGGCCACGGAGGAGCCAGTCGAGGTCAGCCTGGAGTCTTCTTTATTCATGACATTGCATCTGTGCAGCGCAAGGGCCCCGCCAGGAAGACCTGGTCCAGCCGCATGCCTTGGCTGGGGCCCCTGACACGCTCCTTCCTGGGGTCACCCGCGTCCCAGCCTGGCCCTTCTGGGCCACGGTGCAGCTCTCAGGGACCTTCTTCGTTTCACCAGGGGCTCCTCACACCAGAGCTTACCCCAAAGAAGTGAACCCCTAAGCCCCCTTCAGTTCCTAGGATCCTTGACTCCTACCAAGCAAACCCTTTTGTCCTCACCCCTTTTGAATCTCCTTTGAGATCTCAGAGGTAGGCATCTCCTGCTCCATTCTAATTCAGGCACCTTTCCCCTCTCCAGCAAGTTCTCCTGCTTCTCAGGCCGTGGTGGGTGTGGGCCTCTGTGCGAGCCGCTCCCCTGTGTGCCTTCGGCCGCCACTCCTCCCTCAGCTGCTCGCATTCCCACTCTGTCCTTTCTCCAGGCTGACGCCCAGCCCTCCAGACCTCCTACCCCAGTTCAGAGCCACAGGTCCCAAAGCCTCCGTGGATGTCCTCCAGGCACTGCCAGGGAAGAATTATTCCACAAATATCTGTATATCAGTATGTGCCAGAAATCGTTCTGAGTCATGCCGATCTCCCAGTTCACCATCTTTTTTGCCCCAGTGTTCTCCTATTTTTTTTTTAACTCTAAACCACTCAGTAAATGACACTGATGTCATCATGATCACAGTTCTTCAAATCATCCTGATTTCTCCCCTTTCACGGCCCTCCCAAGCCCAGCCCCTTATCCACACTTTGCATCCTGTGCGTTTGATCGCTCTGTCACCACACGCCCGCCTCGTCCCCATGGCCGCAATGGCCAGAGGCATGGCTTCATCTCTTCTTGCCGGGTTAGTGCAGTTCTCTGCTGGTGGGGATGTGGGCCTCCAGGATTCCTCCCCAATCTGTCTGCACCGCTGTTCAGATGTGTTTTAAAAATTCAGGTCTGGTCAAGCCCTTCCCTACTCTACACCGTCAATAATTTCCTGTACTTTTAAGGATAAAGTTCACATCTCTCAGCTGACCACGCAAGGTTCTACATGCCCGTTCCACCTCTTTCCATACCGCTCCCTAACAGGAACTCTTTACTACTGCTCTTAAATTATCCAAACGTAGCACATTTGAAAAATAGCCCCACCATTTAGCCAATTGCCTCTCATCCTTTGAAACTTTTAAGTTTTTCCAGGAGGCTTCCTATACCCACAGGACACACATACATGCACACACACACACACGCACATGCTCATACACACACATGCACATGCTTACACACATACATACACACATGCTCACACACATGCACATGCTCACACACGCACACGCACATGCTCATACACACATGCACATGCTGACACACATACATACACACATGCTCACACACATGCACATGCTCACACACACGCACATGCTCATACACACACATGCACATGCTTACATACATACACACATGCTCACACACACGCACATGCTCACACACGCACATGCTTACACACATACATACACACATGCTCTCACACACATGCACATGCTCACACACATGCACACGCACATGGTCATACACACACGCTCATACACACACGTGCACACACACGCTCATACACATACATGCACACACGCACATGGTTACACACCCATGCACACATGCTCACACACATGCACACATGCTCATACACACACTCATGCACACACACGCACATGCGCACACACACACATTCACACAGGCACACACACTCATGTTCATACACACGCATGCACACAGTATGCACACACACGCATGTATACACATGCACACACACATACATGCACACGCTTCTCCTCACTCCCTGATTTTTATGCTGTTTTTCTGAGGGCCTGGAGAACATTGTGCACGCCTCCATCTTACCATATACAACTGCTGCACAATCTGCCTTTGTACCTGAGACTGGGCAAGAATTACTTGAGAGCAGAAGCCATGTCTCATTTGACAAACAGGCAGCTGGCACGGGAAGGGGACGGGCATTTAATAAATGTTTCTGGATTGAACACGTGAGTGAGTTCGTATATTCCTGAATGACTCGCCATTTTAGTATTTTCACCTATCACCGCCACGCAGCTGACTTCTTAATCTGTTTCCAGCTCTGCCCTCTCTCACTAGCTGGAATCCCGTCTCCAACTCTCTGCAGCCGACTCCATCTGCGCATCACTCCGATCTGTATTACAGTGATTACTCCGGCGTCTGCATCTCGTCCTGAGGTCCTGAACTTTGGGATGGCACCGACCATCTGTGACTGTCCGACTCAAAACATCGGTGCCTGGCACAGGAAGCATCTCATTCTGTCTCTCCTCACCCCCCTTATGCATTTCACCCATCACCAAGGCCCATAGAGTCTACCTTGCAGCGTCTCACCAATTCACCTGTCTCTCTAAGGCCACTGGCACCTCATGCCAGCCCTACTAATGGGCTCCTTCCTTCGCCCCTCCTCCAGTCTAGTCAATATGTTACCAAAGCATTATCCCTCTCCACTGCTCTGCCCTTCAATCATCTGTACCACAAAATGTGACTCAATAAATTCAAGCTGCTATTCCAAACGTGGCCTCATTTGTCACACCAGCCTCAAGCTTCATCTCGCACCACTCAGAGTCTGCTCCACACCAAACCCAGCAGGACCAGGTAGTATTTCCACATCTGCCCCTCGCGTTCCTGCCCCTGCGCCCGTCTGCGCTCCTGCCCCTGCCCTCCCCTCTTCCTTCTTCTTAGATCATCTATCCATCTTTTAAGTCCAAACTTAAATAGGACCTTTGTTCATGCATTTCCTCATTTCCCATTAAGATAAAACTTATTTCTCCTGTGAAACCCTGAGCACTTTATAACCACTGCAGTATAACTTGTGTTCTAACTAGAATCTGTTTCCGGGTCATCCTCCCTGTTAAATCCCATGCTATGTATCGTAATTCCCAACAAAACAAATGAGCATGGTGCTGAGGGAATCCTCCTCATGGTATATAGATTTCCAGATTTTTAGGGAATGAGAGCCTAATGTCACCCTATCTGACATTTCTGAGGCCAATGGTCTTTTAGGGGTAATGAAGAATTATTACTATGATAATTATTTGGGAATTATACCTTACTCACTCATGCAACCCCCACTCCCAGGGCAAGGCCTTGCAGGCAGGAGGTGCTCAGTAAAGGACCATGCAATGGATGGGATTGTAGACCCAGTGAGCTGAAGAAAAACCAGACCCCGGGGGGTTTTCGTTCCACATCAAGCAGGTGAGCTGAGACCACGGGCTGTCTTCCTTGGAAAGCACAGAGAACCTGGCACGATTGTTTTGCTACCAGGACTGCAGGGCTGTCTTTCTGCGAACTTTCATTACCAGAGGTTTAAAGGCTCGCCAGCAGAAACTTCAGAACTGCATGCCCAACATGATCTCGATAAGTAGTGGGTCATTGCGGAGGGTAGAGAGAAGTAGTCTCTGAGTTAGTCTTATTAAAACAAATCTTTATTACCCTTAAAAGAACATTGGCCTCAGAAATGTTAGATGGGGTGACATTAGGCTCTCATTCCTTAAAAACCTGGAAATTTATATACCATGAGGAAACTTCCCTCAGCACCAGGCTCATTTGTTTTGTTGGGAATTACAAAAAAAAAAAAAAAAAGCACAATTAACTTGTACCACAAGATGCTGAGCCAGAGCCCCTCTCTACTGCGGAGGGAATGAGATAAGGCCTCCCCTGGGGTTTCTATTCTGGGGTCTCCCACAGGAAGCCTTTCATCACCACATTCTTATTCATAGACATTGAAACAATACTAGCATTTAATTTGCACCAGGAACTGGGGTAGCAAGAAGAGGGGGCATTCTCCAGCTGTCTAGAGGTGGGAGGGAGGGGGTCCATGTTCACCGTCCTCTTTTCACGGCCATCACTTTAGGCTGGAGGTGGGAGGGAGGGGGGTCCATGTTCACCGTCCTCTTTTCACGGCCATCACTTTAAGCTGGAGGAGAGAAGGAGGAGGGGTCCGTGTTCACTGTCCTCTTTTCACGGCCATCACTTCCGGGTCAGGAAATGATGATGACTGTTCAGGCCTGTGTCCTGCCTTCACTAGGGCCAGCCAGCGGCATCCATATTTTTGCAGTGTTGTATGTGAGGGTGAACTGAGTCAGGCTTGCCCAAGTAGGTGGCATTCTGCTGGTTCAGGAAAACTCAAATTGTTGGCTTCAAGTTCACTTGGTTCTCTCTCTGTCTCCAGTCCTGGCTGAAATTCTAAGTGATTTTTTACTTCTGGAGCCATCTGTAAGAAAGGCTCTTCTTGGAACCCTGAAGACTGCAGGTCTCGTTTGGGCAGGTGAGAGGGATTTGAGGTGACTGAACAGAACCCATGAGGCTCAAGGTGGTTGGGTTTAATACTTTGAACCTGAACATAGGAATAGATCACTTTTTAAAATTGTTTTCAGCACCTAAAATTATGGCCATGGACAGCTCCATGCAAAGGTCCCCTGACTACAAGGACCTGCCCCGTGATGTGGTTGTGTTACCCAGACCCTGCCTGTCCAGCTGTGGAAGCCAGGCTGTCAATCCGAAAATGTCAGCGCCTTGCTCAGATCACTCCAGTGTGTGAGGATCACAATTTAGATAAGAACCCAGATTTCTTGGTTTAAAATTGGTATTTTCTACTTTATCTCATACTTATATCATATATATATAATTTGGTAAAAAGCAGAACATATTCTCTACTTCTAGAGGCTCCATCTGCAAGCATTTGTACAATTCAGCAAGTACAGAAAAGTGTTGGATCATGTGGGCAGCAATTCAAAGATTTTTTTAACCAAATTATGCAATTATCTCAATGCACAGGATTATGTAAGAGTATCTAAAAAACAGGTTATTACAAGCAATAAAGTCAGAGATTTGCAGTTGATTGGTTTTCTATGTATTTCTAAACTTGGCAATGGGTTTGTAATACCCAGTGGGCTCTTTTGTTGCTTAGCTTAACGTTTTTCAGAAGTAGACAATTCTTCACGGGAAGACAACGGAAATCCAAGGAAAGCTACGAAGGCTGTTATCAGAGAAAAATTTCCTCGAAGCACTTTAGCTGTCACTTTGAAGTGTTAGTGACATCCTTTGGCAGTGATTAAATGTGCCACATGCCACTAATCTTGTTTAGAATCCTTAAAGAGGACAGCAGCCCTTACACAGGATGCTTCGATCTGATGACGATGGTGTTTATGCAGTGATGTGTGGCTCACAGGCACGTATACAACACCATCAACTCTTCCATCTCATACCTCATCAGAGCTTTCCATCTGATCCCATTTGGAGAAGGATATCACACCTGAGGAATCCACGTGTAAGCTATTGCTCTTGTATGAGTTCAGGTGCACACGCACTGTGGACGCACACTGCACTGTGCCCCCCAACGGCTGACAACGTGGAGCCGGGATGCAGGAGCATCCGCCTTCTCCAAGTGAGTTCTCGGCACTGCCGTGCTTTCACTAACCCTTTATTTACTTCTGCTAGTAGACTTTCAACGCCACTGAGTGCTAGAAGAATTTAAGAATGTTAAAATAGATATGATGAGAATACTGTTTTTTGAACATCTTCACATATGAAGAGTAAAAGTCAGAGGATAGAGCTTCGGATTATCTCATAGAAGAAAAACACCTTCGCATTACATGTGGCATGAGCCATTCGCGGGTATTATATCTTCTTCATTTGCTATTGTTTTCTTTTAAAGCATCTCACCAAGCACTCGCTTCACTGTGCATTTTATATTCTGGTTTTATTTCCCAGTTCACAATTTTATTCAGAATCTTAAATTAACTGTCCTTGGGAAGTATACAACTAGTTTTACCCAAAGGATGGCTGAAAATGCATTGTCTTCAACACAAGATAAATTAACCTGTTTTCCTTGCGATGTTTCCCATGAGGAGTTTGATCGTTTGCACCTTATTCTCTTCGGGGAACTTAGGAAAAACCACATGGAGGTTGTCTTCTCGATGGCGCAACCATGAACTGGACACGTTTCTTGACTTAATCAAGTTATGTCCTATTTTTGCCCGTATTGATCTTTATGTCACTGAAAGCCAATGTGTACATTTGTCAGTGTCAGAGCACCCTCTGACCAACTCAACTCTGATCTCTTGTTGTTAAAATCCCACCCGGTGACCTGCTTGGGTTCCCCCAGCTAGGCGAGAGTTGAGTCCTTAGTAATTTCAGGCGGGGCCCAGAGATCATGGAAGAGATGCGGGTAGTGGTGAATCGTACCGAGATTTTCAAGCTCCATCTTAATCAGTGTAGAATAATGGAAGCTTTTTTAAATTCAGCAGGCAAGCACTATAATTAAACTCGCATGTCATCAATATTCCATCAGGGTGCAACTCAGCCGCCTGTCTCCCTGCCTCGTGCCTTGGGTGGCTGGGCTGTCTTCATCATGCTGGGCCCAGCAGCAGGCTATTTGCCAGGGCACCCACTGTGGACACTCTGCCTTCCCAGGGTAGCCCCGGGCCACAGAACCTGCCACTAGGCATTGCCCATTATTCCATTTTTCTCTCCTAATGATTTTCTGTTGTTGTTCAGAGGGAGTCTCGTTCTGTCTCCCAGGCTGGAGTGTAGTGGCATGATCTTGGCTCACTGCAACCTCCACCTCCTGGGTTCAAGCAATTCTCGTGCCTCAGCCTCCCAAGTAGCTGGGATTACAGGCATGTGCCACCATGCCCGACTAATTTTTGTATGTTTAGTAGAGACAGGGTTTCACCATGTTGGCCAGGCTGGTCTCCAACTTCTGGCCTCATGTAATCCGCCCGCCTCAGCCTCCCAAAGTGCTGGGATTACAGGCGTGAGCCGCCCTGCCTGGCCCTAATAATGTTTTTAAGGAGGTGAATAATTCCCATCGACTTAACTCATCCCAGAGATTTAGGTCCAGCAGAGCCAGGCCCACACAGTTATTGAATCAGACACGAGAAGACGGAATCGACATGGCAATCAGCATTTAGACAGGCTACTAAGTGCTGCCATCAATCACCTTCTCTTCCCAGAAAAGTACAGATGTCTCCCTGGATTTCTTACTAATAACCAGAAATACAGCTGTCCAGGCCCTGCACATATTTTGTATCACTTGATAAAAATAGCTAATAGCATTCTATCTGTGACTCCTGGTTTATCTCATAAACTAAATGGATGGAAAAGAGAAAGGAATGCTACTTGAAATCCCATCTCAGCGGCACATGAATTCCAGGTAGCGGCTCCCTGGTTACAGGACAGAAGTAAGTGAAGTAGCACACACAAGAGAAATATCGGAAAACAGAAAATAACTTCTAGAGGAATAATTTGTTGCACAAAATGCAAACAAAACATGTTCATTAATACGTTTTATTTAAACATATTTTCAAATGCTTACAATTGTGGATTTTAGGAGGCTGTGCAAAAATCATGAATATTTTTAATCTGTCTTAACAGGCTTCTCTCCCACCTCTCACTGTGATACTGAGCAGAACTCCCCAAAGAAAAATCATTTCTCAACTGTGAAACTAGGGAAGACTAACCAGATGTGATAGCACACTGTATTCTGATCGAAAGTGAACTATTCTTCCATCATATTGGTCAAGCTTTCAAAAACACTTACCTATACTTCAGGGCGAAAGATTCTCAGCATCCTCTAACAAATGTTTGCCTCAGAACCATTGAAAAGAAAAGGTTTAGAATTAATGACAGAGAACAATGTACCCACAGCTGCATTTTGCTCTTTTGAAAATTAGATATTTTTCTGCAGATAATACTACAGAACCACAATAAAAGTTATCATCATGCTTCACATCTAGTAATGAACGTGAAACAAGCACCCTCGAATAGCTGCATCGAGCATGAAAGGGCACGGGCCCCACTGCCGGCCGGGTGAATTCTAGACGGGCCCCACTGCCAGCCGGGTGAATTCTAGCAGATACTTCACCCAAAATGCTTCAGTGTGCATCAAACTGACACGAGCTCCTACACAATCACAATATAATTTACTCGCCTGAGAGATTCAGTACACAATGTCCCCAGTTTCCCCCCAATATCCTTAAACTGATTTATTCTGCACAATTCCATCACAAAGTTTTTCACTTATTTGTCGAATCTCAACAGTATTCTTGAATGAAGTATCCTCCAGTTTTTGTTGCTGTTTAGACATTTACATTTATGAACAAAGAGTTCAGGGCAGCTGCTCTGTAGAATGTTTCATAGTCTGGACTGATTTCGTGGTTTCTTCATAATTAGATTAGGGTAAAATATTTTTAGCTGCTGTACATCACGTTAGGAGACCTGTCATGTCAACTTGCACCATTGTGGGAGACACTCGCTTCTGCCTGCCGGGTCGCCTTTGTGAAGATAACCTTTCCCATCGTAATTAATAAGTAGGATGTGGGGCAATAGCTCCTCAACCTTTCCCCTCATGGCTTTAGCACTTATAAAAAATGTAAAAAAAAATATCAGGTGTCCATTTTCAAGGCTGAGGGTGGGGGAAGAATCTAATTAACTTTGAACAGCACCTGGATGGCAGAATCCCTCTAGACACTGACAACCCACCGCAACCCCAAACTTTACAACTATTTCACCCAACTCTTTTCAACAGAAGTTCTCATTTTTGTTCATATATATTGAATATTTCCAAACTATTCAATTTACCTTCCACAGAAATTGCTCCTTTTTATTACTCAAAGTTCATCGGATCATAGTAATTAATGATCATACTTCAGTGTATCTAGGGTAAGACTGACTACAAGGTACATCAGTAGTTTACATGCCCTACAGGAAGAAAACACCAAGGACACATAACAAGCATCACTGCACCACCCACAACTGATGTTGGTGACAACGTGCAGACACAATATTTGCACCCGGAGTCAGTGAAATGTGGTGAATGATGTCATGTGTGCAAAGTAGTACAAACAGGTCAGGGAACAAACAGAGCGGACTCCTGGGAACCACGTGTATCTCCAGTGGCTGCCAACTCAGGCCGGTCTGCAGAGGATTCTGCCACAGCCTGGGCTGGAGGCTACACACCTGGCTGGTGGATCTGAGACAGAGCAGGGCGGGTAACTGAAGACCAGGCTGGAAAGGTTCTAGCTTCACATAAGGTACCAAATAAAAAATTAAAACTCTCCATCAGAACCAAGATGCATATGTCTTTCTTGTTATAATTCAAAATATCTCATAGCTAGTAAGATCTTACTGACTATAAAAGGTTGGAAACACATGAAGCAGCCAGGACTCCCACACTGGGCTGGCGAGAGTGTGAACGGGCGCCACCAGTTTGGAAAACAACAATCTCATCAGGTTGAAGATGTGCAGGCCCACGGCTCAGCGACTCCACCTCAGGACTACATGGAGCAGAGCCCCAGCAGGTGCACTCGGAGACACGCCCAGGAATACCTGTAGCTGTCTTTGCAGGATAGCCACACGCCAGAAGTCACCACAATCTCTAGCAATGGTGGAAGGAACAGGCGCCCTGCGGTAGATACACGTGGCAGAACACTACACAACAGTGAGCATGGGCTGCCTGAGTGTGCACAGCACACACCTCTAAACACAGGGGAAGCTCACGCCTAGAACCGTGAACAAAGGAAGAGAGACACGGTGGAAGCTCACCGAGAGCTTCTTATTTACATAAGCCTCAAAAACAGGTAAAACACAGCTTATTGCTTAGAAAATGCTACATGGGTAAAGATATAAAGAAAACAAGGAAATCATTGACAGAGGGGTCTGGCGTTAGCGGTCTCTGAGAGGAGATGAAAGGGAGGGAGGGGAGAGGCAGGGAAGAAGAAGAAGGGGGAGGAGAGAAACAAGAGAGGGAGTGGGCAGGACGATGGTCTGGGAAATGCTCTTCGCCCCAACCCAAAGGCGTCTTCCTCTGTGAAGGGTTGGGCGGGGGTGGAACTCGGTTCACCCCAGGGGCCTCCCCTGCCCTGCCTGAGTGGTGTGGCTCGGACACAGGGGCATCTCCCCACAGGCCTGTGCCTCCTGAATGAGGAACAGCCATTCCCCTCCAGCAGGGCCTCGGCAGGTGGGCCCGGCAGGTGCTCCCGTGACTCTGCCTCCGCCTCCAGCCCTGGTCTCTGGGATGCGAAGATGGATGGAAAGACCATATGAAGCAGCCCCGATTTCCCGGAGCTCCCAGCTGAGGTCGCATTCATCCACACAGGCAACAGAAGCAAGTGCAGCACTGCGCGGTTCACCTGCTGTGGGAACGGCAGGCCAGAATTCCCTGTGGAAAAGGGAGGATGGGAAGGGCCCCGATCCCCAGCCCCTGGCTCAGGTAGGTGCCATCGCCTCCCAGGGCCGTTGTCCAGATTCACCGCGGTGCATGTGAAAGCCCGGGCAAACAGATGGTGCCCAATTAACAGAACTATTCTTGCGGCACTGGGGTTTGGTGAGACTCTCTCTGACTCAGAGAAATGACGCAGGATGGCCACTCTGTCCTTGGGGCCCCAAGCCTAGAATCTGAGTCTCTGACTCCCTGCCAGAACCTGGTCGAGACCTTGAACTCTCCTAGCTGCTTCCTCACCCAGGAAACGGGAAGAGCCCCACCCCCAACACAGAGACGGTGGGGAGCAGGGCTGGAGCTGCGGAGCACCAGCCGCACCTGGCGCCAGGTCCCAGGAGCCACACGAGGAAAAGGAGAACTTCATCATGGGCTAGGAAACCCACTGCCTGGGCGGGCGAGGGCATTTCTTTCTGTTTGGAAACACACAGAATAACAAGCAAAGTTAGATAAGGGAATGAGAGTCCTTGTGAGGGGTAAATCAGTGTTAGATGATAATTGTCCTGCTTTTGACGATTTTCTAAAAACAAAACAGAACAAAAAAAAAAACTTTAGGGAAGCTTTAAACAGATACGAGAGAAAAGTGTCTTATTTTCAACGACAAAAATGAAAGTAAATTCACCAAAAGATGGTACAGATGAAGCTCAAATATTTATGATAACAACATTCCTTGGTTGTAGAAAAAGAGGAATACGTCCTCATTGCCTGAAACTAACGACACGGAACCCTTGTGGGAACCAGGGGAGGGAGGTGTTGGTGAGCAGTTATTATGATGGTTAATTTAGGAAGTTGTAGGAAGGTTCTGCAGAGCATTCGACAGATGATTAAAAGGACAGGAGCCGGACATCTGGGCCTTGTGGTTTCTAAGGAGAGTGTGCTAGGCGTTGGAAGGAGAAGAACGGGAAGAGGCTGAGCCCTGGTGCCAATTTGCCTCAGAGGTGCAGGCAGATTTCGCTCACTTGAGAGCAGGGCGAGTTCTGCTTTTGAGGCCAGAAGTCATACAAATGCGGACAAGAGGCCTGAAGACCGAAAACCTGAACTGCAGATGTGTTTCTGCAGAAAACCTGGCTGGGAGGAATTCACTTTTCTTTCTTTTTTTGAGACGGAGTCTCACCCTGTCACCCAGGCTGGAGTGCAGTGGCGAGATCTCGGCTCACCGCAACTTCCACCTCCCCGGTTCAAGCGAGTCTCATGGCTCAGCCTCCCAAGTAGCTGGGATACAGGCATGTGCCACCATGCCTGGCTAATTTTGCATTTTTAGTAGAGATGGTGTTTTTCCATGTTGGTCAGGCTGGTCTTAAACTCCCGACCTCAGGTGATTCGCCCACCTCGGCCTCCCAAAGTGCTGAGAGTACAGGCATGAGCCACTGTGGCCAGCCCAGGATTTTTTACTCCTGGGCGTGATTTGTGTTGGGGGTGGCACCAAGTTGATGGCCTCGGTGAGGAAGCAGGGTCAGCCCTGCTGAGCCCAGGGTGCATCCGTGACTATGCTGAACGCTGCATGTGATGCCCGACAGCCCTGTGCACAGCCTTGGCCCACTGTACGCAGAGATCACAAGGCTTCCCGAGCCAAACCCTTCAGGATCTCACAGCTGCGGAGCTGGTCGCCGTGTCACTCAGCTGTCAGCTGCTCTCTCCTTCTCTGGTGTTTCATGGATACTTCACTTTATGCAAATCCCACAAATGACACAAGGCAGGGGTGGGACAGCATCGGGGGTCAGAGACCACTTCAAAACCACGCACTGAAAACTTTTCAGACAAGGCCAGACTACTTGATAAAAGTCATCTTCCATGTCAGGATGTACCGGGACACCCTGGCAGAGCCAGCCCAGGGCACGGGGAGTAGGAGACACTGATAATGATAAAAACATGCGGGATGGGAGTGCCAGGGTTCGCCTGTGCAATTCAAGAGTGGTTTGTGGTGTTGAAGTTGGCAATTCTGACCTTCATCTGTGCAAGGGAAACTTGTTGAACTATTTAAGTCCGAGAAACTTAAGGCCCTAAACCCTCCGTGTTCCTCAACGGCATCACTAGAGAGACTCTCTCTGGAACTCGCCCCTGCTCTGTACAAGACACATGGGTCAGCATGGGGTGAGGAGAGCTCTGGGCAAAGGGCAGACATGCTGGGAACCCGCCCCGACACGTGACTGAGTAATTAGATACCCCGACCAATGACATCCACAGGCTTCCCCAGAATCATACATGCTTCTCCGGTAAACTGTGGTCCCAGTGACCCTTGGGAGGTAAGAAGCTCCCCACAACACCCCCCCTTTTGTGGCGCTTACATGGGGATCACAGAGTCACCAACTGACTGTGCAAATTGGACAGGTGTCCAAAATGAAGCACTAATGAGCATGAAGAAAATGAGCATGAAGTCAGACAGGCTAAAAAAAATTAAGACAAAAAGTGCCATTTCCCAATTTCAGCCCTATTAATTAAAAACCAAAATTAAAACTGTGTGGAATCGCTCATTATGTTTTTAAATTAAACACAGGCTGACAAAACTAATTGCACTAACAGTCTCCCCCAGCTGTTCCCTGCTGACCTCTGCACAGTTCTGGAAGGCTCTGGGTGAGGGGTGGCCGGGGAGGGGAGAGGGGGCCATCCTCAGGAAGACGATCGTGCAGGACAGAGCCAAGGCCACTCAGGGAGGATGGCTTTTGTTGCTTTTACTTCACTAACCTGGAAAGAAAGTATTTGCTTCCAAATTTTGTCTTGTTTTCCAAACAGAGGCTGTAGCCATAAATATGCATCTTATTGAACATCTACTCTGTGCAAGGCATAGTAGGTTATCAATCATTCCAGGGAGTGGAGCGTAAGGAGAAGGAGAGTCATCTGGCACCAAGAACTCAGAGCTGGGGGAGTCTGTAGTTATTTTTAGTGCTGCCACTGGTCAGTGGACACGGGTGGGAGCCAGCGCTGGACGGCGTGGTGGCTTGACGTCCTTTGCCCAGGCTGGCCCTGCCGCCGTACAGCTCTAGCACCGACTGCGGGATGGGGGACCAGCGAACCTCGGGAGCCCACTCCCTCAGTGACAGCATGCGGTGGTAGCTGCTCTTATCTCACTGGCTGGTTGTAAGAATCCAAGTAAATTAAGAATGTTTAAGAACTAATACATTTTTTGTATTTTTTTTTTTTTAGACACAAGGTCTCTATGTTGCCCAGTCTGACCTTGAACTCCAGAGTTCAAGTAATCCTCCCAGCTCAGCCTCCCAGCGTGTTGTGCTCACAGGCGTGAGCCACCACACCTGGCCAATAATTAATTCTATAAACTGGAAAGTGTTAAACAAACATTTCCCATTAGGAGAACTGAGGAATTTTAAACTCTGTTTTACTTTTTTTCCACTACTTTCAATAGCTCATTGTTTCATAAATTAGATGGATACATGATGCCACTTTTTAAAACTAAAGAATCCATAATTGTACTGCCCATAAGTAATCAGTGCTATTGTTCTGGTCCATTTTTTCTAATGTGTAAGTCTGCCTCCTGTATCTCATTGTGTGTGTGCATGTGTGTGTGTGTGCATGTGTGTGTGTGCGGGTTGGTGTGTGCGTGCGTGTGTGCATGTGTGTGCATGTGTATGGGCATGCGTGCGTGTGTGTGTGTGTGTGTGTGTGTGAGAGAGAGAGAAGAAGGGAGGGAGGAGAGAGATTACTGAACAAATATTTGAGTGTCTGCCTGTCACACAAGACATCATGCCAGGCATAGCCTTCCTAGGGACACAGTGACAACCAAGATAAACACAGCTCCTGCCTCATAAGGATAAATTCTATTTGAAGAAACATAAAGTGAATAATTACCTACACAATTAATAGTGTAATCACAAAAAGGATCAGTATTTCAAAGAATCATTTGGGTTACATGAGAGTGTGTAACAGAACACCCACCAAACAGCCTTTACAGTATGTGCTGTTCTTGAGCCCAATCTCTTCCCTTAGTGCTGTCTAGCAGGCGTTTCCTCGGGTTTTCTGACGGCTGCATAATATCCTCTTTACCTGGGTGGCATGGTTTGACTACTCCCCCATTGATGGATTTTTTTTTAAATAAAAAATAACAGCACAGAGCATTCATGAACGTAAATCGTGAGTTAATTCCTTATGGTTTGCTTAAAATGCGTTCCTGCAAATTGGAGTACTGAGTTAAAAGTCATAAAAATTTTGAGGTTAATGAGACATATGTCAACTTGCTTTGTAAAAGGGTGAACCAATCCATAATCTTACCTCGTGTTTCTCAAATAATGCCTGTTAACATTAAGTATTGCCCTTTAAAAACTGCCAATTTGTATGGCCAAAATCTTTTTCTTTTTGTTGTTGTTGAGACAGGCTCTCGCTCTGTCGCCCAGCCTGGAGTGCAGTGGTGCGATCTCAGCTCACTACAACCCCTGCCTCCTGGATTCAAGCGATTCTCCTGCCTCAGCCTGCTAAGTAGCTGGGATCACAGGTGCCCATCATCACGCATGGCTAATTTTTGCATTTTTAATAGAGACAGGGTTTACCACGTTGGCCAGGCTGGTCTCAAACTCCTAAACTCAGGCGATCCGCCCGCCTCGGCCTCCCCAAGTTCTAGGATTATAGGCATGAGCCACCGCTGTATGGCCAAAATCTTTTACTATTTTAATTTGCATTTATTTGATTAGTAGTCATGTTTAAAATATTTGATGGCTGTTTGTATTATTTTTCTATTTGTAAATTATGTCCGAGTCCTTTGCCTCATTTTTCCTATTGCAGAGTCAGCAATTTTCTTATTGTTTTCTAAGAGTTTTTGGTATATGACTGAATTAACTTTTTATCATAGTCTCCCTATATAATAAATATAAAATCTACATTTATATTTTCTAGTCTATTTGCCTTATCATTTTTAAATTTTGACATATTAATAGTTTTCAATATTTTAGTAAGTCAAATCGAATAGCTTCTTTTTTTGTGAGATTTTCTTTCCTTTGCATGCATGCTTACAAAGCCTTTTCTCTTTCTGAAATCGGTTAAATATTCTAGAGTATTTTGTCTTTTTTTATAATTCAGTTATTTTTATTTGACTGTGGCCCATCTGGAAGTTGTTTTCGAGTACACTATGAAGGGAGGAGCTTCTTTACCCATAGCCAACTTTCCCACATGTTGTATTGAATCGTACATATCTCTCCCTTTATAACACAGTACATATTGAAGAACTATTTCAGGATGTTTTACTCCAGTTCAATTCCTCGTTAACACAAATTCTTAACGGGACTAGTGAGAATCCCTGCTTTGTTCCTGATTTAATGGGACAGTATTAAGTGAGTAAAGATAGGGGTTGTTTATCATATTATGAATATTTCTTAATTTTTACCTACTTAATATTTTAAAATCAGAAACTGTCTAAAATGTTATCAAATTATTCTTTTTAATCTTTGAAGATTATCGTAGGTGTTGAATTCTCTGCTTCATGTACCTTTAATTCACTGGTATTCTTTTTTCTGGGATATTGCCATTGTAAGATTTGGCTGCTATTACGGGGTGACAGTCTTTTCAGTAAGGTAATTTAGCTATCCATTGGCAGGCAAAGGACGTATTTGATGCAGGGGTGGTAAGAGATGGGTTGGCGCAGGAGGTATGAAAACTTACTCCAAATTACAGACACTTTAGATATCTGCTTTCTTTGGGGACGTAAGAACAGCTCTGCTTGCAAATCCAATGCCTATGTTACAGGAGTGCAGTTTTATGTTTGGAAAGAGTCTCTTAGCATTATGAGGGTTATTTATGTTATGAACACCAGTTAGTTTGCACCAGTTCCAGGAAAGAGATTCAATATGAAAATATGGACACAGATTCAGATATAGTGTTGGGAGTATATGAATTTGACTTGTGTATCATATACCTGGATTCTCTGGTTTAGCTTGTAAACCCAATATTTCATCATAATCCAGTAAACCAAATTAACTATTATGGACTGAATTGTGTGCTCTCCAAATTCATATGTTGAAGTCCTAACCTCTGGTACTTAGACTGTGACTGTGTGGAGAGAGGACCTTTCAAAGGGGAATTCCATTAAATGAGGCCTCGGAGTGGGTGCTTATCCGCTCTGACTGCTGTCCTTAGAAGAAGAGGAAGTCTGAATACGCAGAGACACCGGGGCCGCCTCTGTGTATGGAGGAACGGCCACGCGAGGACAGGGAGGAGGCGCCATCTGCAAGCAAGAGGAGAGCCACGGAAGACACCAGCCCCACCAAGACCTCGAACTGGGCTTCAAGCCTCCAGAACTGAGAGACATTAAGGGTCTGCTGTTTGAACTGCCCAGTCTACTTCTAAAAGGATGAACCAATCCATTGTTAGGGGAGCCTGAGCAGACTAATATGTTAACAGAAAACTGAGCTGTCTCTACTGCTTCTCTCATCAAAGATCAGAATTGAAAGGTGGCCAAGAAACAAAAACCAATAGATAATCTTCCTACTGTATCATCCCAGAAGGCAAGGATGAAAATCTTCACTCAGGTCAGCTTTGCTCTACCCAAGGGCTATTAAATGCAGCTGGAAAAGAGAGCTCCCAGGAGGGCAGAAAAACCTGCGAGTGACAATGAACGTGAATCTCATAGTGCTCTGCAGCCCACCCCAGCCCCCAGAACCCAGGCTTTGCACCCTGAGAAAGCACAAAGCACAGTCCACTTCTCTACTGAGAGCGGGTTCTCCACCACGGCCAAGGAGTTCTTCAGGGAAGATGCTACTCTGTGAGTGGCTGGATAGAAAAATATAAACAGGGTTATTCCCCTCTTTGGGTCTTTGGTTTGTCCCTTCTCCAAAAGGAATACCTTATTTTCCCCAACAGCGTGGCTTCCTGTCGAATAACTATTCCTACCATCCCTCTAAGAACATGCAACAGGGGAAAACACCTGCTGGGAAGCTGCCGCCAGAGGCCCCACCCTATCCCGGAAGGGCCTTAGAGGAAGGAAGTTGGGGAGGAGGAGGAGGGTCAGGGTGGATGGGAGGATGAACACAGCAACTGCTGGGACACAGGCTTCGGCGCTGCACCCACCTGGAGCTGACAGTCAAGCCTCACTTGATGTTAAAGAAAGAGGAAATATGGTATCAGAAAGAGCATGAGGGTAAATGGCAAGACCTGAGTTTAAGTTCAAAATTGATTATTAGCTGTGGGACTCCACAAACCACTTAGACTTGAGATGTCTCTGTTTTATTATCTGTAAAGCAGGGCCACCTCTACCCATCTCATAGGTTTTCTGACAGTTCAGTCATGGTTGAAAGTGCTTTATAAACATTAAGTGTCATAGAGGAAATTTGTTAGAAGCGTTAATAACTTATGTGTCCATCTGCACATTGCACATAGGATAGGCCATTCTTTTTAGCATTGCCTTTGCAATTGATTTAATTTCCCAAGCTCTGTTCACCTTCTGAGACCATAACAAACATTACCCTGAAGTTTCTGTTTCCATTTCCATTGGTCCCACTCTAAGTGAACCTTGGCAATCAAAAGGGCATCATCATCCCTCCTTCTACTGAGCCCAGTGAGCTCACAGCTGGAACGCTGCTCCACGGGACTGAAAGTAAACACTTTAAGTTTCCGGGTGATAACTGTTGGTCATGGTCAATGTCAGCACACTCATTTAAGAGGCGCATTTTCTTGGAACCACTCACTGAAATATACACTCAACACCAAATGTGAGCTTCAGAAGATATTTTAAGGGCATCAGGAAGATGAAACTGTGCCTGCCCCTTGCGGCATGGAGGAATCCACACACACACAAACATTTCTACACACTCACACTTGTATTCTGCTTCTGTGTGTTTACATGTTGTTTCTTGTAAGAATAGAGATTGCAAAGCTCAACTTAAAAAATATTGAATGGTAACATAAACAAATTATTAGGCCAACCACAGAGAATTGCAAAACTTTTGACTGTTTTTTAGTTACAAAATTCAGTTTTATACATTATATATTAAGAACCTACTGAGCAAGAAAATATTCTATTAAGTGGTATTTGCAAGAGATTATTCTAATAGAGAGTGTGCTAGAAAAGAAAAGAAAGATGATACAACGGATGAGGCCCCTACTGGATATGAGGTGCAGAGAGCCAGCTTTCGCCTCCTGAACACAGATAGTCCTCCTGACTCCTTTAGGAACATGAGCTCCATTGGAAACATCTGGAAGTTGAGGATAAGAGAAAACAAGTCTGGCCAGGTGTGGCGGCTCACACCTGTAACCCCAGTACTTTGAGAGGCTGAGGCAAGAGGATTGCTTGAGCCCAGAAGTTGGAGACCAACCTGGGCAAAATAGTGAGACCCCATCTCTACAAAAAATAAAATTAGCCAGGCATGGTGGCGTGTAGCCTTCAGTCTCATAGCTGTCAGGGTGTTCAAGTTCTGCCTTCCATACAGAACAACATCTGCAGGGCTCACAGACAGAGGAATGCCCCCCAAGATACTAACTCAGGTGAAAGATTGTGAGATTTCATCCTCAGGTACACACACCATGGTGTGACTTACAGGAGCACCCCGAGGTGTATAAGAGTGTCCCTAAATTGATGTTAAGAATACTAATGAAGGATGAACTGAGTCTCTCTGCAGCTGCCTCTGGGCTTTGTCTGGTGTGCCTATACCCAATGTCACCCAAACCCAAAGAAGGGTTTGCAGCAGCAGCTGCACAAAGCTGCTGGACAAAGCCGAATCTCCAGGAGCCCAGTCCCACCCTCCCCTCTGAGAAGACCCCCATGTGACTTCCCCACCTTTGTGGCGCATGGTATGAAGAGTACAGGAAAGAACAAAGGGACAGCAGCCAGGGCACAGATGCAAACTACTTTCAGAAACGTGTTCTCTTCTGAAAGACTCCAGAGCCAGTGCGACCCTCATTAGAACAAGCACCGGAGACATGAAGTTTGCTACTGAAGGTCTCCCAGCAAGCTGCAGGCGGCCCTGACCAAGCTTAGGTCCCATGAAATGAGCCCCACTTGCAGAGCTTGTTCTGAACCTCGTTTTGGGGAGAAACTTGGTTGTTCATGTCACGGAGAAGGAAGCCGAGTGAGGATGAGAAAAGCAACCTTCACAGAGGCAGAGCTGGATCAGAAGAAGGTGCAGCTCTGCTCAGCACGGCCCCCAGCCTGCTTCCTGGGCAGGAAATTCACATGTGAAATCCAGTTTCTGAGAGGCTCAGGAGCCTTCTTTGACATCATGATGATGAACCCAATCATGTATATATAGCTTAAATCAAGTGGAAAAGCCCACATCACCACAGGCTGCGATCTGAAGGAGCAGAGATTAGCAATCTAGAAATAGAAAAGTTATTGAAAGCCAATCTTCTCCCAGCTGATTGATCCGCAAATGATGGCAGGAAAAAGCTGAACTCACTTCAGAAGTTGGTGTCTAAAATTGGAGACTCTTTCAGCAAGGCCTGCCTGGGTCACGGGGTCTGCCCCATCTAGTGAGTGCTCTGCTGTGCATCAGAGAGAGGGGGCGGGACTGGCATCTTCCCAGCAAAGTAGGGGGCAAGGGAGCACTCTGTAAAAGCAGGGGATGATGTGTAAACCCATCCATCTTCCTAGCGCATCAATAATAATGTTCCACTAGCTAGTCAGGTACTCAGATCCTGACATTTGTCAGTTGTGTCAAAATGCTAGAAAGTACCATTTCAAATGCTGTTATGTGTTGTTTATAAAATATAAGGATAATTTCACCAAAGAAGATATACAAATGACCAAGAAGCATATGGAAAGATGCTCAACGCCAGTCACTAATCCTTAGGGAAATGCAAATCAACACCACAAGCAAATCAACACCCGATAAGATACCCCCTCTCACCTGTTGGGATAGCTACATCAAAACAAATAGCATAATGAGTGTTGGCGAGGGTGCTGAAAAATTAGAATTGTTGTTTACTGTTGGTGGAAATGTAAAACGGTGCAGGAGCTCTGGAAAACAGTATGGCCATTCCTCAGAAAGTTACACATAGAATAACCATATAATTTAGCAACTTTCACTTCTGAGTATATACCCAAAAAGAATGGAAAGCAGAGCCTCAAAGAGACATTTGTACACTCACATTCATAGCAGCATCATTCACAGTAGCCAAAAGATGGAAGCAACCTCAGTGTTCATTGGTGGATGGATGGGTAGCAGAGTGCGGTGTAGGCACACAATGGAAGGAAATGACGACGCACGTTGCAATGTGGATGAACCTGGAGGACATTATGTGAAGTGAAATAAGCTGATCACAAAAAGACAAATACTGTATGATTCCGCTTACGTGAGGTACCGAGAATACTCAAATCATAGAGACAGAGAGTGGAATGGTGGCACCAGAGGATGAGGATTAGGGGGAAAAAGAGTTATTGCTTAAAGGGTAGCATTTCCGTTTTGAGAAAGGAACGGAGTTCTGGAGAAAGATGGTGGTGATGGTTGCACAGCAATGTGAGTGTACCCAATACCACTGAACTGCACACTGACACATGCTTGAGACGGTAAATTTAACGTCACATGTTTTACTCATAATTAAAAATTTTTAAGTGTAAGGATAAATGTAACTGCAGTATATGTGCATGATATATAACAGCACATAGTTACACATAGTTATGTCGATAATTTCTTATTCTATAGCATTTTAAACTACAGAAAATATACCTAATGAAAATTACTAATTTGCCTGCTATTTTGTTTTAACATGCTTGAACCATAAGCTCAAAACACCTGTTGATACCTTGTGCCTGCCTTTGAATAAAACCTAAATCCTTCTAATGTCGCCATAGATGAGATGTACAGGCCGGATTTCATGTCATTTAGTCAGGAAAAATGTCACAGGAAAGCAGTTTCTCATAGATATCAGCTTTCAAACTTTCTACACCTGAGGACCACTTGGGTGGGTCTAAGAGAGTGACTGTGCACCCCGACCCCCTGCAATTGTGGAAACTCAGAATCACGAGCCAAAGAAGGTAACCGGGATAAACTGGGTAGAATCAGCAACTTTTGGAGGGAGGGGATCACACCTTTAACACTACAGCTAGGCGTTTTGAATGAGGTAAAACCTGAAGACAATCTGAATAATGAGAACCACAGCCCTTGGTGTCATAAGGAACCTTTCAAGCCAGTGCCTGCCAGACTCTGAAACCCCTGGGCCCTGAGTGTACAAAGAAAAGAGGGAGTTCCTGCCTGCGTCGTTGGTAGAAAGTAAAGACACAGATGCCAGAGGGGAAGAGCACAGCCCGCACACAGCGGGAGCTCATGAGATGTTTGGAGATTGATGGGCACATATACAGAACACAGTCTCCTGGATTAAAGCACTCAGTGTGCAGGGTGGGGCCAGGGAAAGGACAATGCCAGGTTCCTGGAGAGCTGGAGTGACACAAACGAGCAGGAACAGGACTGCAATGCCACCGAGCAGTGCAAGCGAGGTTTGGTTTCCCTGAGCATTTGGAGAAACTGAAGGAAATGCAGAGTGAAGACAGCGTTCCTGAACACAAAGCATGAGGCGTGAAGTCCCAAATCCAAGCCCACCCTCGTTCCTTCCCTTGTGTGGGGCCCTTGGCACCTCACCCCTCAGTTCATATGGTGGGGTAGTGTTGAGAGCCCGTCGCTTTCAGCCAGATTGTGGCCTTTTCCATTCCAAGCCACAAGAGCGTCAGACGTGAGGCTGTGCTTCATGGCCAGGCAGGGACTCGGCATCTGAACGACTCAGGGCCAATCAGGAGAGCGGGAACCACAGCAGTTATTTCACAGAAAGTGTTTCATACAAAGAATTGGCTGAGTAAGGCTGGAAGGCTGGAAAGGCAGAGGAACCCCCAGTAACCCCAAGATGGTAACTGCAGGGAAGCAGCTCCTTAGACCGAGGGAAGAGGGTGGTGTCGTGACAACCTGGGAACACTGAGAACGGAGGCAGTGCTCAGCTGCTGGGAGCCTCTCTGAAGAGGCACAGGGAGGCTGGTTCTGGGAAGCAGGCAAAATAAATGGACATGTAAATGAAAACCAGAAACTGGTTCCAATAGCTTTTGCCAGAATTAAGAGGTTTCCTTTCTTTTTTTCTTTTCCTTTTCTTTCCTTCCCTCCATCCCTCCCTCCCTCCCTCCTCCATCCCTCCCTCCCTCCCGCCTTTCTTTCTCTTCCTTCCTTCCTTTCTTTCTTTTCTTTTTTTTTTTTCAGGGCCTCACTCTGTCACCTAGGCAGGAGTTCAGTGATGTGATCACCACGGCTCCCTGTAGCCTCGACCTCCCAGGCTCAAGTGATCCTCCCACCTCAGCCTCCCAAGAAGCTGGGACCACAGGTGTGTGCCTCACCATATCTGGCTAATTTTTGTATTTTTTGGTTGAGACGGGGTTTCACCATGTTGCCCAGGCTGGTCTTGAGCTCCTGGCCTCAAGTGATCCGCCCACTTCAGCCTCCCAAAGTGCTGGGATTACAGGCATGAGCCCCCGTGCCTGGCCAGCATTAGGAGGTCTTAATGGGGACAGTGACAGGAATATGAGGCAGAGCTGGGGGATCAGCACCTGCTCCTTCCCCCGGGCTGCCTGTCTCTCTGGCACCCTCTATTCACAGGGTGCATGGGGCAGTGGACATGGAACATGGACGAGGCTCCCAGCCCATCTGCTCCCCCAGGCCATGTGTAGAGGGTGGGTTTGGAGCTGAGAGAGGACAGCTATGTAGTCAACACACTGTCTGATCCCAAATTCATGTTCCTGGATTCTGCCTCACCCTCGCCTCTGTTGGGGGTTGAGAACCTGCCCCAAGTCAGGTCCTACTGCGTTTTCATGATGGCTCCAAAGAGTCTCCCTTGAGTGCTGGAATTGCACGGGGCCCAGCACCGTTGGCTGCAAGACTGTCTAGTAGCCTGCACTTCCAAGTCTCGCTGCCTTCTGGGTGTGGCCAAAGCCCTGTTGCTGCCTCTGGGATCCCTGCTCCTCCCCATCCCCTGCCAGCTCACTCTCCAGCCTGACCCACCGCGTTTGCTCTTGGTTTATCAGCTCATGCCTGTGATGCTTCATCCCAGTGGGTGAAAGACAAGATTCTGGCTGCTCCCTGCCTCACCCCCTCCTCATTCCTCACTGGTGATTCCTACCGAGGTCCAGGGTAGGCCAGGGCCTATGGGGAGACCTACTATGGTTTGAGGGTAGCCACCCTCCTGCAGGTGTGATAGCAAGGAGGAACCCACGTGGGGCCCGGGAAGTCCTATGGAGGAGTTGCCAGGGGCAACCACTGTGGGTTGAGGGTTGCTCCTCCCTCTTGCAGGTTCAGAACTGCAGCCTTTCCAGGGCATCCAGAGATGAGGGCACTCAGGAGAAGGGCCTTGCAGGCATGAGCCTCACAGAGGTGCAAATGGCAGTGCCAACACATTGAATAGGATGTGGAGAATGTACACTTCCAGTCACAGGAAAGCTCAGGTGCTGCGTTCAGGGTGCCCTTCCCTATGTAAAGGTAATAGGGAGTGGAAAATCACACTCATCCTTCACCGGTCCGTGCGGCCTTGCCCTTTTCGGCAGCCTGGTGAGAGGTCCATGTGGTGAGGCTGTAAGCCCTGCAACACGCGCATGAGTGAATTTGGGAGTGATTCCCCAACGTCATCCTTCGGATGAGACCACAGCCCTGCCTGACAGCTGGATGTAGCCTCATGAAGAACTGCTGAGCTGCAGCCACACTTCTGCCCCCACAGCAATGGTGAGACAGTAAATGCCTCTTTTGTTTTTTAATGCCAGTAAGTTTGGGGGTAATTTGTTATGTACTAAAGGTAGTTAGTACACCTCGTAAAAAATTGAAACATACTATTTCATTCTGAGTAACATGACTGCCACACTTTGAAGTGATTAGTCTTCAATGAGTATCCCTCCTAAAACATAAGTGTGATCTTAATTTTAGACATCAAGATTATCCAGGTAAAGTGGGCTTTTGCATAACATTCAAGAATATGACCCTCACCTCTCAGGGCCTTTGTATTCACAATTTTGATTCTCATATTTGAAACGCAACAATTGATAGTTCCTACAGATGATGGGAGTTTCTCTACTCTTAAGGCTACCCTCAAATGTCAGCTAAAATTCCACTAAGTGTCCAACACGTTATTTATTTATTTATTTTTAGACAGGGTCTCACTCTGTCGCCCAGGCTGGAGTGCAATGGCATGAGGTCAGCTGACTGCAACCTCCACCTCCCAGGTTCAAGTGGTTCTCGTGGCTCAGCCTCCTGAGCAGCTGGGATTACAGCCTCGTGCCACCACGCTCAGCTAATTTTTTGTAGAGACAGGTTTTCGCCCCATTGGCCAGGTTGGTCTTAAACTCCTGTCCTGAAGTGATCCACCCGTCTCTACCTCCCAAAGTGTTAGAATTCTAGGCATGAGTCACCATGCCTGGCCCCAACATGTTATTTAAATGCAATGTTCCTTTTGCCTGTTTTATGAGAGCCATGCAGAGTAAATGGTCATTTTTCAGACAAGTAGAATGATACTTCTGGAAAAGTTGAAGATAGTCATTAAAATTCAGGCTGAGGGAACAAGAATCTCATTTTGTCACTAGTCCTGGTCTGTTGTAATTACAGCAAAGATGGTGTGTCTGGTAACCTCTCTATTCAGAATTAAACAAGACACGCCAACCTGTGGCTGCATTGGGTCGAAAGCATTTCCTATTAACACCTGGGACTGCTGGGTCTAAATAGCAACAATCTCAAGGCAGTCATATTCACTACTCCTGGAGCCCCCATGGTGTACTGACGCTGGTGACCTGTATATTGGAGGGGGAGCCGCTCCACCACACGACTCTTCTCATGATCAAAGTACAGACACTCAGTTTCAACCACACCAGCCCAGCCAAGTTATTCCAGTAAGAAAAGACTCAACACAGCCTCAGATGGCAAGGTCAGCAATCTGACAGCGAGCTGCCGTGGGTAATTTGTCAACATCCACTTTCTTCTCTGTGCTCTGAAATCTACACAGCGCAGGGAAAAATGCAAAGTCAGGGTGCAGATATCAGGCTGAGTCTGAAAACCTGGTAACAGGGACAAGCAGAGGCTGCCCAGCACATGGGAGGGAAGGGTGGAGCTGGACACTGGCCAGTGGGCTGGCCAGAGCCGGGATCTCAGAGCATCTCACACCAGTAAGTCAGCAGCCTCAGAGATGCAAATTGGGTGGGGCAGAGCTCACCGAGGTTCAGATTCGCAGGAGGACAGCAGGGGATTAGGAAGGTCCATTCTCAGTTCAGAGGGAGGAGTCCAGGGGTCTGACACCTGTGGCCAAACCAGGCGTGTCTCCACCTAGTCATGATTTACGAGTTATAGCCAAGTGCACGACCTCAGCATTTCCTGTGGGTCCCGCTAGTTGCTGCTGGATTAGAGGTTGTGTGTATATTCTAAAGTCTACTTGGAAAAAATGTACAGACACCAAGGAAAACCCTGGGTTAAAATGTTATCGGGAGGTTAAAGAGACCCAGGGCGGATATGAGGGAGGGACTGCTCCAGGTATGTGGGGACGGAGAACACTACGGGGAACAAGTCCCACGCACACACTGAGTGCTGCATACCTCCTGCACCACAAGCGATACTCAACCAGAAGCCGCCAACATTCAGGGAAGAGAAGGAAAGCCGGCAGATACTATTCATCTGCTAGATTCACAGCAGATAACAAGCATAACCAGTCAACCCACGGATGCTAATTAAAAAGATACTTAACTGATTTCCTGACCTGTCCCCCTCGAGCTCCAACTAGCACTGCAGAATGTTTCCAGTCATCGTCTGGGCTCTGTGGGTGCCATGGAGGCAGAGTACCCATCGCTTTATTTGCAGGCAGCAATTTCAATTGGATACCTTCAATTCTTTTTCTTGGTTTCTAGATTTCTGAGTCTTACCATCCAAAATAGTAAGAAAAAAATGCTTACTCCTCTACTGCGATACTGTTTACAAGGTTTATTTTCTGAGAGAAAGGAATGACATTGTACTGGACAGAGGGCTGATCTCAGAGGGGGGCCGGCTCACCGGATGAGAGCAGTTGAGGATGCCACCATCCCCTGTGTCCCAGGGAGCCTGCTGCTTCTGTGTGTAGTGGGGACAGGAAATCCTTGCCTCCTTCACAGATATTGCCTCTCCAAAGGGAAGGAAGCCTTCCCCTTGGCTGAAAGAGAGGCAGTTGCCGTAAGCCTTAAGCCTCGGCAGAAGGAGGCTCCGCACTCTTCCGCGTCCCTGGCTTGGAGCGTGGGTTTGATGTTGGCGTGGGCTTGCTGCAGCCAGCTGATGTGCAGCAGCCTGACCTGCAGGCTCTGGGTGGGCCCCCGAGCCCTCTCCCAGCCCTCCCCAGAGCTGCCCTTCCCTCCCCACTTCCTCCCATCTGCTATACTAGGTGCACACTCACTGTAAAGGGAGATGCAGAACCTCAGTCTCCCGCTGCCTGTCCCTCTGGCCTGTGTCACGTATGTGCCTGTGGATGAAGGGCACCTTCTCTACACTGTAGCGCTCTGAGCCACCCTCCTCCACGTGCACACAGACCCAGGAAGGCCTCCTCTCAGGACCAGGGGTGCAGGCTGCGGCTCTAGGGATCTCTGTGCTGTGGAGGGTCTTGGGAAGCACTGATCCTGGGTGCAGAGCAGTCTTGTCCCCCCAGAGCTGTCATTCCAACTGCAGCTGCCATAAGGGGGTGCCCAGGACCAGGCTGCACTGAGGTCTGGCTGCCCAGTCAGTCAACAAGGACCCTGGAGGAGAAATGACTGAGTCGCTGTCCCTGGGGGGCTCCTGGTGCCCTGTCGACAACTCTGCACAGCCCTACGGACTCCCAGCTGCAGAGCACCTGGCCCTGAGCCCATGGGGCCAGCTGCTATTTGATGGATGGAGGGTCCACATGGCTCAGGAGGCACAAAACAGGACAAAAGTTTGCAAACTCTAAACCAAACTTGTCCAAAGCGCAGCCTGCAGGCGGCACGCAGCCCAGGTCAGCTTTGAATGTGGCCCAACACAAATTTGTAAACTTTCTAAAAATATTATTTCTTTTGTGATTTTTCTTTTTTTAGCTCATCAGCTATTGTTAGTGTATTTTATGTGTGGCCCAGAGAACCCAAAGATTGGGCAGCCCTGCCAAACTAAGCTTGCCGTAAGACATGCCAAAGCATCCAAAATTTCCTTACCATTTGCTGTTAAAAATAGCTTTGATTTGTTATCCAGACCTACTGTGCCGTTCTAAAGAGTTACCATCAGATAAATATACATAAAGAGCCATGAACATTTTCTCCTCAGTGAAATTCTATGGAGCTGTTGCTATCTTCACAAAGCGTGTCAACAGCCCTGAAGAGAGCTGCATCGCTGGGGAAAGAGAGTTCGGGCAAGATTGTTGATTCTTCTTTCTGATCAAGAAAATTGTGTACTGGTACTCTTAGAGCCCTGGAGAGTCTGCAAACAGGAAATGCTGAGTTCCTCATCAAGACAATCTTTTATAGCCATCCATGTCAATAAATAGATTATTTTTAAAAAGGAAAGCAACATAATGCATTCAGGAAGTTATTTGTGGGAACAGGAAACCTCTTATTTGAAAGAGTTATTGACTTTGATTGGGGACAGTAGTGCTTTGAACATGGCAGGTGGGCGCTGGGCAGAGGCTGCTGCCTGGCTGAGGGGGACACAGGCATGTTAGAGGCCTGTGGTGTCCGTTCTGATGGGGACCACGCTAAACCGTGGGACTGCTGCCCTGGGAGCAGGGAGAGGCAGCTCAGGGGTGGTCTGTCTGAGCAACAGCAGGACACGCAACCCAGCAGGCACCAAGGACAAGAGGTCGATATCTTTAGAGGGAGACCGGGTGAGGAAAGGGCTTGGGAATTAGGAAATACAAAATAGGAAATCAAGGAATGTGTTCAGAAGCTGTTTATGGAAATAAGAAAACTCTTACTTCAAAGATATGGGACATGAACCAGAAATAAGCATCATGATGATGAAGACAGTGTTTTGTTTTTGTTTCTGAGATGGAGTCTCACTCTGTTGCCCACAATGGAGTGCAATGGTGCAATCTGGGCTTGCTGCAACCTCCGCCTCCCGGGTTCAAGCTATTCTCCTGCCTCAGCCTCTCAAGTAGCTGGGATTACAGGCCCCTGCCACCACGCCCAGCTAATTTTTGTATTTTTAGTAGAGATGGGGTTTCACCATGTTGGCCAGGCTGGTCTCTAACTCCTGACCTCAGGTGATCCACCCACCTGGGCCTCCCAAAGTGCTGGGATTATAGGCATGAGCCACTGTGCCTGGCGAAAAGACAATGTTTAAACTTCATATTTCTACGAAATATTCTGCCACCAACACAGACACATAAAGAGTGAGCTGCAGTGCACCAAACGAATCAGGTCCTGTGGTTCTCAGGTTCTTCTGTTCTCCTTGGGTTCCAGTGCCATGGCCAGGGCTTTCTGCATAGGGATCCTCTGCCCAGCTTGCCAGCAAGCGGAGGGCACTCACACTGGGGACAGGGCCCAAGTCTTCTGCTTAAAAGAAAACAGGACGAAAGCCAAAGGGAAGAGGGTCTCTCCCACATATCATCTTCATGCCTGGGAGGAGGCCGGCCTCCCCTTCCCAGTGGGGAAGCCCCTGCAGTTCCAGCCCACCTACCCCTGCTCCTTCAGTCCCACTTTCTCTCCCTCTCCCCCAGCCCAACCTGCCATCTCTCAGCCCTGGTCCTGCCCCAGTTTCCACGCTGTTAATCAGCTGCCTTTAAAGATGTTCGTGGCACAGTCGTACCTGCAAAGGTAACCAATCCCACAAGAGCAGAGAGGCTGTGACACCCGGCAAGGCCCTGGAAAATCCCCTCCCCAGCCCCAGCGCGACGTGCTCCTGAGATCAGCCCTGCTGGGTGGTCCCCTCCACAGCCATGGACAACATGCAGGCTCCTTCCTTCTCGGTGGGTTAAGACATAAGGAACTCACCAATAGGAAATATGAAGATCTAGTAAAGTTTCCTCTCATTTCAATCCTATTTTGTGCCTGTTTCCAGTTCCACTCACTAGAATTCCTCAACACTGTCCCAATATTTGTTTTTGTGTTTTAGCACTCCTATTTTAAATCGGGAGGAATGCTTTCACTTTTCCAGTTATTCCTTATTTGTTTCATCCTGTTTGTTTTTTGGCTATTGTGTCATATCTTCACAGTCTCTCTAGGTTTTTAAAGGTCTCTGTTCCCTGAGTTCTATATGCTGCTTCTGAGGTCACCATTTGTTTGCTTTTCTCTGGGCAGGTAAGGAAGCTGTCAATCGTCATAACAGAAAGTTGAGTGTAAACAGGCTTCGCCGTAAGGGATTCACTGGCTCGCCAATGAAAAGTCCTGGGAGGCCGGGTGCGGTGGCTCATACCTGTCATCCCAGCACTTTGGGAGGCCGAGGGGGGATGGATCACTTGAGGTCAGGCGTTGGAGACCAGCCTGGCCAACATGATGAAACCTTGTCTCTACCAAAAACACAAAAATTAGCTGGCCGTGGTGGCATACACCTGTAATCCCAGCTACTCAGGAGGCTGAGGCAGGAGAATCACTTGAAACCAGGAGGCGGAGGTTGCAGTGAACCAAGATCATGCCACTGCACTCCAGCCTATGCAACAGACTTAAGACTCTGTCTCAAAAAAAAAAAAAAAAAATGTCCTGGGAGGTGCAGCCTGCACAACTGCCTTATCCACTTCTCTTCTCCTGAAGGGCTGGCCCTGCCCCAGGCCGGTCTCCCCTAGAAAGTGTGGCCGGTTGATCTCCGGAAGCGCAAGTCCACCCTGTGATTCCACGCCTCACCCTCTAGCGGCTCGGCTCCCTATTACACGGGAAGATTCCTCTTGATTTGAAGTCAGCCATGATCAGATCTCACCTAATCTCCATGTAGAACTTGTAACCAGGACCGTTCCAGGCACACACTTCAGACTGTCCCCTCCTGGAGGTGTCCCTGTGCTGAGCCCTCCCGTGAGGCCGGGCATCAGATAATAAGACTTTTCCCCTTGAAACTCCACAGCCATCTGCTTCATGTTTCCACAGCACTTACCACACTCTGCTGCGAACACTGCTCCCAACGTCTACATATTCACGCTCAACCAGATTTAAACTTCCTTCAATCTACATGTTTGTATGTATCCTACAATACCAAACACAATTTACTACACTTCAAAGAGGCTCATGATTATGAATTGAATTTTTTCTCTTGTCCTTCTTGTTTTGACTGATTAGTTATTGGAGAAACTGGAACTGAGAAAGGATTTCTTTAATGGTCCAGCACATAGGAGTAGTGTGTCGTGATGTTCTCTTGAGAAAGCCTGGGCTTCTCTTCAACGGAGTTTTAGTTAACTTGGAGAAATCTTCTGTTTCCAGTATGCTCAATTCTACCAAATTTAGGTGAATTTATATATAGTTGTTTTGCGTATTTTGAAAATTTATAACCTTCAAGGGCTACCAGGTGTCTTCACAACAGAAAGCTTGAGGTAGTACTAGGATGGAAGGTCAGAGGTTGACACCTTCCAGAAAGACGGAACGGAAGGACATGGGCATCAAGCCAAGGTTAGGTTTTATACCTAAGAGGCAGAACCGCCTGATTCTGAGAAATAGAGATATAAAATAGTAGAAGATACTATACAATACAAATACCTTCTACTGTGTAGTTAAAAATAAGAAACGTGTTCATATCAGTTTTTTTTTTTTTTTTTGAGACAGGGTCTCACTTTGTCACCCAGGCTGAAGTGTAGTGGCATGATGTCGGCTCACTGCAACCTCCTCCTCCAGGCTCAAGCAACCCTCTTGCCTCAGCCTTCCGAGTAGCTGGGACTACAGGCATGCACCACCACTCCCAGCTAATTTTTGTATTTTTAGTAGAGACAAGGCCAGGCTGGTCTCAAATTCCTGGCCTCAAGTGATCTGCCTGCCTGGGCTTCCCAAAGTGCTGGGATTACAGGCATGTATTTACCAACCTGAGTAGGTATTAATGCTATTCCATCTTTATCCTTGAAAAGGGGAAGGAAGATATTTTTGGATTATTCTAAAATTAAAAGTAAATTATATGATGCCTAGGACTTGCCACAAAATAACCTGGAGCTGTGTGGGTAGGTGGAGAAGGAGAGGGAGTGGACACATAAATAAAACAAGACTGGCCTGGTCTGGTAATTTTGGAAATTATCTGAGACAGATCTGTGGGGATTTATTACATTCTTTGCTTCCACATGTGCTTGCATTTTTTATGATAAAACTCATCTTTTTTAAAGCAGGGGTTTAACCTCTCAAGCAAATGAGTGTGACTGTCACTTTTAAAATGCTTCTGATATTAAAATCACTCCCAGAACAGCATAAAATAAGTCATTTTTAAAGCTGGTGTGGGATGTAGCTGTGATCCTGGGAAAATATAAAGCTGGTTTCCGGTATGGATCCACACCTGTGCTGTGTTCATACCAACAGCCCGGCTCAAGAACATATGCCAGCCGTCAAGTTGTGCAACCAGCACCAATTTCTCCTGCCAGCCAGAGCCTCCTTACCTTCCCACCTTATTTCCGGCCACTTCCCAGCACCCATTCTTACTCCAGGTGGGTCTAAATCCTCTCTGCTCCTCACGAGGCTCTTCCACGCTTATCCTGGCTCAGAACATCTCTCATCCCCCTGACTGGGCCTCCACCCTCCACGGGGAACCAAATCATGGGAAAGCTGGATTCCACAAGCCGCCCTGCAAGCCCACTGACCGCAGAAGGTTGCCTTCTACAACAGCTTAGCTCAAAACCTTCTTTTCGCTAAATAAAGTTGTATTTTACTTCCATGCAAAATAAACAAAAACTCAGTTTCCTGCCTTCAATCCTTCTCTCTTTTATTTCACAGAAGGAACTTTGGTTCTCTTAAATAAGGCTTCCACTCTGCATGTCTTTCCCAACAGATAAGATCGTTTACGTCTACTTACAGTTCTCAATGTTTGCTGTTCTGCGTCACCCTCAGAGTTACAGATGACTGTGACTCACGCCTGGAGAAGCAGCAAGGTGGGGTGAGAAAGGCCAGGTGGTGACCTTTGTCCAACCATGGCTGGCAAGCGACAAAGAAAGGGGGCTCAAAACGTGGCCTCTGAAGTCTCGATCCCCCGCATTTCTGCTGCGCCTTGAGCCCCCTGTGCTTCATGGGGCTGGGCTCTCAACCGCAAAGCAGGTATTTTTTGACCACAGATGAATTTCTAAAATTTGGCAAAAGGATTTAAAAACTCTAGAAATAGTGTGTATTTAGATATCTGTTCCCCAGATAAATTTGAGTATGACTTTTTTTGATCATGGTCATTAGTAGATAAAACCGTATTTGTTTACAAGTAATATTAATTCTATAGGATTTAGTTCACGTTACAAAACCTGGTTGACCAATTACCAGCACTAACAGAACTAAATAGTAAGTTTGGAGAAAGAAACTGTGAACAGAAAGGCTATTCAGTAGGAGATGTTGCTTTTTAAGTCACAACAAAAAAATAATAAATATTGTCACCGGGCGTGGTGGCTCATGCCTATAATCCCAGCACTTTGGGAGACTGAGGCGGGTGGATCACCTGAGGTCAGGAGTTCGAGACCAGCCTGGCCAAGATGGCAAAACCCCAACTCTCTTTAAAAAAAAAAAAAATACAAAAATTAGCCAGGCATGGTGGCGGGTGCCTGTAATCACAGCTATTCAGGAGGCTGAGGCAGAAGAATCACTTGAACCTGGGAGGTGGAGGTTTCAGTGAGCTGAGATCACACCACTGCACTCCAGCCTGGGCAACAGAGTGAGACTCCATCTCAATAATAATAATAATAATAAATAAATATTGTCACTTATTTTTGCCAGTGCAAATCTAGAAAACATGAGATGAAGGATAATGTGTAGGACATAGCCAAAAAGAGCTTGAACGTGAAAGTGAGAGGTAACAACGTGCTAGCAGCCCTGGCTCGCTCTCGGCACCTCCTCAACCTGGCGGCGCTCCTCGATCTGGCCGCGCTCGAGGAGCCCTTCAGCCCGCTGCTGTGCTGTGGGGGCCCATCTCTGGGGCTGGCCGAGGCCGGAGCCGGCTCTCTCTGCTGGTGGGGAGGTGTGGAGGGAGCGGCGCGGGCGGGAGCTGGGGTTGCGAGTGGTGCTCACTGGCTGGCGCGGGTTCCAGGTGAGCGCGGCTCGGCAAGCCCCGCACTCAGCGCGGTTGGCCAGCGCCTGCTGGGCTTGATGGGGGACGAGCTCCCTCTGGGCTGCAGGAGTACCTGGACTAGGTGCCGCAAAGTCCCTCGGCAGTGCCAGTGAGAGGTGAAGCCAGCTGGGCTTCTGGGATGGGTGGGGACTTGGAGAATTTTTCTGTCTAGCTAAAGGATTGTAAACCCACCAGTCAGCACTCTGTGTCTAGCTAAAGGTTTGTAAACGCACCAATCAGCACTCTGTGTCTAGCTAACGGTTTGTAAACGTGCCAATCAGCACTTGTTTAGCTAAAGGTATGTAAACGCACCAATCAGCACTCTGTGTCTAGCTAATCTGGTGGGGACTTGGAGAACTTTTGTGTCTAACTAAAGGATTGTAAACACACCAATCAGCACTCTGTGTCTAGCTAAAGGTTCGTAAACACACCAATCAGCACTCTGTCAAAACTGACCAATCAGCTCTCTGTAAAACGGACCAATCAGCTCTGTAAAATGGACCAATCAGCTCTCTGTAAAATGGACCAATCAGCAGGATGTGGGTGGGGCCAGATAAGGGAATAAAAGCAGGCCGCCCCAGCCAGGAGACCTACCTGCTCTGGTCCCCTTCCACGTTGTGGAAGGTTTGTTTTTTTGCTCTTTGTAGTAAATCTTGCTGGTGCCCACTTTTTGGGTCTGTGCCGCTTTTGTGAACTGTAACATCTCCACGAAGGTTTGCAGCTTCACTCCTGAAGCCAGTGACAGCACGAGCCCGCCAGGAGGGACGAACAACTCTGGACGTGCCAACCTTATGAACTGTAACACTCACTGTGAAGGTTTGCAGCTTCATTCCTAAAGTCAGCGAGACCATGAACCCACCAGAAGGAAAAAATTCTGGACATATCTGAACATCTGAAGGAACAAGCTCCAGACATACCATCTTTAAGAACTGTAACACTCATCACTAGGGTCTGTGGCTTCATTCTTGAAGTCAGGGAGACCGAGAACCCACCAATTCTGGACACAAAAGGAGACTTGCTGAGGCCAGAGGCACAGTTCAAACTTCAGTCAGATGCAGAATCGGAAAAGTTTCAGCCTTGCTGCCCCTCTCCTCCCATTTTTGACTCTGGAAAGGCCTGTGAGGGACCTGTTTGGCGTATCGAGTGAGGACTGCTCTTTTTTAACAGCAGCCGCTTGTCTCTCCCATATCTTCTCACCCCTTCTGCTCTGAATCAGGCTTTGTTCCCTAGTGAAGCACAGAAAGCAGGGAAAATTGGAGAAGGTGGAAAGGGCAGAGAGGCAGCGCCAGAGCACAGATCTAGCCACAACGTGTCCACCCCACTGCGTTTAGAAAATGCAAGGAAGGATGTACCAAAACTGCAGGTTACAACACTGTATCTTAGAAATTTTCTGAGCTTAAGAAATAGATGCCATACCCCACGACAAAAAGAAGTGGGTTGCACAATGGACTTGTACCATTTCCTGATACAAATGATGCTTATTTCCCAAGAAAAATACGAGGCATAGCCAATGGCCTAGGATGCAAAATTATAAACCAACTCATTGCTCCACTGGAAACCACGCCCTTCTTCTAGATTCCGTCTTGACATAAGGTCCAAGTTTCTTATCTGCACCCTCCACACGGCATCTCCTACCCCTAATTCCTCTCTGACACCTGCAGCCACGGCTGACCAGTGTGACCAGTGCTGATCGGTGGCCCCAGGAAGGCTGAGCTCTCTCCCTGCAAGTTGCACCAGGATTCTGTGCCCCGAAGGGAAAACTGTTCCTGGTGATTCCCGTGTCCCAGTTCCTTCCTTTTGTGATTCCAGCTCACAGGACCAGGCCTCTCCCTGGATCTCCCCCTGCCCGCCCCCCCCCCCGCCCCCGCCCAAGATCTTGCTCTTGGTGGCCTGTCTCCCAGAGATGAAAAGTCCTGTCTTGACCCTTGTTTGACCCTTGTGGCCCAGGGCTGGGGCCTGACACCTGCAGCAGGTGCCTAGAATGTTAATGCCACCAACTTTTCCTGTCCTCTGCTGGGAATGCCTTGTCCACCAGCAGCTCCTGCCGAGATCCCTTGATCGGCTCCTTCTGTGAGTCTCGACACCACCCACCACCGCACTGTTCTCCCGCAGAGATGACAGACAGCTTAGGTTTAAGTCTTCTGATGCCCAGCAAGAATATACAAAGAAAACTGGCCTAACCAATGTATTAATAGTAAAATCTGGTTCATTCGTAAGTAGAGTTCTGAGGGTTTTGAGATGCTGCTGTTATGTTTAAGCTACAGGCAATTTACCCAAGGAATGTGATGTTGAAATATGTTTCAGAATAAACTTCCGCTTGAAAATTACAGGCAATAAAATGTACCAGCTTTCTCCTTTTCTTCTTCATTAATGAATTGAGGAACATAAAAGCTCAATTAAAAATAAAGACTCATGCGTCACTTAGTTGTTTTTAGTCCTTTCAATTTAATAAAACATTGGTATTGAGGTGTCGTAGGAAAATGGAAAGTCACTGCTCCGTGTCTGGCTCAGTATCCACGTTTGGCTTACATCATAAATCCAGAGCCATGGGGAGTGTCTTTTCCCTACTTCATCGGAGCCTAGAATGCCCACAGGTGGGGTCCGGTGTGGGCAGCACAGGGGAAGCATAGAGAGGGTGAGACAGCCCTGGGGAAAGGCAGGGGCAGGGAGCAAGCTCCGAGGGCAGGGCCAACATGTCAGGTTTACTGCTGAACTCCAGGGTCTAGAACAGAGTGAGAGGGAGGAGGGACTCCATAATTAGCTGTCGAATAAGTGGAATCCCAAGAAGAAAACTGGGTGGGAGTGTGGAGATAAACACTAGCAACAACGACACAAAGAAAGCAAGGATTGCTTCATAGCCGGGACAAGCTCATTCATCGGAAACCATGAAATGGAACCTGTCTCCCCACACCCAGCAAAATAACAGCCCTACTGCCTGTCCTCAGAGCGCCCTATGACCACCACCTACCTCAGTAAAGAGACAACCCATGCATTTGACCACATCCTAAGCCCTTTTTCCCCTTCTCTGTTTCTTCTCAAAGGCCAGGTGATCATGTGGGTTCCAGCTTTATAACCACATTCCTTAGACCCAAACCAATGAGTTGAAGGCATGAATGAAGTAGGTAAGTGAAGGCATGAATGAAGAAATGCAACGAGAAACTAGGGGAAGGCCTACCAGCTGATGGACGTCAGATGGGTCTCGCCGCTTGCCCTCGGTGAAGCCCAGCCTGAGACCACAGCTGGCAGCTGTGCTTCTGTGGGAGAAGATCCAAGCGCTGCTCAGGGGTCACAACATGCAACATGACTCTTTCTACAGGGCAGGGGCAAGCCCTTAACCATGGAAACACATGCATTTCCACGACAACTCATACCTACGTGTGCCTCTGTGTTGGAGAGTATTGCATATTGCAGATGTCCAAAAGTGCACAAAGTTTTAACTTTATCAATTACATGAAGTGATGCTCTCCTAACTCAGAGTTACATTTTGGCAAGAGCCAGAAATGTACCAATGTATTTCCAAGCAAGCAGTGAGTAAACAGGAAGCAAAGTGTTTGCTCCCCATGATCAATTATAATCTACAGACCACATTCCTTCCACTCTAGAGACCTAGAAATATGTTTTTAAAGTATCTCATTAGTTTAAATTATGATTTTAAATTACTTTATTAGTTACTTGTGTGGCCATTTAAATAAGTCAGATTTTACTGGGAATAAATCAATGATTCATCTAAGGACAATGTGTGACTCAAATATTTCCTTCCATTAATCAGTAAATGTTCCTTTTCCCAACGTGCTTCCCCGCCAAGGAAATCAATGTCTCTGGATAACTAGGTAGGCGCAAATATGTCAGAGCACATCAGACTGAGAACACAGAAGGGAAACACATCTGGAGCTTTTCGCATCCAGGGCCTCACTCCACCGCTGATACGCTGGTAGCTGAATCTCGTCCGACCACATGGTGGGTGAGGCTGGGACAGCCTGGAGATACAGGAGAGAGCAGCTAGCGAGAGGTCCTTGGGGTGTTCGGCAGCTGTGGTCCCTAAGGTTCCAGCCCCCAGGCAGGCCTACAACAGCCACGGCACCTCCCCTTCCCTTCTCAGGACCCAGAGCTCACCAGGCAGCAGCAAGGGGCTACCGTGCAGGAGTTCATCTTGGACCCTATCCCAGACACGCTCTTGTAGGAACCCAAGATAACTGGAGGAGTCTATAAGGAGGTGTTGTCATCTAGATGTAGCTGGGGACAGAGATCAGAAAACAGGGCCCAACCTCCCCAGTGAGGTAGGAGACGGGACTTGACTCTGGAGGCAGGGTTCAGATACTGGACCAAACTGAGACCCTGCTAACACAGGGACGGAGGTCAGGGGATGTACCCATCAGTGTGCCATGTCTGTTTACTATTGCCATGGCAACCCCCAGGCATTACCGCCCCTTTTCATAGCAATGACCCCACAACCCAAAAGTTACTGCCCTTTTCCTAGAAATTTCTGCATAAACTGCCCCTTAATCTACATGTAATTTAAAGTGCGTATAAATATGACTGCAGGCCTGCCCTGAGCTGCTACTTTCTGCCTAGCAGGTAACTCTGCTCTGCAGGAGCAGTCACAGAGCTGTAACACTGCTGCTTCAACACAGCTGTTTTCTTCCACCCTACCGTCTGCTTGCTCTTGAATTCTCTCCTGGGTGAAGCCAAGACCCTTTGAAGGCTAAGCCCCAATTTGAGGCTCACCTGTCCTGCATCACCAGGAAGACCAGAGACCAAAGGTGGGGTCTCACCGGGTGCAGTCATCCTCAAGCCTTCACCCTGCTCTCTGCCCTCCTCTGCTCTGCCCCAGAGGCCCCAGGAATCCGGCAGATGCCGTTGGATGTATCCACAGTGCAGCTCCATCCCCGAAAGCCTCACCTCCAGCCTACATCGCTTTTACCTCCCAACTTGAACATTTATCACCCTTCCCCCTGAACAACTTGATTTGTTTTCTAAGAAAAATTCTGAACCTACTTTTTAATAATTAAATGCCCTTTCTCCTTCTTTCCAATTTATAATAAGAGAATGTCTTACAAATCTGAAAAGCAACAAGAAACATTGTGCCAGAGGAGGAGCTAAAAGAGGCTATCCTTACTTGAGAGAGCGTGGTACTGGGAGCCACACTGCAGGGAGGCCCTTGCAGGAAGAGGGAGATGTCACTGCGGGATGGTAGCTCCAGAGCCCTGCAAGGGCCAACCGGCTTCCATGGAAGCACCCCAACCTCGAAGTCCCCATCCAGTGGGCGGAGCTCAGCACTACAAGGAAGCTCAGACATGACCCTGATGGAGTATGGGTGGGTGTGCAGGCTGCGGGGACAGAGGCCGAGGAAAGCTCAGGCAGGACCCTGATGGAGTGTGGAGTGTGTATGCAGGCTGGGAGGACAGAGGCCGAGGAAAGCTCAGGCAGGACCCTGATGGAGTGTGGGGTGTGTGTGCAGGCTGGAAGGACAGAGGCCGAGGAAAGCTCAGGCAGGACCCTGATGGAGTGTGGGGTGTGTGTGCAGGCTGGGAGGACAGAGGCTGAGAAGGGCAATGGTTAAAATGATCTGTTGGCCATTTCTATCACTGTCCATCCCACTTGTCCTCCCTCAGACACTCGGGACAAGAGTCCAAGGATCCCAGACCTCTGACTTTCTTTCTGCCCTAGTTTCATGGAGGTGAACTGATGGATTCATAGCCATGCATCTTTGAGAGTTGTTGGAGTACAGTTTCATTCCCTAGGATTAGGGAAGATCTTGGATTCAAATCCATAGACTCTTCCTGAGCTCCCACTGCATCCCAGCTTTTGAAAGAATTCCTCCCCGTGCACCACCACTCTTCACCCTCACGACAATTCTATGGGCATCACGTTTCTTATGGCAAAGAGCCTTGTAGGACTGAGGTTCAAGCTGGGTTCACACAGCCAGGTACTTGGTGCCCTTTCTCCCACCACATCTCCTACCACCTCCTTGCTGCCTTGCTCCCCGGCTAAGCTGGGTCTGTGCCTCTATCTCCATGGTATCTACATCACTGCTTTTAACTCCTACCATCGAGTGATCCCGCAGACAATGCACCATGGTGATGGACGATGGGCCCATGCCCTAGGAGGGAGGGGGACAGAGGGCGAACGAAGGGGCTGAGACGAAGGAGCTGTGAGGTCTTTACATTCACAGCCTCAGGTCTTAGGGCTAATGAGAACGAATGACTGGGATAAGCCAGGTGCCTTTCCAGACACCTACGGAAGGATCGAGAATCTTATTTGGCAGTGACACCAGTTCTACCCCACAGAGATGGGAAGAGATCAGGACAGCATTGACCTAAGGGCCATCCTATGCTCATGTAAGGTCGGTCCTGCTGAGTCCTGCCGCCAGGAACAGGAGTCAGGGTGCATATCGGGCACCAGGCATGAGGATTTGTCACTGGGAACAAGGATGTGTGGAGACCGTGCAAAGCAACCCGACCTCTCCTACTGTGGGACCCTCTGGCCCAGGGTTATCTCCATGTCACCTGGTGGGCTCCTGAGCAACTTTTCTGCTTTTTTGTATGCAGGGAGGTGAAATGACCCAGAACAAGCCCTGAAATCCAAGCAGGTTGGTGTGAACTTCTGAAACCTCTGATGCCAAACCAGCACCTCCCAGATACTCTGGAGCCAGCACACATGCTCTGCACCCAAGGCCATGTGGCTTCTGCTGACAGGCCCCAGCCCATCAGTGCATCTGATCCTGCAGCCCATGTGGCTTAGCTTTCCTTCTCTCTCTGCCCCGAATTCTCCACCCCTCACTGGCTCACTTCTGCTCATGCTTCAGCCTCCTGGCTTCCTCTGGGAAGCTGCCTTGCTCCCCGGCTGAGCTGGGTCCATGCCTGTATCTCCATGGTACCTATGTCACTGCTTTTAACTGTGCTATGTTTTGAGGACCTGTTCAGGAGCTGTTTCCTGCACCAAGCCGAGAGCACTCACAGCAGCACCCATGGTAGGAGCTCTGTGCATACCTGGTGGATTAACATGTGCCAATTACAGTGTGGCCACAAATCCAGGACAGCACCACCACTTCCTTCACCCGAGGTTTGAAGGAGAAAGAACAGGGGTGAGGGGAGAATAGGATCGAGTACAAGTCCGGAGGGACTGACTGGGTGCAGGGCAGAGGGCAGCTCTGTCTGCGCCCATTCTCCATGCTATTGAGATAGCCATATGAAGACACAAGCCAACCAAGGCATCTGCCCTGCCTTCACGGACACCTGCGACTCTGCCTGGGCCGTGGAGATCCAGACACAGACAGCAATGCCCCAGCAACTGCCTCCACGGTCTCTGTGGGGAGTAGCAGCATTGTGATCATTGCAACAGCAGCCACCGCGGGCAGAGTTCCTCCTGCGTGCCAGGAGCCATGGCAGGTGCGATACCTGCCTCGCTTCGTTGACCCTGACAAGGTCACAGGGCAGGGGATCATTAGACCCAAATTTCAAATGAGGAACACACAGCTGTAGTCTGCACTGGACACGCACATGCCTTGATAGCACAAGGCACCATTACTGAGTGTCCATGGTGCTGTGTATATATTCACTATTGAAAGAACAACAGTGGCACCTCCCTGCCTGTGAGCGTGGCCTTGTTGCTGTTCTAGTGGGGGCAGGGGGACACCAGTAGAGGCCAGCGGGGTTTTTCACCCAGAAGCTAAAGAAAAGGAAGAGGTGGTTTGGAGGGAAAATTGTTGACTGAAGAATTCAACTATTGGGAGCCAGCTGACTCCACTCTATTTATTTTTCTATTAAGATGGTTTACTGAATTATTTGAATTGCAGGAATCCAGTCATTTTAATTTGCTCAGATGTGGCTTATTGAACTTTGATTTTCTGTGCTGAAGAGCAAACAGAACGTTCAAACAAATTTAAGTTGGGCACGTTTAAATGAAGCGCAGCATTGCGTCGGCGGCTCTGTGTGGAGCGTTATCAGGATTTGCTCAATGCGTGTGCACAGAGATGCAAAATTGCCTTTACCAGAATCAATCTTGGGTTATGTGTGGTCCAAAGAATGCTTCTAAGCCCCCTGCGGTAGGAGTGAGACCTGGAAGATATGGGCAATGAGACAAAGGCCCCCAGACCACCACTGGGGAGGGGGTTCTATTCACAGGACGGGGGAGCCTGCTTGGGAAGGAGCAGGGACAGAGCTGGGCTGCTCTGCATGACACAGCGGGACAGGGATTGGCTGGGAGGAGATGGAGTGAGTATTCAAAAGGCAGGAGGAGGGAGACAGGGCCGCAGACCTCAGGGTGGGAGGGGTATGTGGGGTTGGGAGGCCCTGACGGGTCTCTGGAAGGCGAAGGAGCTGGCAGGGCTTCCAGGTTCACTGTGGAGCAGCTGGGGTGCTCTTTTGTCTGCTCTGCCTGCCTCCGAGGTCTCTGGGTGTCTCCCTGGCTCACTAAAGCTCGTGTGTGGTGGATCTTTGAGGGGGAACTTGAAAAAGACACAAGCTTTGCCACTGGGACACTGCACAGGGCCCCCGCCAGGGTCCTCAACCTCAATTTCCCACTCGTGTCCCACCTGCCCGGCCCCCTCTGCTCATCCCCGGCCTTGCCAGGGGCACATTTTTACCTCCAGTGCAGCTGCAGAGGGAGCTGGCCACGGGTGGCTGGGTTCACAAGTCAGGACCAAGTGATTAAGCAGGGCCACGTGTGCCCCCTAGCAATGAGCAGAACCGTGGGGTAAAACAAAATCACTGGGTTTGGAGGATGAAAGGGTAAGAAGCAGGTGGCTAGGAGAGGGGCACACAGTGTCACCATGAGGAGGTGACATGATCCCCAGGTAGGGGGCGGGAAGGCGAGAGCGACAGCGTCAGCGTGAGGCTGGCAACAGACAGCGTTGAAACCGCAGTTGTGCTTAGGGGCTAGGACGTGCCTAAGGTTAGCCAAACAACAGAAACCCCGCATGGGGGCAGCCTGGGAGCCCTCTTTCCACACCTTCATGTCCACATGAACCCATGTGGGGCCATCTCCTGTCTCAGTTTCCTCATCTGCAAAATGAGATCGTAATTGTGCTCCTAAAAAATTACAAGGACTAAGTGAATTATTACATGCAACAAAGTTAGAATGCCCTCACCATGCACAGCCTGAATGCAGAGCAAGAGATTTCAGTGGAGTGGAAAGAAATCCACCCTTGCTTCAGGGCTAACTTTAATAGCATCCCCGAAAACAAAGGAAACTCCCTGAGTACAAGGGGAACCTCCTGCCGAAGGCCAGCCCTGAGCAGGTCCTCCCCACTCGCCCAGGTGAGCAGGGCTCTGGCCGCCCTGTGCCTGGAGGCTGCGCCAAAAGCGCTCCCCTACCAAAGCCCTCGCTTTCTCAGTGCCGAGCACCATGTTTCCATGTGGATTTACACCACTTCTTTACCCCTGCAGAGAAGACTGGTTTCCTGTCCCAAAAACAGAACTCGTGTCTGAATTGACACCAAGATGAACTCAAGGCCAGGAGCCCGGGATGAAGGTAGCATCCCAAGGCACTCCTGCAGCGTTAGCAGAACTCTCTGCACACAGGCACCTGCCACGGATATGTGTGCGTGGCTTCCCAACGTGATACAAGGAAAAGAGTAGACATGACCACAGTGGAACAAACAATAAATATTTAATTGAATGAAAAAATAAGTAAGGATCCCGAGGAAAGTGTTGGTTAAACTGAGCATGGCCAGTTCCGATTTTTAGAACCTCCAGGGGATCCTGGAATCTGCTTCTCCCCACTGGATTCGTAGGTGTTGGGCTCTGCTGGCCCTGTGGTCAGAGGTGATACCCCCCAGGCAGGCCAGGGGGACCTAGTGGGACAGGTGTGGGAGACTGAGTGCAGGCATCTCAGACAGCTGTTTGAAGCCTCGGGCATTTTAATAAATGTCCCCCTATTTCATAGGCAAAAGTTTGGTGTCCCTGAACAAAACCATCCAACTGTAGCTGAGTGAAGACAGCACTGGTGGAAGCAGCTCTGTGCCCATGAGGGTTCTGCTCTGCAAGGCTCTGTGCACACACCGAGGACACCAGGACCAGAGAAAGCCACATGAAAGTTTTAATATTCGGCCCTCAGGCCAAGTGGCAGGAAGCAAAGCTGAGGCCCACCCACCTCACCAGGAGGCCTCTGGTCCTGCTGCTGTGGCCAAGGAGTCCACACTGCGTTCCCTCCCCAAGGAGGTGGCAGAGCTGCACGGTCCCGCAATCCCACCGCATGGCTCCGGTCTAGGGATTGGGTGAGGGGCTCTGGGAGCCCTGGAGGTGGCCTGTCAGGGGAAGGACCAAGCTGAGGGGTGGAGGGAGGAGGGTGAAGTGTGAGGCTGCTTTGGGACCACATCACAACCCACCAGTCTGACGTGAGCACCCAGCATTGGGGTGACGGGGTCTTTTCTCCCACAGCTTTTTCACATAAATCCACTGCTCTGGGAGGGGAGTGTCAAGCTGTCCTTACATCCAGAGTGAGTCCTTGAGGGCCACCACTGAGACCTGTTCATTCCACACCATCAGGGCTAAACTGGTCTATTCCTTGACAGAGCATCCTAGCCCCAGAGGCAATACGGAAATACAGACATGTCAGCACAGAAAGGCAACAGGATTCCCATCAAGTGTCTATCACAAGATCAGACAGTCTGAGCCACCTGCGTGGCTAGAATTATGTCTCAAGGTGCCAAACAGCTTTACACAGTTCTCGGGATTCTTCAAAGGGAGAAGAACTCCCTCTATGAGCTCGAAGACACGCGTCGGAACTCCAGGCGTCCTCTGACACCTCGATGCAGCTCCGTGAGCCTTGGTTTTCCTCTCTGTGGATGAGGACACATCCGCTCCCTGGGGGCAGGAGGGGACGGGGGCTCAGCTCTGCAGGTCCACAGTGAGACTCCCTGGGTTGCACTCCTCAAAGTCCCTTCCGCTAGATAAGCCTCAGTTTCCTCAGCTATAAAACGGACGTACACCATCTACTTAGCAAACACTGCCCCTGCACTGTGGCAAGTCTTAGAATTCTCATTTTTTCTCAGGGGAAATCTCTGACCACGGAGACCCTGAACAGGCATGCTGTGGACAGGTGTTTACAGGGCTTACTCTGTGGCATGCCATCTTGATTATAATGTTTTATAAAGGACATTAATTACATGAAAGCATTAAATAAATAATTAATGTGATCATCAACAGTAAACAGCATAATAATCAACAGCACACAGTCCATATAATATATTCTTGATGGTTTTAAACCATAACGAAAATAGAAAATGAAAAACTGTAGGTTCTAGAAGATTCAAGCGTTGCCAACTCATGCCGGGAGACCTGCGCTCTGTCATAATGTTGCTTCTCCTTTTATACCTGACTCTGCCATCTGATTGCCCTGAAAATTACGGCCCCGGGTTCTAGCCTCCACTAAGAGTGCTGCCAGGACTTGACCTCAGGAGTTCCTTGGATTCTTTCCTTCTCTGTTTTCACGGCCCGCATGCCAGGTTAGGCCCTCCTCATCTTATGACTCACTCATGCTATAACAACCTTCAAAACGATTTCCTGCTTTTAATCTCTCTCCACTCCAGTCCAGCCTGAGACCTGCCAGGCTATTCCCAAAATAACTCTTCTCGTGTGTCACTCCCTGCCCCAGGCGCCCGACACCTTCCCCGCCAAGCTCTCTGTTCCCCTGCTCCTGGCTCTCTCTCCTGCACACAAGCGCATCTCACCTCCCGGTTTTCAGGGTACTGTGCTCAGCCCGGGCCTCCCCTGCTGCCCTGTTAGAAGCCCTCCTCCCTCAGAGTCCAGGGAGCTCCGACCCTCTCCGTGATGTGTTCTTAACTTTACTCCACATTTTGACACGACTTACCTGCACCCCACCATTAGTACCATGCGTGCCATGACATATGTGACATTTTCTAAGGCCCCTATCTAAATATTTCATCTTCAAAAGGAGTGGAGGCTCCTTTGGTTTGAGGCAAAAGCATGTTACAAAAGAACAATGCTAACTAGATTGCAGGCATTTATGTAATTATCTATTTATCCATCTTCTATACCCTTACACGGGGAAAGGAAATGAGAAATTGAAATGCCAGCAAAAGAAAACAAAGACCAGAATGAGAGCTCAAGAAGCACGTGAGGCCGGGAGGAAGCCACACAGGCCACAGGCTCCTGGGCAGCTATTCCCCGTGTCCCAGGAGCAGTCACCCATCAGCTGAAATCCTCCCTCCCTCTGGAGTTAGTTACAGGTCAGGGCGTCCTGTGTTGGGGGAAAGAACTGCAGATTCACAAGCGTGCATTAAAATTAAATGACATGGAAGAGGAAGAAGCAGAGAAGTGGACGTGTGGGTTCTCCACCTCCCACAAGTGTCCCCTGTCAAGATTTGTTGTCTTGGGAAGATAAAATAAGGGAAGAACAGAAGAGTAAAAGGGATAAAGTGAGGCGATAGAGAGAAAAGAAAAGTAAGGAAAGAAGTAGTCAGAAAAAAATAAAAGAAGCAAACAGCGCTTATCCTCCTACCTCTGCTCAAGCTATAAACTAAAATCGCCCCCTACTGAATATATGCCCAAGAAGAAGATGCTGTGAGAAAAGTGTTCTGTCGAACCCAGGGACCAGCGTGTGCAGAGATGGACGATGGAAACCCAGCCATGGCAAACTCAAGGACAAGACAGAATAACACTGGACAGAGAGCAGACGCTCTGCTGAGCAGGAAACTTTTGCAAGCCAAAGTTTAAAGATACATAGGAACAAAGTAGAATAAAGTAGAATAAACAAGGACAGAAAACATGAGAAAATTGGATGCTAAAAAAACCTACTCTAAGCTGCATATTAAGTAAAATATTAAGAAATAAGGAAAAAAAAGTTACAAATGTCATCCGTTATTATGCCAAATAATAACTAACTGGCCTGTTTGGCTTCCAGAGCGGATCAGGAACCATCTTAAAAACAAAACCAAACAACACGGCAGGCTCCAAAGTGCTTTTTAACAAGGTAAACAAGGGTACTTACTAACAATATCCCATAGAACTTAGAGAAGGCTTGGCGGAGGAGAGAGAGCATGTCGCCTAAGTTAGAAATGATGACGATTTTGGCCAGGGAGCCACACTGTCTTTCTCTTCAAGCATGGAGCATCTCACTCCTCCACATTTCAGAGAGCAAACCTCCACGGGAGTATGTAAACATTCAGGCTAATTGTCACTCGGGATCATCCGAAACTCAGGAGAGGGCAAGAGGCAGTTGATTGCAGCAAGGATATGACAATGTCACTTTTAGTAACTGACTCAGTCCAACACCTCAGAGTCAAGTGCTTAATATAGGGCTACTCTTTCCGTTGGGTGGCAAGTTTAGCGAAATTGACCACCTGTTCCCTTGCAAGTCTGCCTGTCTCCAGCCTAAATCAGAAGGAGCACCTGGCACCGCAGCTCGCAGGAGGTGCTGCAGCGATTGGATTTTGCCTCCTATCACTGCCTGTGAAATCCAGATGTTCTGGGACCTTCTCCACTCCTGAGAAGGCTGCAGATCAAGCTGCTAAACACGCGGAAGTGATTCTTGTTGTTTTTAATATCCTTAGTTATGTGTCTTTTCTGGAGATTCTATTTTTGTAAGTTTAAAACTCTGGTTTCCTTGCACATCAGCAGGGCCTCTACTAAAGAAATGGAAAAAAGGAGCGTCTCAGCCGTGCACTCAGGGTCCTGCGCCTCCATCGCAAAGCCCCAGGAGGACTCCCTGTTCCATATTTGTGGACTGCTCCAAGTCCACTTAGCCAGGATCTCTCGCCTGGTCTGTGGCCAGGGAGATCGAGGGTACACTCAATTTGTTCATAAAATGTCTCCAGCAGTTTTTTAGAAAGTCTGCACCATTAATATCCCCCTCCCCCGCAATTTAACATGATGTCGTTTGCATCCTTGTGAATACAGTGTGCCACCAATTTGAAACTCTAGCCGTGTCCACTAGGTTTTTGTCCTGGGCTTTCCCAAACAACAGCTTAATTGGAGTCAGCAATTTGAGGGAGAAAGGCCACAAAAATAAAAGTAACTCATAAAAAACAAGTTCCACTCACCAAGCTTAGACACACCCCTTAGGCACAGGTTACTCCTGTGGTTTGCTGGTGAAGGCCAGAACCTCACCTCTTCCTTAGACATCCCTCTGTCCCCTACCTCAAAGAAATTCCTTTCTCCCTTAACGATAGTTCTCGCCATTCTGTTAAATGACAAAATTGATAGAATGTCTCTATTGTGCATTGTGTGACATTGCAGCTCATCAGGAATTTATGAGTCATTTTTGACAAGACGATGGCGAACCTCTTTATGACTGGGGCTCGCTGCCCTTATATCTCCAAAGGGCTGGATGGCCCACATGCTCTCTGCCTCCCACACACGGAGGTTCTTTGCCATGTGGATACCCAGAGACTTGAGAAGGAATTTCACTTGGCAGATCACTTGACCAACACAGGAACCGGCTGCTTTATTTCCTGTTGAAGCACTCACCTGGGCCACAGAGGAGCGGGAGTTGGACGGCCTGGCTGGCACTTCTCCTCCTTTAGGTGAACTTGCTGGGAACATCCCATATTGTTTAGAAGACTCTGTAGTCTCTTTCTGTTCACCCATCTCTCCATTCACGGTCTTCCAATACAATAAAGTCACTACTCCAGTGATTCTTGATTCCTTAACTAAATTGTGGAGAGATTTCTAGTAACGTCCAGGATAAAAAAATGTCTGAAACTGCGAAGAACAAAGCCTGGCCCAGAAGAGTTCGTCTAACACTTTTTGAGGCTCTGACCACCTGGTAACTGGGCAGGGGCACTGCATTCCAAAGTCGCAATTGCAGGATCCAGGAAGCTGATGCGAACCTCTCCCTACATGGTGAGAACCCTTTACCTTCCCGTAGCTTTAAATATCACTCGCATTCTGCTAGAGTGATTCTGTGCCTCTAGTCGAATCTACTGTTGTTGGTGGGAAACATACCACAAAGCATAATTATCTGAATGACCTGAGCCCTTACTGCATCTTTCCACGTTGAGAGAGAAAGAGAGTAATTCATTCATTTAAGAAATATTGATTGAGCATGCTTGCCGTTTCATCATCTAATGTATTTACCATTCCTCCCAGCTGGGTTTTAGATACCAATGTGATCCATATGCTATTTGCTTACATAAGTCTGCTTGTAATATCCATTTATTCAATAAATAGATATTAATCACTTAGGCTATGGGATCAGCTCTGGAAACACAGTGGTGAGGAAGAGAGATGCTATCCTGGCCACCAAGGAGCTAATATTCCGGTGGAGAAAATGTCACTAAGCAAATAACGACATAGACAAATCTATGAATACAGTTGATATGGCTGCTGTGCAGTGAGTTGCTATGCGAATGGACTCAGGAAGACTTGAACCCAGGTTGGAGAGACAGGAACATCCTCTCTGAGAAAAGGTCACTAACTCTGAAACTCAAAAGGTGGGTCCAGATTCTCTAGGCAAAGAGAAGTGTGCAGAGCAGCCCGCTTGAAGAATACCCAATGGCAAAACAAACACAACACAAACAGAACAACCCCCAGGAGCAAACCCGGAGCCAGAGAAAAGCGCAGTGTCATTGAGGAGACCCACAGAGACGTACATGGCCAGAACTGGCCAGAAAATGGGGTAAGCTCTTGTTAACATGTTTAGGTTTTATCCTAAGTGCAGTGAGGGTCTTGCAGGGTTTTAATTAGAAGAATGTATTTTTCTGATTATGTCTGTTAGACTGGGTTCCCAATCCTCAGGCCTCAGACTGGTACAGGTCCATGGCTTGTAGGAACCAGGCCGCACAGCAGGAGGTGAGTAGCAGGCAAGCGAGTGTTACCTCTCTAGCCTGAGCTCTGCCTCCTGTCAGATCAGCAACAGAACTAGATTCTCCTAGGAGCACTGGATTCTCCTAGGAGCACTGGATTCTCCTAGGAGCACTGGATTCTCACAGGAGCACTGGATTCTCACAGGAGCACTGGATTCTCATAGGAGCACTGGATTCTCACAGGAGCACTGGATTCTCATAGGAGCACTGGATTCTCACAGGAGCACTGGATTCTCACAGGAGCACTGGATTCTCATAGGAGCACTAAATTCTCATAGGAGCACTAGATTCTCACAGGAGCACTAGATTCTCATAGGAGCTGGAACCCTACTGTGAACTGCGCATGCGGGAATCCAGGTTGCACACTCCTTATGAGAATCCAATGGCTGATGATCTGAGGTGGAACAGCTTCATCCCCAAACATTTTCCCTCCCTGCACTCCCCCCTCTTCCACGGAAACATTGTCTTCCACGAAACCGGTCCCTGATGTCAAAAAGGTTGGGGACGGCCGTTTTAGGCTGCACAGCAACTGACTCTGATATGGGGAAGAGCCGGAGTGGGATTAGCAGCTCTCCAGGAAACAGCAGGATGTCTCCTGCACTTAGGCTGTGGGGAGAAGCAGCCCCACGTGAGATCTGGGTGGTAGTCTATCAGCTGGGTGCGGACTGAATCAATACGGGGGTGATCAGAAATGAGAGATGGGAGATGCTCATCGGAAACCTGAATAGGTAGATGGAAATGCATCATTTGTATTCAGATGATTTCTCCAAGTTTATCTCTATCCTGGACTTACCTTCTGAGCTTCAGACTAATATCTCCACTCTCTGGTAGAAACCTTTATTCTAATATTCCCCAGGAAACTCAGTGAACATATCCACAGCTCAAATCATTGCCCCTGAACCATCCATTAAAACAGTTCCTCCCCCATTTTTCCTTAACCGAGCAAATGTTTATCAGCTGAAACGGTCCATTTTCTACGTCAACTTGACAGGGCTGCACGGTGCCCAGATACTGGTCAGGGTTATTATGAATGTGTCCGTGAGGGTATTCTGGGAGGAGACGAACATTTAAATTGGTGAATGGAGTCAAGCAGATGCCCTCTCCAATGTGGGTGGGTCTCACCCAATCAGTGAAAGGACAGAACAGAAAAGCCAACTCCCCCACAAGTGAGAGGGACCCCTTCCCGCCTGGCCACCTTGAGCTGGGGCAGCAATCTTTTTCTGCCTTTGGACTCAACCTGAAACACCAGCTCTTCCTGGGTTTTGAGCCTTCCAGCTCTCAAACTATACCATTGGCTCTCCTGGTTTTCAGGCTTTTGGACTCAGACTAGAACTTACACCATGGGCCCTTCTGGGACTTCAGCCTGCCAACTGCACAGATCTTTGGACTTGTCTGCCTCCATAGTTGTACGAACCAATTCCTTACAATAAAATCTGTGTGTGTATATATATGTGTGTGTGTGTGTGTGTGTGTATTTGTATGTGTGTATATGTGTGTGTGTATGGATACAAATATAGATATAGATACATATCCTATCGGTTTTGTTTCTCTGGTGAACCCTAATACACCAGCTACAGAGGAAATAATATTGTCTAGGGAGAAGGTAAAGTTAAAAAAAAGACTCATATAAGCTATAGGATATCCCCACATTGTAAATAAACCATAGTGCAACCCAAGAAATAGAAATGAAAGCGGAAGTTGACCACAAATCAAGTAGGCTGGAACTGTGGCAGAATGTCCCCTGGGCATGCAGCCACCTGGCTGGAGATGGAGACTACATTTCCCAGCTCCATTCTGTCAAGTGTAGCCATGGGGCTAGGTTCAGATCAATGGTATATGAGGGAATCGATGAACTCCCAAGGAATCTCCATAAAGATGAAGCCACTGTCGTAGACTTCTTCCTTTTCTGTTTTCTGAAGGCTGAATATCCAATTTGAAACTGACCCAGTTTAAACTCTGCAAACAAGAACCACACCCTAAAAGATGGTAGAGCGAGAAGATGGAGGGAACCTTGGTTGCTGGATGACCTGGTGGAGCAGAGCTTCCACACCAGCCTGGACTGTTCAGCTGTGGGCCGGATCCCAGAAGGGAGGCTAATATCTCTCCTATTTAAGTCCCAACATTCTGAAATCTCTTTGCTACAGGGTTTGTTTGGCTTGTACTGAACTGAAACAGACATGGAAACACACACACCCGACTAAGCAACATGGATGGATGGCCGTTCCCTCGACTGGAACAGAAGGCATGTCTGCCTGCTCTGCTCACTTCTGTAGCCCCAGAAAATGAGGCAGGATCTGGCACGGGGAGGACTCGGCGGCTGTATGTGGAATGAATGGATATTGGAAGAAATACAGACTGGCAGTAGAAGGATGGTGAAGAAGTGGGGAAAGAGTCGATAGTTAAATCTCTTTACAAGGATTTGCTGTGCAGAGAAGAGAGTGACTGTAAGGACTGGGGTCCGGCTGGGATTCCTGTCTGTGCCGTGCAATGGGCATGTGTGTACATGGGTGACATAGGAAATGCTGGGGCATATTTCCACAAAAATATAAAAAATCCGACAAGAGAAAGGACTGCGACACAAAATAGAGTGTCATAAATTTCCTGGTATGTGTAGCAGGTGAAGTACTTTCTTCATATCACCAGAAGGGAAGAAGAGGATGGGTCGGTATACAGCAAAATCTGTTGGGTCACAGGCAGGAATTTTAGGATGTATCTGAGTGATGACTCTTAAAAAACTTCTGTCTGGTGGGAAGCAAGGTCAACCTCTGGAGAGAATGCTGGCCAGTGGAAGTCAGGCTGAGGTCAATGGAGAAGGTTGAAAACAGTCATTGTGGAGTGAGAGCAAAGTGAGTATAGGGCTATGGTCAGAATAAAGGGAAGTTCTCAAAGGCTGATGAGGTTGGGTACCATGCATTTTTATAGTAACCATCTGCCCAGTGTGTGTCTTTCCCAGCAACTGTCAGGTATTAGACAGACATGGAGAACAGGAAACACTCGACTTCTTCTGGGGCTGTGATTTTCCCCAATGATCAAAATTAAAAGGCTGAAGGGCAACTTCCGTTGAATATTGCAATAGAGTAGTTACTGCCTCTCTGTTGGAGAGGGAAGAAGCTGCTGGCAGGAAGGGCTGGTGGATGAGGTGGCGAACTCGTCAGCGGACGGGAGGTTCTGATAGGACAGGCATCTGCACTGTGGCTTTTTAACCAGCCTGGTTGGAGGACGGAAAATGGAGGCAAGAGAATGTGCTCAATGATTTTGTCAATTAGAAGTGATTAAGTTTCCAGGATGACAAAGTTTAGAATGACGGCTAATTTGGAGTAGAGATAAACATCACTGGAGATGAGGAGGCGAGGAACGAAGAGGTCAGGTGGTCAGATGTGTTTTTCAGGAGGATGTGGAAGATGCCGAGTAGATAGCAGGCATGGTAGTGATGAGGAAGACTGGCATGGATTCCAGCGACCCCTATGAGTGCACCGTAGTAACACAGGTGGAGTAGATGACAACTAAGAGGAGAGGAGAGGCGGCATCATCAGGTTGCATGAGATTTAAAGAAGCAAATGTTTGTCCAGCTAATAGAAAGGCTGTGGTCAGAAAACTACCTGAAGAGGAAGGATGACCTGGCACTCAGGTCTCAGGGGCAAAGAGAGAGCAAATTGCTTCCACTTGAGAGGATCACAAAGGAAGTGGGTTCTCAGGAGCCATCAGATCCTAGTTAAGGAAAGCAAGAAGAATCTTGAGAGAAGAGTCAAAGGTAAAAGGGCATTTTTTTGGATAAAACTACAAAAAAAACTTGCTTTCTGAGAACATTAAGGAAAACACTTTAAATCATTTTCAAAATGTCTAATTGATATGATCTTCAGAAAAACATTATCTAGTCTGTATAGAAATTCATCTTGAAATAAGAATGAGGCAGAGTGATCTTTTTAAAGGGTGATATATACAAGTCTTTAGATCAGTGTAACATGACTGTGATCATCTTACCAACAAAACTCAAAATCAATTCAGAGAGCAGCATGGCCTTGGAGACCACCCACACCCAACACAATTGTACATACTGGGCTTTGCTGTCAAGTTAAGGAGTGAGCAAATGAGTTCGGTATCAAAGGTCATATGTTTTCACAGTCATTCGAATTATATCCCAAAAACTTGTCTTGTATTCTCTATCTTTTGACTTTTTTTTCCAAAGAACTGATTGCACAGTATACAGAAATCCTGCTATATTTTACTACTTTAGGTGGAGTCTAATTTTTTGTTTTTAATTTATCAGTGCTTAAAAATCTTCAAAATAGCTTAGTGAGGCTCATGACAGTGCTGGCCACATGGAAATGTAGCCTTTTGTTGCCTTTAAACACTGTCACACCATCTATGACTGTCCCATTGGTCTGAAGTGTACTGGCAAACTAAGCATCCTGTAAGACAAGCTAAAGCTTGCTTTTTGCCAATCAGTTGAAAGTCCTGCATCTCTTCATTGATGCACTTTCTTTAGGTATTGATAGTCAAAAGCACAAAGCATTTATTATGCATTCAATCATGTAGCTAAACAAAAAACTGCAGTCTCCTGAAGCCATTTAAACCAGCCGTTCCAAAATCTTCTGCCACCACTTTGTTAGTACCATCAGAAACTTTCTCAACTATAAATGAAAGAATAAATGGTAGTGCTGCTCTCCAGATATAAGGCACTGCTCTGTATCTTTGAACATTTGATTTTTTTAACTCATAACTGTGTCAAAAGCCTCAAAAAACCCTGAAATTAATTTTCCAGCTTTACTGTCACCAGCCAGAAGTAAAATTCTTAATTTGCCTATTAGCTGTTGCTGTTAAATTTTAAATTTATTTTTTAAAAAACGGTTGGACTTCTATCATTATAAAGTATATAAAATTTTCAAAAAAAAAAGAACAATTTTGCTTTTCATTGTATTACTGAATACCCGAGGTAGTTGAGTAAAAATGCACGTTTTATACCCCTGTCAACACCGTTCAGCACTTCCCTTAGGTTACTCATGTTAGTGTTAAGTAAAAATAAAACTGAGAACAGTTTTTCCATGCTAATGGCTTAACATTTAAGTTCCTGTAATAATTATTCTGCTCCAATTTTAACAATTGGATTTAGGAACAATCTATTTGATGAATTTAGTGAAAGCATCATTAAGCCAATTTCTGGCATTATGGGGGAATATTAAGAATAATTAGAATATCTGTTATACTGTGAGACTACAACAAAGGGAAGTGCAGAGCTCTTCTCTTTCCCCCCTCTGCCACCCTTTTTTTGTGTGTTTGTTTTAAAGCTGGGTGTCATACATTTCAGAGAGCATAAAGTACACATTCTCACAGAGACAGGAGTTCAAAAGTTGCCTGGTCCTCAGAAACAAGTGGCTAGGTAAAAACTTGTGCATGTGATTCTGGATAGGGGGTCAGCGCCTGTCTGTTTGTTAAGCAATCTGTCTTTGGTTTGGCATCTGCCTCCGTGGTGGGCTGTTTCCTGAGCCTTACTTCCGTCTTGACTGAGGTGGTCCACTTTGCAGAGCCTTCTGTTGTTGCTGCTGCTTTACCTGAGTCAGAATTTCCTGAATTTTTCTCTGGGCAACCTGGCAAGCATAGAAGTGACCAGTTATTTTGACAACCACTTGGTCATTCTCATCAGGTGTCTGGTCACAAGGGACAACAACTTCTGCACTTGACAAATTCTGAAGTTCATTCACCGTTTTGCCTCCTTTTCCAGTAACTGCCAGCAGCAAAGGATGGCACTCTGATATGAGCTTCAAGTTTCACCTCTTCTTTAGGACTAACGAAGTTTTCTTCTTTCATTTTTCCATAATTCTTCCCTGAGCCTTGAACCGAGCCTCTGGTGATCCAGCGATCATCACCATCCTCACCTTAGCATCTGGTGCTTCCACTGGAGCAATCTTACTTGAAGCTCCAGCAAAGCGAGAAAGCTGCTTGATGTGCTGGCCCTGCTTGCTGATGAGGGCTCTGACTGATAGAGCCGGGATAAACAGATGAACAGTCTCGGATTCTGATTGCTCAGACTGCGGGGAGGGAGGAGTCATGGCTGAAGGGGGCCCTGAGGTGGGAGGTGGCATCCCTGAAGTGGGTGGGAACAGACCCAAGGCGTTCAGATTTAATCCAGGAATTAAATGTGCTTGAAATCATAGAAGTGATATCATTTTCCTAACGCTCCCTGATTTTCTTCATGATCTCTTCCTCAGCTTTGGCACATGTCTCAACATTGCCTTTAGCTGTAATGGTGTGTTCTGGATTATACTGCATCAGTTCCTGCAATGGAGATATCGTGATTTTAGTGTCTGTGTCTTGCTCAATTTTTTTAAGATTTCTTCCTTCTTTACCAATAAGACGGCCAACAAAGTTATTTTGAGCTAAAATCTTCAAGGGGATCTCTTCTGTGAATTTTACATCTTGAGTTTCCTTACGCATAATCTCCAGAATAGACTTACAAGCCGCAGAGGTGCCTTCAGGAGTAGAGAGGATAGTAATCGACTTCTCAGCAGCCCCTGCATTTTCTTTACGGTGGACATCGATTTTAGACTGGGTCTGTTTGGTGATGTTCCGAATGGTGGCACCTTCTTTTCCTATAATGGCTCCAACAAATTGGGTGGGAACCAGCAGGCACAGAGGCAAATCACATGGTTTCTGCTTGGACACGGATCCTGGAGACCCCTGCCTTGAGGAGCCCCTCTGCCCAAGCCCCCGGCGACCTCGGGGCTGCAGAAAGGGGTTTTGCTGGGTGGCCATTTCATCAGGGATATAGGCTACTTTCAAGGTGAAATTCTCTAACTGAAATCCATTCAGTTTGTCTAGTGCTTGTCTAGCGCTTGTCTAGCTTGGTCCTTACTGGAATAGGTTACATTTACAACTGCAGTTTCCGAGTCAGTGTTCACTTGCTGACAGCTCTCCACCACTCCATACTGGACTAGTCAACTATCCAGCACCTCCCACTGTAAGTGAGGAGGGATATTTCGTATCTGAAGTTTCCGAATCCTTTGCCTTTTTGGGACCGAGTGCTCAACTTCTATGGGTTTCCCGTGCAGTTCTATTTTACCTGAAAGCGCCTCAATGGCCTTGAGGGCCCAGATCTCGTCTGGGCAGTCCACGAACGCGTAGCCAATCTTCACCAGGAAGGGTCCCGACACGGGGATCTTGGCGTCCTTCAAGATACCTTCTAGGTCCAAGGGGGCGGCGTTCTCGCTGAGGTTTCTGATATACGGTTTGTTCATTGTGAAGAATGGTTGTTTAAAAAAAATTAATGAGAAAAACGAAAATTAAAACCACCCACGGTGATGGATGGATCCAGCTGGTTTTGTTCCCCTCGTCTTCTCGCCTTTAAAATACACAAACACAGTAAGAACCAAGCACAAGAACGAGGAGCAAAAAATCAGATCCGAGGCTTGTTTTTCCTTGTCTAGATATGTTTTAAAAGAGAAAGAAAAGAAAAAGCCTAGCTACAACCGAAACGCATCCACCAGGCTTGAATTGAGCTAACTTTTCACAGTCATTTTTTAACCATAATGCTCATCTACCAAGCAATACAGGGGCAGTCGTGTTTATCACCTATGTTATAATTTTATTAGCTGCGGAATGCTTATTCGTATATGGATGTCAATGGCTACATGTATTGATTAAAACTCCCTTCCCAATTATGTTACTATGGGAACAGCTAGAAACATTTCAAATGTTAATTACCTTTTGTTACACCTGGGTCACATTAGCAGTCACTGCATGGGAGGGGTGCTCGCTTTGTTTGGATTGGCATTCTGCCTCCTACACGGGGTTCAATTAACATTAGCTGAGACTATTTTTTAATTCAAAGAATATGCATATTGTCTTCATTATGAAGCCTAGAACATGATTTTCTCAGGTTGCCACATCAGTCAGATAGAGATACCGTGTAGTTTATAATCACAGCTAAGGCAGCTCAGCAGCGTGTTACATCCAAGAGGCTGACATACAGGAGAGATGTCATTTCCTTCTTAGTCTGCATCATTAAAAAGATCTTTTTTTCTTCTGAAGTCTTTCTCTTGGTTGCTCAACATTTCTTCACAGAAGGAATATGAAGGAAATAAAGTGATACATAGCAGGCGAAATCACGGAAGCAGGATTTTGTTTAGAAGAATGCAAGGCTGCACTGACTGACTACAATTCAGAAGAGCTGCAGCTGCCAATGTCCTTTCTGCAATTCATTAACCTTATATGTACCTTTCCACTTTAAGGGATTTTTTCCACTCAAGAAAAAAACAAAAGGAGAATGGAAAAAATTATAGAAATATGAAATGGGACTTACAATGAAATAGAATAATTTGCATATTTTTCTCAGGTAACATATTTTATAAGACAATTTCAATTCTTCCAGCTGCTGTCTTCAGAAGAGCTTAAATATAATTCTGGATATTATTTTCATTTAAAAGAAGATATTGGCTCACACTTCTTGCAGAAAGCTGAGGAGCCAGAACTTGACTTCGTATAACAGAGGTGAGAGTTATATCCGGAAAAGAACAATTCTCCCCTCCAAATTAGGACAAGTTCAACAATATCCTAAATCACAGTGATTTTAAATACTTTTCATGCTTATAAGAGATTTTAAAATGAAACAGCAATCTGTGAGGTGTTGATAGCATGCAGTATGTAGCCAAGGTGACCCAAGGTCAGTGTCTCCTTCTAGATGCATCTGCAGGTAGTTAGCATTCGCCACCCACACACCTGGCCCAACAGGAACACTGACGAGGCATGCGCATACTGCTGATGAAATGCAGCCTGGTTTGCTCCAGAGCACATGTTTTCTAAAACACACGTGTAACTGATAGACTTAGCGACTGACTAGGTGTGAAGATAATATAAAAGTTGCATTAGTCATGAGCCAATTTCTCTGATGCACTCACGTTTTAAGTCACCGTGTAACAGCAGGTCTGTGCTATAACACAAAGGACTGTGACACAGGTGAACACAGCAAGACACCAGGAACACACTTGGATGCCCATCGGCCCCAGGTTTCTTCTGCTGGTCCTGTCTGGCCATGTGTTTGGGTTTGAAAGTGTCCAGATTGCCTGGTTCTCCTGGATCTTCACGCAAAAGAAACGAGCACATGATGGTGACCTGGAACTCTCCTCGCTGGCGTCACTGCATTTTTGCAAAGCCTGTAACTGTCCTGTCTGCATTCTGGGCTCCAAGGCTCAGTCCTCTGATCTTTCCTGACCTGTCCTTCCCCTAGGCTGCCTTCCTCTTTTTCCTTATTACAGTAAAGTTCTGTATGTACTGCAGCATATTCCATTTATTGGGAATTGAATATATTTCTTCTATGCCAGGATTTAAAATTAGGATTGTTAATATTGTGGTTTGTGCTCTGGTTACAGAATTTCTAAGGTTTGGGTGTTCTATCCCAGCACCATATTTTCTCAAAGCCTTGCTCTCTGCAGTGGGTGATTTTGCACAATGCAAACTTCTCAGGTACTTTCTTCTGAGCTCCAGGTCCCCATATCCAACATCTACTCAACATCTTATTCTGAGATGTTCACCTCAAACATGTGAGAATCAACATGTCAACATGTCAATACCTCTTGCAGGATTTCCTAACTCCACAGATGGTATCCGTCCAATTGTGCAAGCCAAGAGCAAGGCGCCAGCTGGGACGTTTCCCATACCCAATCTATCATCATGTCCCATTAAATTTTACCAGTAGTGTTTCTCGAATGTGTCCGTTTCTCTTTGTCTCTGCTGCCACCTTCATCTTACACCTGAATCACTGCAGCAGCCTCCTCCCTGGCCACAGCAGTCTATGAAACACTAATCTGAGCAGATCACCACCCTCCGCACAAACCCTTAGGGAACTAGAAGAAAAGTCGCTCAACTTGGTAAAGGCTACATTACAAAAACAACCAGTAAACATCACACTCAGTGGAGAAACTTTAAAATCAGAAGCAAAGATGCCCATTAACATCACAACTGCTTAGCATGGTACTAAAGGTCCTTACAGACAAAAAAGAAGAAAGAAGCAAGAAGGAGAGAGTCAGAAAACAAAATAAATTAGTGGTATAAGATTTGGAAGGAAGATAAAAAACATCCTTATTGGCAGATGACACAATCCTAGACATAGACACTCCAACAGAATAGAGACTATTAAAACTAACGAGAGTTCAGTGATGTTGATGGATTTACAGTGGGCTTAAAAATTACTAGCAATTATCCTCACCTATTGATACAGACTGAATGTTTGTGTCTCCCCTAACTCTTATGTTGAAATCTAATCCCAAGTGTGATGGTATTTGGAGGGGGGTCTGGGAGGTGATTAGGTCATGAGAGCAAAGCCCTCATGAATGGGATTATAAAAGAGACCTTATGAAAGAGACTCTAGAGAGGGCCCTCACACCTTCCACCACGTGAGGACTTGGCAAGAAGGCACTGTCTGTGAACCAGGGAGCAAGTGTCCACCAGACACTGGATCTGTGGGTTCCTCGATCTTGGACTTCCAGCCTCCAGAACTGTGAGAAACGAATTTCTGTTGTTTATAAGCCACTCCGTTTATCGTTTTTCATTACAGCATCCCAAATGGACTAACACACCTGCAATAACCAATTACAGTTTTTATTAAACTTAAGTGGTGAAATTTTATCAAATACCTCTCTGTACCAATTGAGAGGACCACATGGCTCATGTTGCTATCAACAAGAAAAGATAGGCAACCCAACCCAAAAAACAGGCCAGGAATGAAAACAGTTCACAGCAAGAGAAATGTAAATGACTGGCAAGTATGTGAAGAGTTCCTCAACTCAGTCAATGTAACCAGAAGAAATAAAATGAGGAGAAGACAATTCAAGCCATCATATTTATAAAATGTAAAGGCGTCATACAACCAAGAGTTGGTGAGCGTGGGAAGGAAGATCTGGGGCCTCCTGCAATTCTTCTGGAAGCGTCCCCTGCCGTGACTGCATGGAGAACACTTGAGCAGTCATGAAGATGAAGAACGAGTATCATCTGTGCTCTTTCCATCCCATGCTGCATAGCCTGGAGACCCCAGACCCCCAGCCCTCCACGACTGGATGGGTACCCAGGCAAGGGGACAGCTAGTTAGGCAGGCTTTACGCACAGTACCCAGGGGGAAGTAAAGCCCCGTGCCAACTGTCTGTGCAAAATGAAATATCACACGCACAGCCTGTTACTGTGTATCTTAAAGGATACATTCATATCTAAGAATATAGAGAGGGTGGGATCGGGAGGAAAAGTAAAATAGTATTAAACAAGAAGAGTCTTATTTTGACAGTTGTGCTAGAGTTCCTTGAATAGTAGTAACAAAACTCTGCATAGGAAGTTTTTGAAAAACATTAAGAGTAAATGGTCTTCAGATTTATTGGTGGAAGGGTGACAGCCATTCAAATGGATAAGTTCAATTTAGGAGTGAATATTACTCAAAATAGAACAAAGTCCAACATACCTATAATTAGTGTGCAGGAAGAAGAAAAGTACCCAGCAAACTTGAGAGTAAAGGCTGATCAGAGAAGAGAGTTAGCAGGCAAAGGAAGAGAAAACCAGCATCTGCTAGATGCCTTCCTTGTGGCAGCACTGGACAGATAACCCTTTGTGCAATGCCGGGGTTGCCGGGAAGGGGGCAGCTCTGCTCTCTGTGCAGATGGACGGCAGCCCGGCAGCCACGCAGCCCGCAGAGCAGAGCCGGGTTAGAGCACAGTTCCGTCTCACCCACACGGTTAGGGAGCTCCAACCATGTGGCAGGGAGACTTTCAGGAATAAGTGAAGGTCGGTTTCCAAAGTGCAGCATGATTCTTAGTAAGCAAATATTGTTGATTCATTACAAAGGTAAATAGAAACAGTTTCAATGGAGCAGTGAGGAACAAAACCAGGTGACTGGGTGGTGGGGAAGTGGCAGAGGAATGAAAATGACTTATAAATTAAGGATAGTGAATATCTGGGCACGTTTAAAGTTATGGATGACAGTAATGGAAGGAGTGCAGAATCAAGGCCCAGGGTCATTATAAAGGAGGAGGTCCAGACAGGTGCACCTGGATCAGATTGGGAGGTGACTAAACAAGTGACCTAAAATGTATAAATATAGTACCTTAATTATGGTGATCATTATTACTTATCTTCAGAGAGTAATCTTTCTTTCTTTCTCTCTCTCTCTCTCTTTTTTTTCAGGGTCTTACTTTGTTGCCCAGGCTGAAGTACAGTGGTGCGATCTTGGCTCCTAGGCTGGTGGCCTTGACCTCCCAGGCTCAAGCAATCCTCCCGCCTCAGCCTCCAGAGTAGCTGGAACTACAGGTGTGCACCACCGTGCCCAGATAATTTTTGAATATTTTACAGAGACAGGGTCTCACTATGTTGCCTAGGCCGGTCTTGAACTGCTGGCCTTAAGTATTCCACCTGCCTCAGCCTCCCAAAGTGCTGAGATTACAGGCATGAGCCACCACAACTGGCCTGAGAATAATTTCTTTTGCTAATATTGTACAACCACAGAAAAAAGGAAAATATTCTCCGGTAGAATTAAATCTATATACTTACACTTATTTATTAAAAATATTTGTGTTTTTTATTGGATCTAGAAAAAAACCTGATTTAATTCAATATATTTTTGTCACTATGTATTAATTCTGTTGGAAACATAATAGGATTGAGCTTGATGTCAAATAACAGGATGAAATCTTTTTTTTGCATAAAGGAACATAAAACTATTTATTGACCACTCTTCACAAGTATTTACAATAAAGTAAACATTATACAGTTGGATAACATTCTGATTACTGCAAAGTGGTTTTTCCTGGCTTTTGAAATCACTTTTAAGAATAGTTAACCTGGACTTGACACAGAAAAATCTCAACTCTCAAAAAGCTAAGCCACACCAAAGAAACTGCTTTATCAGGTTGTTGAAAACATTTAGGATGTTAAAAATAATTTCAGTATAAACAAAAATGCTTTCTTCCTTGCAACTTCCATTCCTCCTGCCTTGGAACCCTGGCAAAAGCTAAGAAGTTAGAAGACATTCCAAGACGTTTCGCAGGTCCTGAGAAGGTACTTACACACCCGCTGAGAGTTCTCGTCACCAGGCAGTGCACACTGCTAAACAGGCTTTACCAGTAGGCCTTTACTAGTACTATTTACAGTTACAATAAATAACTTTCTCTAAAGTTTTACCACAGTGACTTCCTTCTCATACAATTGAACTTGCTCACTTTCAAGTGTAATTATATTTTTGAAATACATACTTCTGAACTGAAGTCTCCACCATTAATTTTCATGGGCAATACATGATAAAATAAATGCATTGTACCACAAATTGCAATGTATTAAGTTCTGTGGAGTAAGTGAAGCCAGTCATGTAGACAACTGGGAGAGATATGAAATAGAAGTGACACACCGCTCCGTGTTGATATTCAAAGTAGAGAAACAAGGAAGAGGTGTGAGCCACAAGCTGTGAGCCTGCAGTGGGGTTCCATACACATTCCCCCAGCCGGGTACTATCGGCTTGTTTTAGCACGCCTCTTATCCGGGTTGTGCCTCAGTTTCCTCCTCCTTAAAGCAGCACTGAAGTTCATCTCACCTCTGCTTCCCTCACCGGTTGTCATAAAGATGTAACAAGATAACGGATGTGGGGTGCTTGTCAAGCTGGGCACGCATGTAGAAAATCATTACTTTTATTAATGGAGGAATAAGAACAATAGTCCCAGAAGTCAGAAATAAAGACACAACATATCCTCAAAATATCCTTAAAAATAAACACATGGGCTGAGTAAGTTGGCTCACGCCTGTCATCCCGGCACTTTGGGTGGCCGAGGCAGGAGGATTGCTGGAACCCAGGTGCTGGAGGCTAGCCTGTGCAACATAGTGACACTCCATCTGTACCAAAATAAATAAATAAATAAACACATGACCAAAAAGAAAAAACTATTTGATGGCTTCGCTTTATCCTAATCTCAAATCACATTGTTATTCTTTACATCATCTTTCTTTCTTCATAAAAGTCAGAATCTCAAAGGAAGTTGGTCAAGATCCTGATGTGCAGATGGGTTAAGAGGATTAGTAAATGTCAAATAACAAAATAAAAAGAAGAAAGGGATGAAATTAAGTCCTGGCACATTCCTCAGTTAGTTGTATTTCCTCTTTCTGGCCCAGACATCCCCTGGATTTATAGGTGCGTAAGTGTCCCTTCTCGTCACCAGGACAGCTTTAACTACCATCAAGAAGTATTTTTCAAATAAACACTTCAGTCTCTGTGTCTGAAGTGTTTATTTGACTGATCACAGCTGAGAACAAGTTAGGGGTTGACAAGGTCCTATTGTGGGCAGAACAACTGTGATTTTCTAAATGGAAGCACATCTTTAAAACTGTAAGAGGGTTTCAGTTTTCATGTACGCCATATTCTATTATCGAACCAGAATCTTCACTCTGAAGTACTATTCAAAATCCTGATGGAATAATAATCAAATTGATGCAACTTAGGTTTAATCCTGTTCACTTCTTAAATTATCACACAATGTCTTTTTTCCCTATCCTTACAAATCTCATAGTTTACCTTTGTAAGTATATGTGTATGTCAATTTAAAAAAATACAATGAAATCCCTGAACATCTGAAAGATTCCATTCAATTTTGCTGTTCTTATTAAAACTTATTTCAAATCTGGAGTATTCAAAGTAACACTTGAGTCATAATCTCTACAGCATGCTTTAGCCTTTAATCAGTTATATTGGACAGATCATCCTCAAACACTGCTCTCAGCACCCTGATGTCCTCCCACCATAATGTACTTTGTTCTGTACTCTTTGATATATTTTTTTGTAAAATATGTATATATGCATGCACGAGTGTGTGTGTGTATGTGTACGGTGTTTGTGGGGTATATGTGTATGGTATGTGTTGTGTGAGTGTGTGTGTGTGTGTGTGTGTGTGGTGTGTGTGTGTTATGTGTGGTGTGTATGTGTGTTTGCATTGTGTGTCTGTGTGTGTGTCTATGCCATCAAATACTATCTCTTTTGATTACATCCTGGAGGTGCATGTGTTATGCATCCTTCTTCTCTTCCAGGAAGATGGACTAGGCATGTATTTCCCTATTCTTCCCACTAAGTACAGTTGGAAACCCTGGACACTTCCTGGAAGATGACTCTGACAGGAGGAGAGAAGAAGTCAGGATAGCTAAGGGCCTCAGGACTTGAGGAGCAAGCTGGTGGAGAATTCCCTGGGTTTTCCTTTGCCTCATGTGTACTAGACCTGAAGCCAAATAAATCAGCAACCCAGGAATTCCAGCAGGCACAGACAAAATAAAATCCCAACAAAAGCCTCTAGCCACAGGACCAGGGAAGGGGGCAGAAAACTCTTAGATGATAACTGCTCTACTTTAGCCAAACAACACAGAAAAACCTTGGCCCCACCTTCACCCATGCCAGTAAAGGCTGTGTGGGTGGCCTAGAATTCCACCCTCATTAGTCTGTAAGGAGGTGCCCCAACATCCCCCCAGGGGTGGTGTCCACTGGTGGTGGTGGAGGACACTGAGGACTCTGACCACTGCCCAGGGGTAACAAGGCCATAAGTCTTCTTGGGATTAGTGGAGGCCACAGAGGGAGCTGGAGCCTCCACCCCCACAAAGCAGGAATAGCCCCACAACTTCCTTCATTGCAGTAATGAGGTGGTGCCCCCACTTCCTAGGTTGGAGTCACGTGAGACCCAGTCTGTTAAAACAGAAAGCTTATATAAGATCCAGAGTCTCATAACATAGTGCCCCAAAAGTCTAGGTTCCAATTTAAAAAAAAATCACTAATTACACAAAGAACCAGGAAGATCTCAAACAGAAAAAAAAAAGATGCCAAACCAAGATGACAGAATGTTAGATATATCTGACAAAGATTTCAAAGCAGCCATGATAAAAATGCTTCAACAAGCAATCACAAACCAGCCTAAAACCAATGGAGAAACAGAGCCTCAGCTAAGGAATGGGAGATATAAAGAAGAACCAAATGGAAGTTTTAGACATGAAAAATACAAAACCAAAATGAAAAGTGCACAGACTGGGCTTAATAGCTGAGTCGAGGGAACAAAGGAAAGAAACAGTGAAATGAAGGATGAAGCAACAGATGTTCTCACCTCAAAACCCAGAGAAATAAGAGCAGCATAAACCCAAAGCAAGCATAAGAAAGAACATAAATAAATAAAAGGAAGTGAAGAAAGAAAGAGAGAGAGAGAGAGAGACAGAGGAGAAATCCATGAAACTGCAAACAAAAACAACAGAAAAAACCCATGAAACAATGAGCTGATTAAAAAAAAACAAGACCAATAAAATTGACAAATCTCTTGCAAGACTGATTGACAGAGAGAGAGAGAGGAGATACAAGTTCATATATTACCAGTATCAGGAATGAAACAGAGAATCATTACAGATCCTGCAGACTTGGCAAGGATAATAAGGGCACACTGTGAACACCTCTATACACATGGATTTGATAAATCAGACAGAATGTACGTAGGGATGCCCACCCTGCTGGTGCAGCCTGCTCAGGAGTGGCTGGACCTAGGTAAGAGGTCCACATGGGTTTCAAAAAGAGGCTCAGGGTCACTGGGGGAGGAAATTCTGGCAGCCCAGGTACCTGGAGAATGTTTTTGGAGGGAAGGGTGCAAACTGTGGATAGGCACATCACCTGACCTTCAAAGACTCTCATCTGGTGGTGAGGGCAAGGCCAGCAGCAGGCAGAAGGAGCTCTCAAATGCTCAGCGTCAGGGCAGGGGCCCCTCTGGTCCAGCTCTAAACACTGTGCTGAGTACAGATGGTTTTTTTCTTGACATTGCCAATGAGATAACACTCGTCAAAACAGAGGACGACTAAGGATCTGGAGTCAAGAGTTAACAGCCTTCAGGAAGGCTTAGCAGGCTTTGCAGCTATTCCTTTCATTATCTAACAAGTATCTGTGAGGGTTCTTGCTATAACTCAGTATCTGGGCCAAGCATGCAGTGTGGGGTTAGAAAGAGACGCACGGACGGGCTGTGGCAGCCTGGGGAGAGTGCCATGCACCTGCAGAAGTAGTGTGAGCCTCTCACGCCATGATGAGGTCACAGTTCCCCTGCACTATCTCTTGATGTGTGATGTCCCACCGAGGCCCACAGGTGGGCTGTGTCCCTCGATGTCTGGAACATACATTGAGGTCACAGGGTTCTGCCTTCCCGGCGCCCCCTTCTAGATGTTGCCACGTGGTCAATGGATAAGCAGACAGCACCCGAGGAGCTGCTGAAACACAGCGTCTATCCCGAGCTTTCTCTTCCTTAGTGCTACTTGCTCAACACTGCCTGTGCCTCATGTCTCGCTCTCTCTCCCCTGGGTGGGAGCACAGGGAGACCACTCTGTGAAGCTCTGGGTTCCCGACAGCCTCATTAGAAATGAAGCCAAAAAGCACAGGCACAGATCAGGAGAACAGGGTTGTGACCCCTGGAAATGACACGTCTGTCCCTGGAGGTGGCGTCCTTCCCCATGCTTCTTCCCAAGGTCAGTTTCTGATGAGCTTCCATGACCTCCTCTGCCAGGCCACCTGTGCCTTCCCACTGCAGAGCTCTTCCCCATCCCCCGGAACACAACTCACTTTCTCTCTTTTCAGGGCGGAGGAAACCCAGCTCCAGGGTGACCCACAGCCACTTGGATCTCCGGGTATCAGAAGACTGGCGCCAGGCCCATAGCCGGGTTTTCACACCGGAGGAGGTGGGAGGGGTTTTCATTTTGTTTTGTTTTGTTTTGTTTTAATAAAGTCATGCTTGATTAAATAAAATGAGAGAAAAGTAAATTTAAGGAATTGTGAGGGAGAAGAAAGAGCAGATTGTTGTGAACAGTTGGTGGGATATCTATGCAGATAGACAGTGCACAAAAATTATAGGACACAGCTACTGATTTTTTCTCTGTTCTCCTTTTAAAGGACCAGTGCGTAGATATCTGGGTCACAGCCCTGGGGAGAAATACAAAAACATTCACGCATGATATGGAGAGAAAATAAAGAATAGAAATATCCATGACTGGCTGAAAACACATGAAGAACAAACACAGATGCACGATTTATGTGTTCTGGAAGCAAAACCATTCCTGCCTAATGCAGCCATTTATTCAGCTTTATTATTCTAGCAAGTAAAAAACACAAAACTGCGCTTTGTGAAATATCCGGAGGGAAGCAGAGGAGGAAAGTGCTGCCTGTGATGTCCTGGGGTCAGCACTGGCCACGTTATCTGCAGAGACGACTGGGGTCATGGTGTGAAGTTCCGTCGTGGAGGAAGCTGACAGGCTTGTTAGTGCGCCCCTCATAGTCAGCGGTCACCACACCCTGTCACCCACGTTAACCTATCGCTGCTGCCATCACCCAGTTCCAAGTCCCAGTGCTTCATACCTCAGCTTCCACAATGGCCTCCCTGATCCCGCCTTTCCCTATGGGTTTATGCCAACAGCCCAGTTGGGTTAGGCTTCCCCACACCCTGTTCCAACCATGTCCATCTCCTGGCCAGCCATCAGTGATGAATTATTCCTTCCTGTGACTTCGAGCCTAATCCCAGCCCACAGGGTATCAGGCAGGGTTACCCCCAGCACGCTGTGGGGATGGGAAGAGGTGCAGGCCAGTGTTCTTTCTGTGCTACTGGTTTGAAACACAGAACACATTCTCACACAGAGACAACAGCTTGAATTGTGCTTGGGTTCTCATGAGAAACACAGAAAAGGCATTTGACTCAGAGCTGAGCCCTGGTGCTCTTGTTTCGGGTCCTGGGAAGAGACAGCTGTGAGATGGAGGCAGTAGGAGGTGAAAGAAAATAGTTATTTACTGGTTCCTTATGGTTGAATTGTATACCCTCAAAAAGATGCGTTGATGTCCTAACCTCTGGAACTGTGAATGTGATGTGACCTCATCTGGAAATAGGGTATATGCCAATATTAGCAAATTAAGACAAGGTCACTGGGGTGAGCCCTAACTGTGCCTGACTGGTGTCCCTAAAGGAGGAGAGACAGAGACGCACAGAGGGAAGACAGCCACCTGGAGACAGAGGCAGAGGCGGGGCAATGCGTCCACAAGCCAAGGAGCACCCGAACCGCCTGAAGCACCAGAAGCAAAGAGAAGGGCCTGGAACAGGCTGTCCCTCCCCGCCTCAGCAGGAGCCCACTCTGCCACACCTCCAACTCGGACTTCCAGCCTCTGGATGGGAGAGAACAGAGTCCCTTGCTTGGCCACACAGTTTGTGGAACTTTGTTTACCACAGCCCCAGGACACCAATACCAGGTCCCAGGCAAATTTTTGTCAGAAATGCAAGTTGGCTTTGGCAGCCTGTGCTGGGCCCGTATTCTGGTCTGTTCTCTCTGCTGCAGGCCAGGCCTCAGGCTGTACTGGGCACCCTCCCTTCCCGTCCGGCCTGTGCTCCTTCTTCAGCTCACCCTGAGGAAACTCCCTCTCCAAACACCAACACATCCAAAGCAGGGGGCTGAGGAGCAAACCTCACCAAAGCCTTCTGCCTTGCAGACGTGAGAAAGGAAAGGCAGTGGAGGGTGGGCAGGTGGAGCACTGGGAGGCCCCAGAGACTGCAGAGCACCCCTCCAGGCAGCCCGAGGCGGGAAGCAAGCCCAGCACAGCCCCTCCTGGTGGCTTCCCTCCAACTTGGCTGGGTCAGTTAGTGACTCCGCTGCAGAAGGAGCTGCGTCTTCAAATGGGAGGCATGGACGGTAGCTGCCACCATAGAAGCCGGGCCTTCTCCCTGCATGGGGCACTTGAATTAGTCTGACCAGGCTTCCTGCCAGCTGCCTCTTAAAAAGGAGTAAACTTATCCAGGAGACAAAATTGTGGGGATAGCCAAAAAATGCTGGGTGAGAAGAGGAATGAGAGACAGCTTATCCTAGCAAATACTAAAATACGATATTAATAATAGCACAAAAAGGCAAATTAATGGAACAGAAAAATCCAACAACAGATGCAAGCACAGCCGTGCATCACTTAACAACGGGGATACGTTCTGAGAAAGGCGTCATTAGGTGATTTTGTTGTTGTGAGAACATGACAGAGTGCCCTGGCACACACCGAGGCTATCTGGTGTAGCCCATGGCTCCTAGGCCGGAGCCTGCACACACACGGCTGCGCTGAACACTGGAGGCAGCTGCAGCTTCCTGGTCGTGTATCCAAACATAGAAAAGCTGGGCCAGGCATGGTGGCTCACGCCTGTAATCCCAGCACTTTGGGAGGCCGAGGCAGGCGGATCATCTGAGGTCAGGAGTTCAAGACCAGCCCGGGCAACATGGTGAAACCCCGTCTCTACTAAAAATACAAAAATTAGCTGGGCATGGAGACGCATGCCTGTAATCCCAGCTACTTGGGAGGCTGAGGCAAAAGAATCGCTTGAGCCCTGGAGGTGGAGGTTGCAGTGAGCCGAGACTGCACCACTGCACTACAGCCTGGCTGACAGAGTGAGACTCCATCAAAAAAAAAAAAAAAAAAAAAAAAAAGAAGGAAAGAAAGAAAGAAAAGCTGTAAGTCCTCACTTCAAGTCATTGTAAGGTTTTGGAAACAGACTTGAAGCAAAATGACATATAACTAAACCAGTTTTATCACAGGTTAACTGATGTCAACAAGAGTTAAATTCCTGCAGCATATTTCAAGCCACAAAACCGTCACCAAGCCTCTAAATAAAGACCAAACCGCTTCTAATATTGAACATGGAAATAAATGTAAGCTATGCGGACATTTAAGAAAAACAGAAAAACAAATAGGACGATGATTTCCCACCGACTCCAGGCCAGGGTCTCGAGTTGCCGGAGCCTGTCCCGGCAGCTCAGCCTGTCCTGCGAGGCAGCCCCCATCCTGGCCAGGACATCATCCCAGCGGGCATCAATTCTTTTTCACATCATCACTGTATCGAAATGACATTGAATGAAACGACGTCATTTGAGGACCTGCTGCACAGGTAAAATACCGTATTATACTCTTATGGGACCACCTTCAGATGTGCGGTCTGCTGGCGACCAAAACGTCCCTCTGCACTGCACGGCTGCATATGTAAGAGGTTAAGACATCGTGATTTGTGAAGTCAGAATGGAAAAGGGGGGTTGTAATAACAAATTATTCATTTGGAAAAATAGTTAAATCCCTCATTATATACCTCACAACCTAAAATGTCAGAAAAGACAAAAGCAAACGTGAAAATTTAACACGGAAGTACCAGAATAAAGTAAGGGTGATCATTTATGCCATCTTTTGATGGATACAACTTTTCCAAGTGTAAAGCATGACTAAATTTAAAACTTTCGGATGTCAAAACACTGTAACCGAAATTTAAATAAACTGCAAAAAAAAGGTTTTGCGACATGCATGCAAAGCATCAGTGCTCCACGTACAGAACTCACACAAATGAGGAAGAGAACAAGGACCTTGCTCATGGCTGTGTAGGAGGATCCGGAGCCAGAAGGAGCAGGGAGTGAGGATGGAGAATGGGCTGCTGGGACACATGTGGGAGGGAGATCAGGACACAGGCTGCGAGTGGAGGCCACGCGCTCACCTCTGCAACAGAGGGAAGGAGGTGGAGTGTGTCTGTGGGCAACTAGCAGGTAAGGAAGAGGAGTCTGAGTTCGTCTGAGGCTCAGGTTTTGCAAGGGGGTGGAGGCATCGCCATTGCTGGGAACAAGGAGCAGAGCATTGCAAAGAGGTTACCAAAAACAGTGAACATCTGGGATCATTGCTGTGTATTCCCCGCAACAGAGAGCTGCAGAATGGCCCAGGTGCGCTGTAGGAGATGGAAGAGAACAGGAACCAAAGACCAGCCACAGCCTGGAGGAATGGTTGCCAAAGAGGCTGGCGCTGGGCACACACTGGCACCAGGAGTCTCTCCCAGCTCTGCTCTGCCACCCTGAGAATGGGAAGAAGGCCAGGGAATTTTGCAAGTGGGAGCCAGGTGAGGAGAGCTGGGGTTCCAAGGAAACTGGGATGTTAACAGGGAAGAGCTCAGCAGACCACTGGCAGTGACAGATCCCGCGGGTGAAGTTGGAGCAGCGTGGGGTTGGAAGGGAGTGGGGTGCACAGCACACGTTCCATCCAGGGCGAGTTTTAGATTCCAGTGGTAGTGCATATCTCTCTAAGATCCAGAGTGCACCAGAAACACAGGTCAGCATGCTGAAATGACCCAGAAATTTTACCAGGGGTGCCTCTCACAATTAACTGTACTTGAGGCAAGCCCATTTGTTATAGATTTTTCGCCGATGATTGTTTTATTATTTGTCATTTTTCTTTTTTCTTCTTTTCTTTCTTTTTTTTTTTTAGACGGAGTTTTTGCTCTTGTTGCCCAGGCTGGAGTGCAATGGCACGATCTCAGCTAACTGTAACCTCCACCTCCTGGTTCAGGCGATTCTCCTGCGTCAGCCTCCCACGTAGCTGGGATTACAGGTGCCCGCTACCACGCCCAGCTAATTTTTGTATTTTTAGTAGAGACAGGTTTTGCCATGTTGGCCAGGCTAGCCTCAAACTCCTGACCTCTGGTGATCCACCCACCTCGGCCTCCCAAAGTGCTGGGATTACAGGCGTGAACCACTGTGCCCGGCCCTATTTGTCATTTTTCTATGAAGGCAAAAGCAACTGTGCACATTTACCCTCACTTCCCCTTAAGTAGCTTTCTGAGCTCCAGGCACAAAGGGAACTAGGGAAGGTCTTATCTAGCACAGGGCACCATGCAGACTGGCAGATAGCAGTTATCAGAGGCTGGCATGGGGGGAGGTTAGTCCCCACAGTGCCGATGTAGGAAATAATGCTCAGCCTTATGTGAGGCTGTTTGAGTTTCCAAGGCACCCCTAAACTAATCCATCAGGAAGGCAGAAAAGGCTTTGGAGATCATTTTCCCCTTAAAAAGACTAAGCATTCCATGTTCGTTTGAAGAAAAGTAATAGTTGTAAGGCCATATCAAAATCTAAACCAATACATATTGACTTTTTTATCATACAATAAAATGCAACCGTATCTGAAAATACAAGACACGAGTATTTGTACACATTCTCTTTAAAGTGGTTAAAATAACTTGGCCCCCAAACATGAATTAATGAGGACATGCACCCGAGAAAGTAGCACATACTTCAATACAGACGTATCTGTAAATCTCACCCGCTGGTGTAAGATAGCTGCCCCGCACATGTGCACAGAGGTGACATAAACTTGGCAGGACTTTCAGATCGGTTATGTCTCAATAACTGACCTTAACTTAATGAAAAGTGAGATCCCAATATTTCTAAACACACCGAACAGCTCTTTTGCTTTTTCATGAACCTAGAGAGGGGTGGAACAGGCTAATTAGGTTAAAAGTCTAACCATTAGATTTTTTCTTATTTGTGTGTCTGTATACAGGCATATATGAGTAAGGATTAAAAACATTAACATTTAAAGGTTATTGACTTTGACAACAAGGCCAATATACTTGGCACCAGCCGGCAAACTTTTCTCTACATGTACAGGTAGCAAACATTTTTGGGGCCACACAACCTCTGTCACGCCTGCTCAACCCTGTCTTTACAGGGGAAACTGCCACAGACAACACGTAAATGAATGTGCATGGCTGCGTTCTTAGAATGCGTATTGGACATTGCTACCATTTAGTGAGCTCCTCTTATGTGCTTGGAATGCACTATTTATAAACTCTCAGGTTGGGAACATAATGTTAATTACATTATTCATCTTCCAAGCTCACTACAAAGAATAGGTTTCCACAAATGCTTATTTATGGACATTGAGATTTGAATTTCATACAATTTTTATGCATCATGAAATCTTCTTTTGACTTTTTTCCAACTGTTAAAATATGTAAAAATCATCCCTAGCTCACATAGCCAGAATGTATGCAAGGTTTGATATCAATGAGAGCTTTAAATGAATTTAAGCTTGTTTGGAAAGACAAGTAACCTGCAATCTCTCCTTCTCTGCCATTTTAACTGCCTTTGAACAACACATGTCTGTGACGATGTATCTATGAAAATACATCTATTTTGCATGGTCTTCTTAAACCCCACAATGGATACTCTGAAACTAACTCAGTGTTTGATCATGTATTATTAAATGTCAAAGGAATGATTAAATGAATGCATCTCCAACTCTACTCACTTATCATTAAAACGTTCATCAACGGAGGGATAGTCAATCTCACTAGTTTCAGACTGAAAGCCGACTACTTTCGGCTCAGGAACTGCAAGGGAGCATGATCATCAGTCTTGCATTGATCCCAACAAGCATCATCCTAGTTATGCTGATTAGAGTATATCTGGGAGATCTTATAAAGAATGTTCATATTATAATTTGCAAATGCTATGTGCCAACTTTCAACCACAGTTTCCAGAAGGAATTTCATGGCAAATTTCTGAAAGAGTGGCAGCTTTGAGATATGTGGGAGAAAGAAGTTAACTCTAAACCTTTAGCTGGCTTAAATTCCCAATTCAGAAATCTTCAAGCCCCAAAATACCCTGAGTGCTATTTCTTATAATTACTATTAATAAGACTTTCACTTATGTAAGGATTCCTCATTGAAATAATTCAAGGCACACTTTTAAACAACAAAACATTGTAAAGTGGGCATCTTTGTATTAAATTCCTATTCCTATTTTATTTTAGGTAATAAGTATTCAAATTTTGGTGAACCCTATACAACAATAACTACCATTTAGTGAGCTCCTCTTATGTGCTTGGAATGCACTATTTATAAACTCATAAGTTGGGAACATCATATTAATTACATTATTCATCTTCTAAGCTCACTACAAAGAACAGGTTTCTAATCATTATAATAAATGGAGAAATATGTCACCTAAATAAAAGAATGGATGGGTGATATTGAACACAGAATATCTGCAATGCACTTCTTTTCCCCAAAGGAACCCAGGAACCCAGATGAAAATCCAAGGCTCTCTGACTGCAGAAACGGAGCTGTCAGTCACCACCTAGAAATCTCTCCCCAAAAATAAAAGTGTAAGAGAAAGAAAGGCATTATCAAAGAATCTAGGAAGTCCTTGTATGAGAAACTAGCACTAAATAATTCACTTTTTGAGATAGTTTGAACATATTTCTAACTCTAAATAAAGGGAAATACTTGGTCATAAGAAAAATGACCTCTGTGTATTAAATGTCTAGTTTGTGCCTCGCATTTTACATTCATATCATATCCTCATTATGGACAGAGTAGCCCATTCCAATCACCCTTATTTTACTCAGAAGGAAACTCCGGCACAGCGAGTTTGATTTGTGCAGAGCAGCAAGGCCGTACCTGCCTAGCTGCCACTAAATCACAGGGAGCCTAGAACCTCCCACGAAGCAGGGATGAGCTCCTGTGTTTAATCTCAGATAGTTGAGGAGAAGACGCTTTGAGAAGCTGCATGTTTAACACTAAAGGGTGATTTCACAGTTAAAAGTCATCTTACATACACTTCACAGGAAATGGAAATGACCCCACTAGTCTGTGTACCTCTTAACACCTGAGTTCACACAAGCAAGTGCTCCATCGTTACTTTACAAGGTGACTAATTTCTTAACAATTTCACGAGGATCCCTACTTGAAATCTGTCACTCAGATTGGTGTGTCTAATGAAATGGTTTAACATCAAAACATCTATGGATAAGGACAAATAACACAGGAAAGGTGGAAAGGCGGGGGACATCGGGGGTGCGACTGAGGGTCTCCTCTGCTTGGATGGGTTTCCTCAAAAGACTGCAGCCTCCAACAAGAGAGGGAAAATACCGGAGAGGCAAAGTTACATCTGACAACACTTAGAATTCATCTGACGGCCAGGACCCGGGAGCACAGGCCTAGCCCAGACACTGGGTCCTGACGTGGCCACAGCCACAGCTGAACCCCCTCCATTGCCACATCCCTCCCTTGCCAGAGATTTTACCAGATGGTGCCTAGTAAAAGAATTTTAAAACTTCTAGAAGATCAAGCTTTCCAAATGGCTCTTTCTTAACAGAAACTTTCTAGTTTCACGAACAAAATCACAGATGAACATGCTAGAGCTTCGTAAAGCTAGGCAGCTTTCCGGGCAGTGCTGGGTGATCGCAGTGGGTCTGCGTCTGGGCCCCTCCTTCTAAGACCGAGTCTCGGGGACGGGAAAGATGCACAGCTGCTTCAGGAGCATTTCACCCAGTGGGCGGGCGGCAGAGTTAGCAGAGCTGGACTTTAACAGAAGCTCCCGCCCCACCTTGCAACCTCGCTCATCAGCTCAGCTGCTTCCCCCAGGAGGTGCCAGCTCAGAGGAGGAGCCGGTGCCAGCTCAGAGGAGGAGCCGGTGCCAGCCTCGGCCCCGGATCCAGATCCTCTGACTCAAAAATAGCCTGATTCCTATCATGCTTCCTCGCCGGCAGGGATACCACCATTTGTGCAAAATGTTTAGGTACACATTTCACACATATAGACTCATTAAAATAGTCCACTTTATTTGGAATGTCATAGTGGAGTAAATATAAATACAGTAGGAAAATATAACCAGAACCAAAATATAATCAGAATATAATACAATCAGAAAAATTAGAAATATAAGCAGAATAACTCAGTAGGTAAAAGCAGTTTGCATTTTAGGAGTTGGTGAAGAAAGTGGAGTGTGACTCAGAAGGTCCAATCATCCATCCTAAATTCCAGCCCTGTGTTCCAACCCCTGCATGATTCTGCCCCAATTCAAAACCATGCTGGAACGTGAGCTTGGAGACTGGAGATCCCACACACAGAAGGAGAAGCTGAAGACGCTTAGAGTGGAAAAGCGTTTTGTAAGGCGGGTCAGACACTCAACAAAGCAGGTGAAAGTGATGGAAAAATGGAGGAGCCGCAGGGGGTGGGAGGCACAGAGGGCTCCCCTTATCTTATTGTATTTTCCCTCTTTCGGTTGTGAGGACAGTCCATCCTGGTTCTAAAATCACCGTGGCCCACGCCACGTGGAACCCACAGGGCCCACAGCCACAGAGGCTGGGGTGGCACTTCCAAGACTGGTGGCTGCAATGGGAGTGGAATGTCCACCTGGCTTTGGGTCCGTGACCCTCACTAGCCTATCCCTGGAGTTCTGTAAAAAGAAGAGCCAGGACACCTTTCTGATGGGGCTGCCCGAGCTTGTTGTGGATGCGGAGCTGTTGAATTCTCCAATCCCATTCTCTGAAACGCTTGATACACGTGCTTCTCCACGTGAAGCAAATGCCTCCCTTTTTGAGATTCGTCCTTCAGTCTACTACTTAGACTTTACCTCCAGTGACACTTCAGTTTCCATGAGCTTCAATCGCTGCATTTTCAGCCCATTCCTCTCTGCATTTCTGGAGTAATTTCGGTTACTCTTTGCACAGCTCCCTCTCCGAGTCCACAGGACTCATCACAACTCGCGAGACACCACCGCCTCCAAGGTCTGTCTGTGCCTACACTTGGCGACTATGACAACCGTTAAGCGATGCAAGGTTTGGGGCGCTGCAAGGACTTAGAGAAAAAGCTCTGTGGAGACTACAGTAAAAGAGCCCAGAATACTGTTGGAGTAAGGCCCAAGTAAAGTTGTCAACAAGTCAGGGCAGATGTACCTTAAATGGACCCCCGCCTGGTGGGAAGGCTGGGCTGGGGCTGGCAGGCTTGGGTTGCCCCTGCCTCGAACGTTTCCTAGCCCTGCCATCCTGGCTCAGTGCCCAGCCTCTTGCTCAAGTCCCCCCTTCTGGAAAGTAAAGCACTAACTTTTAAGGACCAGCTGAGGTGCCGCAGTGAAGAAGGTGGCCTAGGCCCCCCAGATGGTGTGGGAGCGACAGAACATGAATGCACTGCCTTCCTCACCCCAGGGGGGTCCCACACGTGTGCACCGCCTTCCTTACCCCTGGGGGGTCCCACACGTGTGCACTACCTTCTTCACCCCAGGGGGGTCCCACATGTATGCACCGCCTTCCTCAGCTGGTGCCAGGGGACCCCCAGTAGTACCAGGAAGGCCGTGCCAGTACATCAAAGTGGCAGCCAGGATCTAATAACAATACGTAAATACAAACAGAAGCGAGGGCACTGTTTCTCAGTTGGGTGCACTGTGATTAGAAAATAAAGTCCGAACTAACTCTATAGTTAGGAAATGACCGAATTTTTCCCTGAGTCATAATTTCCTTTTTCTTTTTTTCTTTTCTTTTCTTTTTTTTTTTTTTGAGATGGAGTCTCATTCTGTCGCCCAGGCTGGAGTGCAATGGCGCGATCTTGGCTCACTACTACCTCTGCCTCCCGGTTCAAGCGATTCTCCTGCCTCAGCCTCCTGAGTAGCTGGGATTACAGGCACGCGCCACCACGCCCAGCTAATTTTTGTATTTTTAGTAGAGATGGGGTTTCTCCATGTTGGCCAGGCTGGCCTCGAACTCCTGACCTCAGGTGATCCACTCTTCTCAGCCTCCCACAGTGCTGAGATTACAGGTGTGAGCCACTGTGCCTGGCCCCTGAGTCATAACTTAAAGTATGTTTTTGTAATATGTTTCATGGACACTTAAAAGGTAAGTATAATCTATTTTCAGGGTGTGGATTTCTCTCTTTCTCTGCATATATGTCATACACATGCACATGTATGGACATATGTATGTATGAGTATATCAAATATGCTATATTAAGTGTGTATGTGTGTGTGTATATAAATATATTTGCCTCTGATTTGTGGTATCCTAACAGCAATGAGTTAAAGTTTCCTAACTTTGTAATACTTTTTCTTCTTGTATTTTCTGCAGTTTTTGCTTCATAAATTTTGACGCTGTTACTTGATTTATGGAGGTCCACGGCAGCTAGCTCTTTGTTGTAGACTGTGCCTTTATCATTATTCTAAGGGCCCTTAACATTTCTTTGTTGAATTTAACCTTGCTTGTTATTCATATTGAAAACTGATATTAAAAAAAAAAACACCAAAATCCTTTTATACCAGACTTTTTGAGTTACTCTTTCACAGACACATTATTTAAGGTGCATTTCTTAATCCAAGTGGGTCATTTTTGCTTCTTCCCGCCATCTGAGAACTTTGTGAGGTGTGCTCACCCCACTTATGCTTTGTGACACGGCCACGGCCTCAGCTTTGTCACCATACGTCACCGCACAGGTCCTGGTTTTCCTGCCGCCTGTTTCTAATCTGTGGCCATTTGGCCTGGTTTCCTAGTCCTATGCTGAGGGTGCAGGTTCCTATTCTTTTAACGTGGACCATCTGCAACTGGTTTTAATTTAAGAGTTTTATGATCAAGACAAACATCTATTTCTTGATTCATCAGCTTTACACAGACTCCTGTCATAGCCTAGTCTGAAAGATAAACAAGTTAGCTCACGCCCTCCCCTCCTCTCCACTTGCATTTTTGGTTTATTAGATTATAATACTTAGTTTTTCCACCCATTCAATACCTTTGTATTCGACTTCTCAAGTTGAAATGCTCTCTACTAACTCTCTGCTCAGAGAGTTGAGGAAATGAAAACAGACTCTTCTCACCTCATCTTCCACTGTTCTAGCTTTTGTTATGTTCTCTTCTGAGAGCAAAAATGCCAAAGAATAATCCCACGTTCTTTGGCTTTAGTTTTATATTCAAATAGACTTTTTCTATTTTTCATGGTTTTTCCATTTATCCCTTGGTTTCCTGGACTGAGTAAAAAAAAGTCTTTTATTTTTTTTAAAGAAAGGCTTATGTTTTTATGTCACTCCATTATCTGATTTTTCTCATATTTAAAAATGTCTCAGTTTTCTTTCTCCTTGAAAACAACCTTAGCTCTGTATTAAATCCTCACAGATTATGTCACATGGTGTTTTTCTCTTTAAAAATTCCATTTGGGAACAAAATGTAAATATTATAATGACAGAGACTAGGTAGGCACATGACAGAAGGAAACTGGTCTACCAGGTGCCTCTGGTCGCCACCCCTCACCCTCCCCTTCAGCCTCCTAGCCCAGCCCAGCCTCTTTCTCCAGCCTCCGAGAGCCCACAGCAGGTGGACAGCTCCAGGCAGTCAGGGGGAGCATCCCTGGGAGCCACCTCTGTGGGTGCCTCGAAGGGAGGTGGAGGAGGTGGGGCGCACACACGGAACCAAAGGAGTGTGAAAGGACAAGGAGCTGGGTGAGCCAGTGGGGGGTGGGGTGGGCCCACGGGGAGACCCTCACTCCACCTGCCTTCTCTTCAGATGCTGGGGACGAGAGTGAAGCTCCGAGTTTCTGCTTGCACAGCTTCCTCGGGCCAGCGTGGACGTTCCCGACCTGCCCCACAGCACAGAGACTGGCTCCAGGTATGCCGGGCAGGGAGGCTCCTGGCGGCGCAGGCCCAGAGGGAAAGCAGTGTCAGCTGAGGGGTGGGGAGGAGGCAGAGGGCGCATCACTTGTGATTCCCCAGCTTTGAGAGGAGCTCACAGAGGCAGCTTTTGGGGAACCGACAGATTTACTAAATAGCACCATGCTGAATTTGAAACAGCCACGCCCCAGAAGCTGATCAGAAAAGATTGTTTTCAGGCCAAGAGTAAGATGTAAGAATGTGCTGTGAACCTTTATGATTCTGTGAAAACACGTGGCTTTTAGGTCCTACAGAAATGCCCTTAGGCTACAATATAGAAGATTTTTTTTTTTTTTTAGTTTAAAATCTTACTTCACATAACTACTTTGATAAATCTACTATTTATAAGCAAAGTCCTAGCCACGGCCATCTGATGTGGTAGAAGAATAAACTGAAAAGCAGACAGTACCTAGGACAAGGACAGACCAGAGGCTGACGGCTTGCAAGTAGATGTGGAAGATAAAGAAGTAGCAATCCTGGGGAAAGGGCTAAACTCCACTGGGGGAAAGTTCCATTCCACCTCCGATTCCTAGAGCTGCAAGCAGCAAGTTGACACAACACTTAGCAAACTCTTAGTCACCTCCCGAGAGCCCAGACCCTGTAGCAGAGGCTTCTGTCACCAATGATCATTCCCCAAGTCAGAGACATGGAAGGGAAATGAAAGAAGGACATGCATCCTGCCGCCCATGTCAGACACACGTCCCTTGCATGAAGAACTTAAGACGTTTCTGAAGTGACTCACCAACTGATCCAAAATATATAACCGTGATCACCTTAAATCACATAAACATGATCACCTTAAACAGAGAACTGGATCTCGTGTACTGATGCTGCTGGCAGCATTGGAAAGTGACTCTTACAACTTCAGTTGCGATACCGGTTTCCATAAGCTTCTGTGAATTCTTGTCAAAGCTTTAAAACTGAACACGGCAACAACTCTAGGTGAGGAGTGTTTGGCAGATGAAACCCCTCCACCAGGGAGGTGACGGGTCTCAGGGAGTGTGTCTGGCGGGTGGGGAGGAATCCCAGGCCTGGAATCTACCGTCCTGGGTGCTGTCTCCTCCACCACGTAAGCCAAACCTGATTTCCGTGAAGAATTTCCCACTTGCACTCATGAAGACATGGCCATTCCCAGGTATCTAGGTGTTCCTCCACTGATCAGAAACTTACACGACTTTATCAGAAGCACTCTGAGATGGACACTGCTGTGTTCGTTCACCAGGACCACATATCCCAACAGTTCCCCATAACCTGGGGGTGGTTTCTCCTGAGGGCATTTATATAATTAGCAGCTAGCATCCTCTTTTTCAGGTAGCTCATAAAGACCTGGTCCAACAACAAAACACACCTCACATGTCGTTCAACAGGCCATGGAATCATTCTGCTGATGTGTGAAAGAATTGAAAGTAATGCAGTTTACATCATATTATTATATCGCATCTTATAATTATAGATCATACTTAAACAAACAAACACACACACACACACACACACACACACACAGCTGTAATGCAATATATGCTGTAATGTGTTACCAGTTCCTGAGGTTTGGAAGATGGGTCATGAAGGTTGTGATGCCTGGTGGCAGTGCTGCTCCTAAAACAACACCAGGGCCAGCACCCAGAACATCAGCACCCTCAGGTATCAGCACCCTAAGCACCGGCACTGTAATGTGCCAGCACCCTAAGGTACCAGAATCCTCAGGGACGGCACCCAAAGCCACCAGCCCCCTAAGGTACAGCACCCTAAGCACCGGCACTCTAATGTACCAGCACCCTAAGGCACCAGCATCCTGAACACCCTCAGGTATCAGCGCCCTAAAGCACCAGCACCCTAAGTCACCAGCACCCTAAAATATCAGCACCTTAAGGCACCAGCAGCCTAAACTATCAGCAACCTAATGTGGCCCCCTGGCCTGGTGCAGTGCTGCTAGATAAAGGGGTCAGGAATTGTCAAGAGGTAAAGCCACAGTTTGTAAAAAACAGCAGCTTGCAAAGCTGAAAATCAAAGGCCAGACTACAGCTTCAGGAGCCGAGCACCAGTGACCCTCTGATAGGGGTTTGCCACCCATGAATTCAACCAACTGAGGACCAAAAATATTTGGGAATAAAACCAGATGGTCATGTCCATACTAAACAGACTTTTTCCCTTGTCATCATTCCCTAAACAATATGGTATAGCAACTATTTCCATAGCACTTACCTTGCATTGGGTATTATAAGTAATCTAGAGATAATTACAGAATACAGAAGGATGTGCTTAGGCCATGTGGAAATACCATGCCATTTTATAGGAGGGACTTGAGCAGTGCAAATTTTGGTGTCGACAGAGGTCCTGGAACCAGATGCAGAGGGGTGGCTGTACTGGGGTGGGTGCTCATCTGTACGAATGGGGCGGACTGGCCAGGGTGATTCAGAACAACGTTCCCAGGCCCAGTCACTCATCAGATCCCTGCCCCTCATGGCAGAGACCCAGGTTCCACGTGGTGTGGGCAATTCCCATGACCTGGACGCAGGGGTCCCCCGGGGTCTCGTGAGCTTCCAGGGTAAGAAACTGCTGTCCCAGGGAGCGTTGCAGTGGATAAAAAAGAGTCACCCATGGGTACATGACAAGCCTATTCTTCTCTCTTCCAGTTTGGGCCCCTTTACTCTGGTCTCTGAGCCACGTTTCTGCAGTGCCCAGGGAAAGAGTGGACGGCTTCCTTCAGCTGACTCAGAGAAGCCCTCCTCCCCGTCAGCCAGACTCACACCCTCCAGCACACAATCCAGACAAATTGCTTGACCAGAGGAAGCTGGAAATTATTAGTGTTGTCTTGATTTTACAATAGAATCTGTGGAATGTAGGATCAATACCACGTGCTTACTTTCTCACTTCTAAAAAACGGTATGGTCTCGACGCATACAGATCAGCTCTTGCTTTACAGCTGGAGAGAGCTGGGCATGGGGACTGCCTGGAGGGGTCGGGCACCCGCCAGGCAGGTCTCATGTGGGTGATGTCCACGACATTCTTGGAAACAATCATTTTAGTGTGCTAAAACTGGCATTTCTCAACCTGTGAGGTGTAGCTGCATCCCTCCTTTGGTTTACTTTACTTCAGCATTTACTTGGTGTGCTGCCCTTCACTAGCCAGACAGACCAAAGGAGGAAGTGACTGCTGCAAAAAGTGACCACAGGCTGACACATGGAGTGCTCCCCTGCGGAAGGGCCACCCCACAGCAGGTGTGCCAGCATGCTCTTCCCTCTCATCGCTCCCTCTAGCCCTCCTGCCAGGGCTGCTGAGTAGGGGGTAGCCTAGGCAGAGCGTGAAACAAGATTGACATCCATCGGCCAGACAACCCCTTCCAGCTGTCACCTCTGCTGCCCATTCACAGAGCAAGCAGTCGAGGGCCCTTCATGGCTGCCTACAAGCCCTGGTGCAGGGAACGCACACTGCCTCAGGCAAACAGAGCCAGCCACAGGGAGTGAGACATCAAAGTCACCTGCCATTGCTCAGGATGTTATTTCTTTCTCTTTCTGTGTGTGATGGGGTCTCACTCTGTCACCCAGACTGGAGTGCAGTGGTGCAATCACGGCTCACTGCAGCTTCCACCTCCTGGGGCTCAGATGATCCTCTCACCTCAGCCTCCTGAGTAGCTGAGACCACAGGTATGCACCACTATACCCAGCTAATTTTTTTGCAGAGATGGAATTTTGCCATGTTGCCCAAGCTGGTCTTGAACTCCTGGGCTCGAGCAGTCTGCCCACCTTGGCCTCCCAAACTGTTGGGATTACAGACATAAGCCACCACACTCACCCTGAAACATTTATCTTGAAGGTCTAAGAAAGCAATGTTTTCCTCTAACGTAACTTGATTCTGTTCTCTCGGCTTTTCTTGAAATGTCTGGATCGTTCAATGCAACCAAGAAACTTCCCATGCTGTTAGTAAGGGCCATATATTTCCCTGATCAAAGTACTAGTTTTCTTATTTATATTCCCCTGTAACATAGTGTGTGATAACCCTGGACACCCACTTCCTGTGTGTGACGAAATTCAAGGGCCCTTCTCATCAGGTTTGACTGCCAGGTTGTCTAAATGGGCTTCCCATGAGGAGAAGCAATCCCACTGCAGGAGGGTTTTTCTCCACCTTTTTTCGTAACTGGTCTAAAGAAATAAAGATTTTATGTTTCATCAAGATAATTTTCTGTGTTGCCTTTATTAGATTTTCTGATTGCTTGGAAAAACTGAGCTTTAGAAGGATTAAGATTCTCACATGCATGTAACTTTCTATATTGCTTTTGAAGTCTTTGATCATCACTCTGGTTAACTGAATAACTGTTATTTTACAGTGACTTGTGATTCTGTCTCGCTCAACTGTTTTGAATCTTTTGATATCTTTGGCACATTTCTCCAGAACTTTTATCTGGTAAACTGTATGGGAGGCATTGTCAAATGATAAATTATATGGGAACTTCTTTAGTTTGGTTTATGAGTTATGGACATTTATGAGTATGTTATTGATATAAATATTCTAAAAGTTATATAAATTCATAAAAATATGTCATCAGTCATAATTTTGATGTTGTTAAATGTTTTATAAAATTATGTGGATGTTATTGTGAATATTCTGATGATTATATGAAATTTGCAAAAGTCTAATGATCCTGACATGACACTGTCATTCATAATTCTGGTTGTTACCTTAGAATGCTGCGTGTCATAGAACCAACTAAATTTTCTTGTCAATTGAAAATTTTCATCAAATTTTAACCATGGCTAGTCTAAGTTTTTGTCATTCACAGCTTTTATTCTAAATTCTTCTCTATAAACATTTGAAATCAGCTCTAGTCCAAAAGTGCTTTTCATGAAAAAGACTCTAATAAATATAGGTACAAAAAGAGAAAAAAATAGTACAATTAATCAAAGAATACGCAAATTTATGTTCTGGTTTTGTTAAATGGTTATCATGTTTATTTTCCCCCAATCTGGGAAACTCATTTTGATGCTGTTAAGTATGTGCTGCTATGAAGAATCTGTAGTATCCGGGTAGTCATCCGGTTGAGGTGGTTTGTTAGGTGCAGGAAAGGCAACATTAGAAAAAAATCTCAGATCATGATAATTAAAAAATAGATGTCATCCGCCGGGTGCAGTGGCTCTTGCCTGTAATCCCAGCACTTTGGGAGGCCGAGGCGGGCGGATCACCTGAGGTCGGGCGTTTGAGACCAGCCTGACCAACATGGTGAAACCCCATCTCTACTAAAAATACAAAATTAGCCGGGCGTGCTGGCGCATGCCTGTAATCCCAGCTACTCGGGAGGTTGGGGCAGGACAATTGCTTGAACCCGGGAGGTGGAGGTTGCGGTGAGCCGAGATTGCGCCATTGCACTCCAGTCTGGGCAACAAGAGCAAAACTCCGTCTCAAAAAAAAGAAAAAAGAAAAAAGCCATCCAAAGTGTGTTTTCCAATGAAGAGGCAAGTATGTTCGTTGGGCCCTACATTTATTCCTTGCAACTACAGCTAGAAGCTGCCGACTGCCCTAGTAAAGATCCCCCTAGCCATTAGAGACAATCAGCATTGGTCTTGTAAATGCAACCAAGTAGCTGATTTATGATTAAAAGGGGGAAGGAGGGGCGTGGTGGGGGCGGGGCAAGGAACTTGTGAGACAAAGTAACAAATGTCGGAAGCCATGTCTGTTTCTTTCTGCTTGCCAACAGCACTTCAGAAAACCCCTGATTCTGTAATGACCTCTAGCTCTCCAGAAAGATGCTTTGAAGACAAAGCAGGACAGAGCACACAGCCCCCGGCATCTCCTGCTTGAGTCGCTCCATTCCTCAGGAGGTAAATGACCCTGGCCTTGCCTTTTCCTACACACAACCTCTGATGAGGTTAGCCGCAATGCTTCTGTAATCTGCGACCAGATGTACACTTACGCCCAAACCTGGATGTGAATTTGCACGGACTGAAGCTCCACCACCTAGATAGAAGTGGTGGGTGGAAACCCTGTGTGGGGCGGTCCCATGGAACCTCTCTAAAGGACTCCCCCGGGGCCATCACCTCAGTCTACAGTCCTCAGCAAAGCTCCTGAATAAAACTAACTTTAATTATTTAAAAGCCTGATTTGTTCTTTAGTCAGCATTATTTAATAAATATTCTTTCAAAGTACAAAAGTAGATGGAAAGGCCTCATAGAAATTTTTTATTAGTGGTGGCTACTGAGGAGACGGGAAGGGATGGGATTGGGGAGAAATAACAAAACTGGAATACCTTTTCCAGAGACCTTAATTCCTTTTTCTTTTCCTTTTTGTTTTACCAATAAATAAATAAATAACCAAGAAAAATACTTTAATACAATGTGCCAAAAACAGTAACATCAACCTGGATGCTGGGAACCTGGCATCTGTTAAAGTCTTCCCGCACTTCTGTATAGCTTCATGATTCCCCCAAAATAGACTGATAAAAATACAATTTAGAAGTATGTCTTTCCATTGGGATGAAGCATTCTCAGAAATATCTCAGAAAAGTCCACCATGAAGCCAGTGGCACATGGGGTCTGATTATTGGAGGCTGTTGGAGAGAGCTGGGTCACCAAGCCGCACAGCCCAGGCCTTGATATTTGCCTGTCCACCTGGAGGGATGTGACTTCCATCAGGCTACAAACATCCTGGGACAGTGAACCGGGAATCACTGAACCTTATCACATGGGCTTGCTATGGGAGTTCACATGATTTGAAAAACAGATGCCCACTCCAAGTCCATTCAACAGCCATCCACTGCATCCAGACTGTTGAATCTTCAACCAGCATCAAAGAAAGGAGCCGCCTTTGCAGGGATTGCTGTCTAGGGGATGGAAGCGCAAAGAAGCTCGGAGCTCCCACAGATGATGTTAGGTGCAGAGATGGGGGTGCACCCAGGGCACAGCACAGGGGCCCGGTCAGAGCCTCTTCCTACCAGAGGTGATGACAGGGGGATGACAGGGGGAGCTGTGAAGGCCACCGGAGGCTGAGTCTGGTGGAAGGAGGCAGGGAACAGCCAAAGTGAAGGCTGCTCTGGTTCAAGTTGGTGTTCAAATAAAAGTAAGTCACAACAAAACAAAAGACCTGAAGTGAAGCCTGCTGGCTTAGAGGAAATGAGGAACCGGAGCGGCTGGGGTGCAGGGTGGGAGGCAGGGGTGCACACTTATGCATTTGCCCAGTTTTGCATCGGATTTCTGGAGGTTTGGGACCCTCTTTGCAGAAGCTTTCACGAGCCTAAGGGTGAGATGCTCTGCCCCCTGTGGATCGAGCCTACCCTGTACTCAGGGCCATGCCAAACCATTGCACATCATTTTGAGCCTTCAGAACATGATATCAAATTATACTTGGATGTCACATTATCGGCCAGAATGGGAGTACTTTTGAAAGCCTAATAGCCTTAGGCTGCAAGAGTCCTGTGGACGGCACTGTTCCCAAAGTCACAGACCCTTTATGGACATGCAGGACTGATGCCGCCACTGTCAGTAACAGCAGTGGTGTTGGCCGTCTTGATCAGTTTATTATGTCTTGGAACTCATCCTTGAATTAATTGGAATGTTCTTTTGCATTGTCGTCCAGGAAATTTAGAGGCCAACGAGGGCAGGATCTACTCCCAAAAAGACATAGGGACCCTTACAGTACGAGTTTTGGGTACTAACCCCATGGCTGACCTTTCTGATCTTTCCTCATTCGGATCTTATATTCCTTCTTCTCATCTCATTTTCTTCGTCTGATAATCTTAATTTTATCTTGTAGCATGTATGTATGGAAGCCAGTGCCAGTCTCTTTAGGAAAAAGGTTTGGTAACACGGAGGTCACTAGCATCCCTCGTGGACAGTTTCCATGGAATGTCCCAGGCACAGGTCACATTTCAGCGGGTTCCGGAGCTCACTCTAAGTGGGGAAGTGGAGGCTGCCCTGGTAGGTGCCATCCCTAAACTGTTTGGGAGAGAAGAGGAAGAGAGAAGTAAAAGGAAGGTTTCTGCGTTTTTCTGTTTATAAAGCGGATATGAGCAGGTTTACAGGCTGAACAGAGTAAACCAATAGAAAGAGAAATGGTAAAATGAAAAACTGAGATTTCTAAGGAAACTGTAGGGTGTGGAGTAGGATCACTGCTAGGGTGTGGGAACAGAGGACTGAGGGGTGTTGACCTCCAAAAGCAAAGGTGCATGCAAGCGAAGGGACATTGGTAAGAGGGAGGCAGGAAGTTGAGGTAAGCTGATAGATTGCTTCAATTTTCCCCAACAATAGGATATGAGATCACCTGTTTAGAGGTTGGGACAGGCCCTGAGGGGAGAGAGGAAAGTTAGGTATGGCCCCTGAGGGGCAAGGGGGCCGAGGGCTCCTGGCAGGAGCTTAGGATTCATGGCTAGCAGCAATTCTCACTCTTCTTACTAGTTTATAACTCCCATTAGCAGAACCCGAGCACTCTTGCCTCGTATACCTGTTTCTCTCCTTAGCAGGGGTCTAAGATGTTGACATCGACCCTTTGGAGTAAGGGTTTATACTGACATGAATTCTCAACTCAAGATTTTCTCCCTAAGGGCCACCTACCCAAACGGAAGAGCAATAGGTCCTCTTTTCCATATTCAGGTGCTAGGAAATAAACGTAAGCTATCAGCAAGCCATCACCATCTTACCATCCAATGGTATATAATTACTCTGTGCTCACAAGCAGCGGCTGATATTGGTGAAGTAATTAGGAGGTTCCCGGCAATCATTTCTTTCATGTCCCAATTAAGACACTCAGCCATTGTTCATTAGGGGTGTTAAGAAAGTCAATGAATTTAAGCACAGGTCTGTGGGGCCTGAAGCACTGCAAGAGTCACTGGGGGCGTGCTGATTTTCCCTGTGACAATGTGCCTTATTCAACATGAGAGGGAGCGTGTGTGGCTGAGGCTGGCATACCTAAGACCATGGAACTGGTGCTAAGCAGTGCCCTGCTTTATTTATAAATCACTTCCTCCTTTGGGGGTACTTAAATATTTTATAAATTTGTCTCATAAAATGTTAAACATCCTCACCTTTACCATGACAGTGTTTTCACATACAGAATGAGAAAATATCACAGATTTTGAAAGTTCCTATCCTCTTGTTATGGCAATCAGTGAAACATTATTCAGTCAGAAAGAAGTCTCAGTTTAGAAACTGTAAACCTTTATGTCTATAGCCTTGCACTGCCACTGAATTTAGATCCAATTTCTGAATTATATCATTCACAAAAAGACCATCTTGGATTAAGTTTCCATCAAACTTGGAGAACTCTGAGAAGGCCCTAAGCGTGTCCATGCTGGAGAAGCTTTGGCAGGATAAGAAGAGCTGGAAGGGGCATCCTCCTGCCCAGCCACTCCGCTTCAGGCTGTGCTGCAGAGAAACTTCTGCACCCATCAACAAGGAAATATGTTTATAGCAATTATTTGCAAAAGCAAACAACGTGACACAAAACAAAACAAAAAACTGAAACAACGTGAACATCTATAGTAGGAATTGACAATACTCTCATGGCGGACTAGTCTCCATTTAGGGCAGCAGTCCCCAATCTTTTTGGCACCAGGGACTGGTTTTGTGGCAGATAATTTTCCATGGATGAGGGTGGGGGACAGTTTCAGGATGATTCAAGCACATGACATTTATTGTGTACTTTATTCCTATCCTTATTACACTGTAATATATCATGAAATAATTATAGAACTCACCATCATGTAGAATCAGTGGGAGTCCTAAGCTTGTTTTCCCGCAACTAAACGGTCTCATGTGGGGGTGATGGGAGATGGTGACAGATCATCGGGCATTAGATTCTCAGGAGCATGCAACCTAGATCCCTCGTGTGCACAGTTCACAATAGGGTTCAAGTTCCTATGAGAATCTAATGCTGCTGCTGACCTGATAGGAGGCAGAGCTCAGGCGATAATGCAACTGATGGGAAGCAGCTGTCAATACAGATGAAGCTTCGCTCACTCACCTGCCACTCACCTCCTGCTGTGTGGCCTAGTTCCTAACAGGACATGGTCTGTGGCCGAGGGGTTGAGGACTCCTGATTTAGGAAAACACTACAACAGACAGCTCTGAAAAGCTTCGTAAGAAAGAGGCAGCACACTGGGTGATTTATAGGTACAAATATGATCCAACTGAATAATGTACTCATTGTTAAAAATAGGTGTAGGTTCCCAAGTGATAAAGACCATGGTAAAATTTCTGGAACAGTCAGACCCCTCGACCAATGCAGAACAGCTGATTTTCTAGTTATTTATCACCTAAGTAAGGCTGAACATATACAAGTAAGTTGGACATAAAATCTACTTGTGTGATATTATCTGTTTCAACATCAGAAAATTATTGGGGCTTACAGAGCTGAGGACATTTGGACTTTATGTCTTACATGACAGAGTTGAAGTTATTTGTCTCAAAGTATATTCAATCCACTGGGTCATTTTGTTCTGCTCTTTCTTGGATGCTACTTCAAAGCAGTGATCTCCACTGAGATTTTCTCAAGAGTCCCGTGGCATCATTCTGTACAGCAGGGGCACACCGTAACTGTGTGTTGCCTGAAGACTATTCTCAGGTGATTTTCACATTAACCCTTTACTTCTGCCACCTTGCTATTTGCCACTTAGTGTCATTAACAGATTGGATTCCATAATGCTCCCCATGTCCTTTTCTTCCTATTCCTTTTGATTTCTCCAGTAAAATATATCCAAACTCAATGGAAGGTCACAAAATATCAAGATTCCATGTCTTAGGGAAAGTGAAGATCATTCCATTTTTTTTCCTGGCAACAAAAAACCCACTCCAAAGTGTGCAAAACTCTAAGATACCATCCACAGTTCATCCTGTCCAGACAGCGGGCCTGCATCCATGAGGCTGGCCGAGGGTCGCCACCCACCCCGCCCTGAAAGCTCTATGGCCTGTGTCAGTGTATCAGGAAGTGAGCTCTCCTCTCAGCTGGAAGCAGGAAGACCAGAGAGGCTGACTAATGATGGGAATTTCAGAGGGAGCCCGAGAAGCCTTTCTCTTCCAGTTGTAAAGTTCATGAATCACCATCCAGCTGCCAGTCATGATGGCAAGAGGAAATGAAAACAGAATATCTCCTAGCAGAATTGACAAAATGGGAAAATCCCTGAAGACATGTACTCCCAGAACCATAACCGATGCAGGGGGTGGGGAGGGAGGGGCTGGGAGGGGAGAAAAGGGGGCAGGAAGGGAAAGAGAGCGGCAAAGCGCATGGAGCCTACGCTTTTTTACAGACGCAAAAAGATAGATGCACATTCTTTGTCAACTGTCACAAACGAGGTCCTTGATTTTCAATTTCCTGCAATCCTGGCTAAGAGACACAATTTTTAAGACATTCCTCATCAGTTGCCAAATATTGATTATTCTCTGTTTAGTCTACAATGAACCAGATCACACTTGTAATATTATTTAGAAGCAAATAAATCTGCAAGGCTATTGGCGTCTCTCCCTAATAAATCGTGTGGCTGCCATGACCCTTCACCCCAGCGGCAGCCTGGTGTGATAATTGGTAGGTAACCAGTTTGCTTTTCACTCTAAAAAGTGCTTAATTGTCTCCCTTAGATTTGTAGGCATGCATAGCCAGACACCTCGAGAAATGACGCACGCCTTACTCATTTATAATCAGCATCAAGCAGACAGTGAAAAATCTATAAATTAGAGATAAGCATCACACTCCAGAGGCATTAAAGAGAATTCTAAACGTCTCCTTTGCAAATTGTTCAATTAAAAACAGAATGAGCTTTTTCACAGGAAACTACTACTGACTCCTTTTAAGCTTCTAAGACATTCACTGAGGGGCCCCTCCCAGCTTTCCAGGCTAACGTCCGGATAATCCCCCCAGGTACCTGGGCCATGGATCTAACTCCTGTGATGCTATAAAGGACTCTGGTGACGGTTCTGAACTTGACAAATGCCGTACCCAAAATAGTATATTCCCTGTTTAGACGAACTCTAAATTAAACTCAAATCCCTTTGGTTATTTTTAAATCTGTATTAGTTATTTTCTCATAAACAGAAATAACTTTGATTATGAAACGAAGCTATTTCTCATTGTGAAAGAAATAAAACATACAGAAAAGTATACAAAGTAAAATAAAAATGTCATGCCATCGCTCAGAGAGAATCCTTTTAATATTGTTTACATCCTCCTAGAATTTATATGCATTCATACCATATTGTATTCATTTTTAAATTAAAGTACTATTTTTGCTATATTACTGTCCCATGACCTGCCTTTTGCATTTAGTACATGTGGATATTTCTTCCCTATCAATGAACATATTGAATGCTAGTATTTTATTGTTAAATATTCCAATCCTGTATGAATGTACACATAGGTTATCTCCAGTTCATTATTATTATTTTAAATAAAATGACAGAAAGAGTAATTATAACTCAAACAGTCCTGAAAGCCACTGTTTTGGAGGAAGTCCTCCAACATTTGGAAACCCATCCAGTGAATTCCCCAGTTGGTTACCCAGTGGTCTGGAAGGCAGCAGGGAGGTGGCTGGGAAGTGGGGCTTTGAAGGAAGGCCTCGGGGGGATGGTCCAGGGAGAAGAAAAGGGTCTAAGGCCAAGAGCAGAGACCCTACAGCAGGAAGGCCAAGGTGGACCCTCAAAACAGAGGAATTCATCACAAGGACAAGGACCGAGAATCAGGCAGGCAGCCCCAGCTGACACTCACAAGGAGATTGCACAGTACCTTGGAGGCAGGCACTGCCTTTCAAGCCCGGCGTGTGTAACTGTCTTACTAGGTTGACTCATTTAACTGTCCCCATGGCCCTGGACATGTTACCAGTATTGTTCCCATTTTACATGGGAAGAAAGAGAATATGGCTTTAAATAAAAACGACGTCACTGGATACCATGACGTCTGCCAGGAAGACAGCAAACTTTCACATAGAACTGGAAAGATATCAATCCACGGAGTTGCAAAAGAAAAGTATTAATAGAGAAATGCTTGAGTCCAGCAATGGAATCTGCCACTAAGAAAATTTCCAGAGACATTAGAGGCCATCCATCATTTCCTGCCAATGGCTCTTGGGAAACATTCCCAAGCTTTACACAGCAAATATGTAGTTACAGCCTAGATATCCAGGTGTGCATGTCTGCAAGATGAGTGCTCCTGAAAACACCTATAGGTTTCCAAATGTGAACAACTGAATACAAATGCTAGCAATATTGCTTCACTGGAAACTGTAGGAAAAATCAAGAGTAATTCTTAAAGCCACAGGGAGGGTGGAGAAAAACACCCTAACATCAGAAATAAAATTTACAAGAATTAGCAAATATTTATAAAATTCATGACAAGCTAAGTATCTGCAGTGAGTCACTCAGATTTAACTTGTCTAAACTCATGGCTTTGACAATTTTAACATTTCCTCTTTTCTTTGATATTTCTCATGGTGCTATTCCATATGTAAATAGTTTTAAATCTGCACAGTGCTAACGCTGGAATGCAAAAACACTTTAAGCAGATAAACTTAGAAATATGAACTCTAGGAAACCCTCTAGGTAAGGATCCCTAACTAAATTACTTGAGCACAGCTGTTAAGTGAAAGCACAACCCTAGACATTGTGGAAACCCTTAAGCCTCCCACTAAGGGAATTCCCATTAGAGCTCGTCTCTAAAATCCGGGCCCTGGCGTTTCTACTGTGAGCTCACAGAGCAGGCTGGGAGTCTGTTGGCTTCACTGGGAGCTTTTGCTCAGTGTCTAAGTCAGGCAACCGAATGAGAGAGCGGGTACGGAAAAGACAGGAAAAGAGGGTGTCGTGTGATTCAGGAATATCAGGTTAAGGGGACCCCACGGTCATTGAGACCAATCACACTCTGCAAATCCCTCTGTCTGTGCCAATGCAGCCTCCGCCTAAAAGACTCCGGTGATGGGAGAGACATCTCCACGTAGGAGCCACTGGATCTTCCAAAGTTCTGGATTTGAAAGAGCTAAGTGTGCACGGGGCTTGGCTCCGTGCAGCTTCCACTCGTGGTCCCGTGGTATCAGGAGGGCAGTCGGGACAAGCCCAACCCCTTTCCGTAACACAGCCAAGTGTTGGAAAGCCTGCCTTCTTACTGTGTTCTTCCTCTCATGTGGATGACACCAGCACCTTCATTGTTTCCTACAGGGCCTGCTTTAAGTATTCATTAAATATTTATGGGACACCTACCAGGGCTAGGCCTGTGCTATGCACACACACCAGTGCCCAGGGCCCTGATGTCCCAGTGGGTGAGGAGCTGGTCCCTGAGCATTCTCTATGAACATGCTCTTCGTGGCTTCTTGCCCTTAGAAGACAGGATGTGGACTGGACACAGTGACTAGGGTGTGGTCTGACCACCAGAGACACCTACCTTGTGGTAGCTTCTGCTGCACCCTGAGAAACCATCTGGATTAAGTCCAGCACTGTTAAAAATTATGATTCAAAATGAACAAGCTGCCCTACTGCTTATTTTGAAAATAATGTTCAACCTATTATCTGTTTACTTTACTGGTGACTGGGGGGCTCTCAGTACCCAAAACACAGTTAAAATCTATCAAAGTAGCAGAGAGGAAAACAGACTCCTCAAAGATCAGCTGTGCAATTAATCCATGGAGAGCCTTTCTATCAGAAAAATGAAATTAGATTCCTATATTATTCCATATACAAAATCAAACTGAGTATAACAATTTAACAATAAGGAAGAACAACCCAGTCTTTATGTTCTTAAGTGGGAATAGCTTCTTTAAAAAATTCAAAATAAAAGCACAAAAATATTGAAAGTTAAAAACTTTCTTCTTACAAAAGAACTCACACATAGACAAAGTTAAAGATAGAAAACTCTTTGAAGATGTTTGCAGCATTTGTGACAAAGGACTGATTTCCAGAATTTATAAAGACCATCAACAAAAAGACAGTAACCCAGTGGAAATATAAACAAAGGGTATGAGCTGGCAATTCGCAAATGGGAAAACCAAAATGTCCAAGTAAATATTTGAACAGATACCCAGCCTCACCAGTAACAGGAAAATGCAGATGAAAATATTCCATGCATTGCGTGGGCAAAACGTTTGAAATGTCTGAAAGCATCAAGGAGTGCCCCCTCTGTTAACAGAACTCACAACAGAGGGTAATTGGCAGTACCAACTGGAAATGCGCGTATGTCACGACACGGCTCCATGCCTACATGCACAACTGCCAGACACATGCAGCAACGTTCAACAGCCCAGATGAGGAGGTAATGCAGGCGCTCATCCAAAGGGGTACAGATAAGCAAAATCAGTGACACCTGAAGGAGAAAAGATGGCTTGCAGAAAAACATGTACAGTATAATTCCATTGATGAGACTTAAACACACAAAGCCATTCTATGCACCGTTTATACACATTGTTTATGCATACATTGCTTATATGTAAAGACGTGGATAAGAAGGTTTGCACACGGAATTCAAGCCAGTGGATGGCGTTGGTGGGAAAGGAAGGGGTGGTGGGTGCCACTGAGAGCTCTACAAAGGGAACGTCAGCTTTATCTTAACATGATCTGAGGCACATGGTCTAAATGTGATTCTGGCTCGCCAGGGACTCAAATGTTATATCTAAGTTTTGAGTGTTGAATGTCAAATCATTCTCTGCACTTTCCTATATTTAATTTCCTGCCACATCGAAAAACGGAAAGCACAAAAATTAAATAAATATTAAACCGGCACTCAAGTGGATAATTTAACAGCCTCTAATTACAGACCAACGGATTGAATTAGGATCATTAGAGCCCCGGTGTCCTTTAGTACTGTGCTGAGGGATCACCCACTGCTTATGTGTACCCTAAGTATGCAAGCCACGAGCAGTCATACCCAATGGGTGGCTCTTCACCAGCCCTCCAGGGCCCCGCCTTCAAGGGCCAAGAGTGAGGTTAACGGAAGGGACAGAAACCCCAGAAAATTGCTCTCCTGGGAGTTCCATCTGGGTAGCCCCGTTTCCAGCATTCTTCTGCTCTCACCGTACCAGCCCTGACAGCTGCCTCAAGAAAGGCCAGGCCGGGCGCAGTGGCTCGCACCTGTAATCCCAGCACTTTAAGAGGCCGAGGAAGGCGGATCACCTGAGGTCGGGAGTTCAAGACCACCCCGGCCAACATAGTGAAACCCCCGTCTCTACTAAAAATACAAAAATTAGCATGGCATGGTGGCGGGCGCCTGTAATCCCAGCTACTCAGAAGGCTGAGGCAGGAGAATCGCTTGAATTTGAGAGGCGGCTGTTGCAGTGAGCCAAGCTGAGATCACACCACTGCACTCCAGCCTGGGTAACAGAGCGAGACTCCATCTCAAAAACAAAAAACAAAACAAAAAAAGACAGGCCAACAGCCCTGGGCTGAGTACCATTAACACTGAAATAAATAGGGCCCCATCACTAATGCTCTGCACAGATTGTGTGCACAGGGCTTTTCAAATGTCTGTCCACGCACAGGAGTGAACAAAGGCAGCTCAAGAAGAAATCTCTTCAAGAAGAAATGTTGAATTCTCTGATTTCTCACGAAAACATTTATTGCTGAGGGAACCCTTGGTGTGGTATCCTCTCCGGTGTGGGTCTCAGAGTTGTGTCATAAGAGAGACACAGACCTATGATTCTAGTTAAAGGAGAAAATGCATTTGCGTGGCAAAATGCAAAAAGTAATGCTAACCTGCAACCAAATCCATGAGGATTTCCCTTCTGCCTCCTCCTGACACAAACACGAGGAGCTGTGGCAGCTCTCCCTGCGGTGGCCACGGGAGGGGAGGACGGCTCTAAGCTGTACTGCATCCTAGGTCCTTCATCCGCCTCTCATTCCTGCAGCATCCTTCCCAGCAACACCTTCCTCTTCTGTGCTTCTCTCCACTGCACCCACCAACATGCCACACTGCATACTTTTTATTACTCATAATGTCTGCTCAATGCATCATTTCATTAACTCTTAGTTCCAAGCTAGCAGGGATTTTTCATTATTTTGTTAACAGGTGAATGGAGCACTCTGTGTCCCGTCCGTGCCTGCAAAACACTGAGAAGCCAGACACACAAACAGACCCCATAGAACGGGAGCGTTCCCATTATGGAGGCACAAGTTGCTCTGACTAATGGCGCTGAAATAACGCAAAATCATCCACCTACCAGAGAGCAGAATTCTTCCCAAGACATTTGTCACAGAGCTAGAATACTGGTATGAAAGCAGCTAGCGCACTTCCCCAAAGACACTCTGGTAACAAAAGAGGACAAGAATGGCCTGCTGCAACACATACACAAACTAGCACTTATGTACTTGATTTCTGCATATCTCTCTAGCAACTGGCCCAAGACCCTGGAGCCGAGGCCAGCTCCGTGGCCCCCACCAGCCAGCATTAAACTTGCAAACTGTCACCAAAACACGGTTCACAAAGGAAACTTCACAGCTCACTCTCCTTTTGAGGATGGGCTATGAAAACTCACACTGCGGGACTTCAAACTCATGGTGCCCAGCACAGGCCAGGACCCTGGTGCCATTCCCCCAGGAAGGGCTGGAGAACACTGCCCTCGTGAACATGCCCACAGAACGCCCAGCAACCAGGCCGAAGAACAATCCCAAACCCAAGCACACTTCCAATTTCAGCGACTTTAGCCACATCACGGCTTTTAATGAGTGTGGAACATGAAAGACACAGTTGGGCAGGTGCTTGAGGCCACACACACTTACACATCAGCAGAAAGTGCTGGTCCTTGGTTGCTATAACAACAGTGCCACCTAATCTACAAAGAGCTTGGAGGCCTCTCCACACCCCGGGGAGCTACCGCCGTCTCTTGTAACCCTTTGGTATATTGAGACATGCACACACTGACACGGGCATTTTAGGACATTTTTATGCCCCTGGCGGCGCCATGCATCCTGCGAGAGGGATTCTCTGCCTTCTCTTTAACTTTTCACCCGTAGAACGTTAACAAACCAGGCCCACGGCAGACAGGGCTTTGGCTGGTGGTCAGTGCACAGCAGACAGGGCTTTGGCTGGTGGTCAGTGCACGGCAGACAGGGCTTTGGCTGGTGGTCAGTGCACGGCAGACAGGGCTTTGGCGGTGGTCAGTGCACGGCACCATCTCCCTTAGCAGCAGAAACACAGAGTGAGACAATGAGAGGTCTGAATATTTTCCCTTTTAATCCAGCTTCTGGCACTTTCCGAAGATCTGTCTTTCCTGTCAACCACCGAGTGCAGTGCTGGGGCCCTGAGCCATCCCACCCGTGTCTCAAATTCATACCCTGAGCACCTGAGTATCCCCTAGGAAGTTCTGTCTCCCATAGACAGGGGTAAACACCCACCCACGCTAGTGTGGTCACTCCCTTCCATTCCACACAGCACTCTGCATTCATGAAATTCCATCCACCGACCTGGATTTTCCTTTTTAAAAAGTCTCTGAGGACAGCCAGCCCTGTGGATGCAGTGGCCTCTGGGGGCTGGTGGCAGGGTCCCTGGCTCTCCAACTGGGAGGCAAAGGCACCGGCCTCGGCCAGCGTGTGCAGGGGTTCCCCGTGCCTCTGGGCCATGCTGGCCTCGCCGCAGACCTGAGACGCGGCCCCGGGCCCGGGGAGTCGGAGGGGAATGGGAGCGTTGCTGCCCGCTGAGGCCTCTGGGGGTAGGCTGGGTCCCGGGGGCCTGCACTCCTTTCAAAACACAGGCTCTATGGCGACAGACTTAAGAAAAAACGGTGCTGGGCCTCAGCCCCCAGGGACTGCCTCAGAGGAGACTGCGCTGCAGCAGGGCCCAGGCTGGAGAGCCGCGCACCCGTGCAGCAGGGCCCACCCTGTGGGCCAGGCCCAGACACCCCCGAGGGTCCTCCCGCGCTGCCCCTTCAGACCTCTGCAACATCTGCTTGAGGGCAGGCCCCAGGAGAGGAGGAGATGACACCTGGGGGCATGCAGGCCTGGGCTTGGCTCTGGATTTAAAGCGGCACTCCACGTCCCTGGCGGCGGTGGGGTCGCGAGCCTGCACCTGACTCCAGTTGAAGACACTAGAGGGAGCACCCTCAGTACTGGGCCCTCCCTTCCTAAAGCTTAGGGGGCCTGGGCCTTCCCCGGCTCTGGGAATGGAGTCTACCTCTGCCTGCCTTTCCTCATGGGTGCACTGGGCTGTATGAGTCAGCTCAGGCTGCGTAACAAATAACAGAGGCTCGTGGTTGGAACAGCAGACATTCACTTCTCACGGTTCTGGAGGCTGGAAGTAGAGATGAGGATGTTGGCAGGGTTGGCTTCTAGGGGGACCTTGCTCTTTGGCTTTGGAGACAGTGTCCTTCCCCCTGTCCTCATGTGGCCCTTTCTCTGTGTGTGTCTGTGTCCTAATCGGCCTTTTTTTTTTTTTTTTTTTTGAGAGAGAGTTTTGCCCTTGTTGCCCAGGCTGGAGTGCAGTGGCGCCATCTCGGCTCACTGCAACCTCTGCCTCCTGGGTTCAAGCGATTCCCCTGCCTCAGCCTCCTGAGTAGCTGGGATTTCAGGTGTGTGCCACCATGCCTGGCTAATTTTTGTATTTTTAGTAGAAATGGGGTTTTACCATGTTGGTCAAGCTGGTCTCGAACTCCTGACCTCAGGTGATCCACCTGCCTTGGCCTCCCAAAGTGTTGGGATTCCAGGTGTGAGCCACTGCACCCGGCCCTAATCTCCTCTTATCATAAAGACACCAGTCAGATTGGACAAGGGCCCACCTTCAAGACCATTTTACCTTCATCACCTCTCTAAGGACCCTCCCTCCCAATACAGTCCCATTCTGGGGTCCTGGGCTTAGAGTTCCAACATACATTTGCGAGGGCACAGTTCAGCCTATAATAACAACAGAACCCCAAAGCCTGGGTTTCCACCCAATATTCACTCAGAGAACGAGAGGGGGTGACAACAGTGCCTGGGCGCTGCGGCAAAAATGCTGAGAGCTGGCAGCTCCACGTGCAGCACTGTTCTATCTACCTCGGGTGTGTGAGGCTGAGGAGACTCTCAGGCCTGCCACAACTCCCTAGTGTGTCATGGTTTAAAAATTATCTACCGAAATGTGGAGGTTAGAATCCATCGTCTCTACAACTGGTGACTCAAAAAATAGAGACTAATTTGGAAAAGAGCTGTCAGGCCCAACAGAATATTAATGTTGCTGCTGTGGTTGCCCAGTGAGGACATGAGGAACGAAACACAGAACATCACTCGCTCACATCTGAGCCAGCGGTGCTGCTGTGAGTCTCTAAGAAGTATCCGTGTTGCAGCTACTGAGACACGCTTTTTCCTGCCCGGGTCACCTTCCGCCTCTACAGATTTCTTTAGATGGTCCTTTCAGCAAAGAAGCCAGTGGACAGCTGAGTGGCCAGTGCCTTGGGACGCACACACCCAGCTGGAGTATGCAGGCTCTCCCCAGAGCAGGCAAGGCCATGTGATAAGAACAACACCGAGCTTTCCTCTGAGCTCCTGCACCCCTGCACCTACCAGTCATGTGACTGGATCCAAACTCACCTGTTGAGGCTAATTTCCCATTTCAGTATCTGGGATAAGGACACAGGAAAACTCAGCGTGTGTTTTCCTGTTCTCACACAGTCAACCCAACACTCTGACACCATATGTTGGAGACCTATCAAAGTGTTTATCCTACTCTGTACTCTCAGGCAATACCACATTTCACCTGCAGTCTCCACAGTGCCTGGGGATTTCTTCCCAGCAGCAACCGATCAGTTCTGCACAGACACCAGCAAGATGTCCTTTAATTCAATTCGAATTCTGACACTACCGACCTGGAGATAGCCTCAGATTCCACAAGTTGAGGGCTCAGTCCCAGAAGGCTACCCCTCACTTCAGATGCCAGTCGTAAGCCCCAGGCTGTAGCCTGTGCTTTTAACCAACTGGCTATAAATAGGGGTTCCTATTGTCTTCAACTAATTTGCTTCAAGTTCCCTCCTTGTCTTCCACTAATTTCAACTAAATAGGGGTTCCTATTGAAGGGGTTCCTTCAACTAAATAGGGGTTCCTATTGTCTTCAACTAATTTGCCTCAAGTTCCCTCCTTGTCTTCAACTAATTTGCTAGAGCAGCTCATAGAACCCAGAGAACCACATTATTAAGGTTTGCTGGTTTGCTGTAAAGGATATTACAGGACACAGATGGGCAGCCAAATGGAGATGGACATGGGGTGAAGCATGGGGAAGGGTGTGGAGCTTCCGTGCCCTCTGGGCAGCACGACCCTGCGGAATCCTCCGGCTGTTCAGTAATCCGAAGCTCCCCAGCCCCAGTCCTTTTGAATTGTTATGGAGGCTCCATTACATAGACGGGCTTTATCAAATCATTGGCCATTGGTGATAAGCTTGACCGTCAGCCCCTCTCCTCTTCCTGGGGGTTGGGGGTGGGGATGAAAGTCTCAACCCTCTAATCCTGCCTGTGGTCTCTGGGGTGACCAGCCCCCATCCTGAAGCTACTCAGGGGCCCTCAGCCACCAGTCCTCCCATTCGTGTACAAAGGACACTCATCACTTCACCGATTCCAAGGGGTTCAGGAAATGGGAAGAAAGAGCACATATATGTATTTTGGTATCGCAGATACTGCCTGCCTCAAGGATTGTCAGGAGCACTCAACCATAATGGAAGAATGGCCCAGTTGGAAGACACCTTAGAGGCTATTTCAAACTTTTGCACACCGACAATGTTCTACAACATCCTTCACAAATGCACATCGCATGTCTTAGTGACACAAGCCCGACTCACAGATTTCCAGCTTTGTGCAGCTATGTGTGGCCGCTCCTCCTCCTCCTCCCAAAGCTTCCTTCCCCCTTTCCACCACACAGACTAAGGCATGAGGCTGGGCAGGGGGAAGGGGGATACTGAGTGAGGAAAACAGAGAGGGCGGTGGAGGTGGCCACACAGCATAGCTGGTGTGCTCTTTACAGCAAGGCTTCAGAGCAGCGCTGGTGTGTGCGTGGATGCTGAGGATGAACTCAGGTCCAAGCTGCCTGACTGTACTCCCATGGGTACGCCTAGCTGGGGTGCTTCCTTTCCAATGCAAACGACCTCTGCAGGAGACAGGATGGCACAGGGGCCTCCTCCTGAAGCTCTTACAGCAGATTCTCGACCTCTGCAGCTGTGAGAAGGCAGCGGCTGTGTACGGACACAGAGCAGACACAGGCACTGTGCAGAGGGGTGTGTGCTTGACATTCTGCCCTGAGTTGCCCATGCCAGTGAATGTGCCAACGGTCCCTGTAGATCTGCAGGAGCCTGGAAATGTCTCATTTGTCCCGAGGGCAAATGCTGGACAGGGGGTGGTGACCAGGGTGAACGAGACTTATCCTGTCACTTTTGTATAGACTCTGTAACTTTAGAACCATGCGAAGAGATTACTTCTGAAAAATGGAAATTAGCAGCAACCGTAGAGGAAGCTGGTCAGAGGAGTGTGGCACGTGCTGTCTTCAGGAGGGCGGGATGAGGGCAGCCCGGGAGGGAGTGCGGGCCAGGCTTCCGGCTCCATGCTCCCACTGCCAGCGCCACCACCTCCCCAGGCAGGAGAAACAGCTAAATCCTGAAAACTAACAAGTAATGGGTGTTTCTGCGGTGTCTTCCACCGGCAGAAACTCCACCGAGTGCCTCAGCGAAATGACTCCATCTGATCCTGGCCACAGGCTAGTGAGGGGGAACTGCGCCGGGAAAGATGCCGGTGCGGGGCTGGAGGATGCTGGGCAGAGGGGGCAGATCAGCCTCCATGGGGGCCCCACCTCCTCGGGCCCCCCATCCCCTTGGGCCCCCACCTCCTCAGGCCCCCACCTCCTCGGGCCCCCATTTCCTCAGGCCCCCATTTCCCTGGGCCCCCACCTCCTCAGGCCCCCATCCCCTTGGGCCCCCACCTCCTCAGGCCCCCATCTCCTCGGTCCCCCATTTCCTCAGGCCCCCACCTCCTCAGGCCCCCATCTCCTCAGGCCCCCATCTCCTCAGGCCCCCATCTCCTCGGGCCCCCATCCCCTTGGGCCCCCATTTCCTCAGGCCCCCATCTCTCAGGCCCCCATCTCCTCGGTCCCCCATTTCCTCAGGCCCCCACCTCCTCAGGCCCCCATCTCCTCGGGCCCCCATCCCCTTGGGCCCCCATTTCCTCAGGCCCCCATCTCCTCAGGCCCCCATCTCCTCGGTCCCCCATTTCCTCAGGCCCCCACCTCCTCAGGCCCCCATCTCCTCGGGCCCCCATCCCCTTGGGCCCCCATTTCCTCAGGCCCCCACCTCCTCAGGCCCCCATCTCCTCGGTCCCCCATTTCCTCAGGCCCCCACCTCCTCAGGCCCCCACCTCCTCAGGCCCCCATCTCCTCAGGCCCCCACCTCCTCAGGCCCCCATCTTCTCGGGCCCCCATCTTCTCGGGCCCCCATTTCCTCAGGCCCCCATCTCCTCGGTCCCCCATTTCCTCAGGCCCCCACCTCCTCAGGCCCCCACCTCCTCAGGCCCCCATTTCCTCAGGCCCCCATCTCCTCAGGCCCCCACCTCCTCAGGCCCCCATCTCCTCAGGCCCCCATCTCCTCAGGCCCCCATCTTCTCGGGCCCCCATCTTCTCGGGCCCCCATTTCCTCAGGCCCCCATCTTCTCGGGCCCCCATTTCCTCAGGCCCCCACCTCCTCAGGCCCCCACCTCCTCAGGCCCCCATCTCCTCAGGCCCCCACCTCCTCAGGCCCCCATCTTCTCGGGCCCCCATCTTCTCGGGCCCCCATTTCCTCAGGCCCCCATCTTCTCGGGCCCCCATTTCCTCAGGCCCCCATCTCCTCGGGCCCCCATTTCCTCAGGCCCCCACCTCCTCAGGCCCCCATCTCCTCGGGCCCCCATTTCCTCAGACCCCCACCTCCTCAGGCCCCCATCCCCTTGAGCCCCCACCTCCTCAGGCCCCCATCTCCTCGGTCCCCCATTTCCTCAGGCCCCCACCTCCTCAGGCCCCCCATCCCCTTGGGCCCCTCTTCCTCAGGCCCCCATCTCCTCAGGCCCCCATTTCCTCAGGTCCCCATCTCCATCCTCCTTAATGTCTGCACTGCCTGGCTGGGAGCTGCAGCGGGAGCCTGGCCTCTCCTCCTCCTCCTCCTCCCAAAGCTTCCTTCCCCCTTTCCACCACACAGACTAAGGCAGGAGGCTGGGCAAGGGGAAGGGGGATACTGAGTGAGGAAAACAGAGAGGGCGGTGGAGGTGGCCACACAGTCAGCATCGGAAGCAGAGCTGGCATGTCCCTTCTGAGTCCAGCCCGGCTTGAGTCAGCGGGGAGGGGCAGGGAGGAGGGGGCCTTCCTGGGAGAAGGCAGGGGCCGCACCAAGTGCCCCTGAGGTGCCCATGCCGGAGAGAAGTTGGCTTCCTGGAGCCCCACTCTGTGCTACTGTGAAGGGCGGTTCCATCCGCCTAGGTTTTGTTAGTTCTGTGAGCCATACAGGATTAGCGTGCCCTGCAGTGCTGCAGAGACATCGGGCGTGCTCCCCTCCTGTGTCCTCAGCTTCTCCCCTGGGGGGGTGCTCACCAGCCCAGGGCCCCACCCCAACCCTAGAGGTCCCTGGGATTCCCTGAGTTCTCACCAGCCTTGGAGGCCCCGAGTCACCCCACGCAGTGCACGCACATCTGTGACACACTCCTCCCACACAGTCTCCCTCAGCCCCTCTTGACCCTCCTCCTCCTCAGACACACGCCTTTCCGGGGCCTGTACTTGTCAATCCCCAGACATCCCTGGCTGCTTCCTACATGCCCAGGCTCTGCGCTTGCTGGCCCAGGAACTGCCCTCCGTGCCTCTTCTGACTCTGTCACAACGGGGGTTTCTGCATCTGTGCTGTCTTCCCTTCTACTGTGGCTGAGGACCGCAGGTGCCACCCGAGCCCGAGCTCCTTGAGCATCCCTTGTGCCTAGAACATGCCAGGCACGCAGCACAGATGGGTGTCATTGGTCTGGGACATTGCCACGGAAGTCTCCAGCCCTCATGCACCAGAAAGAGAAGAGTGACAAGGATCATACTGAGGAGGTCAGGAACTCTAGCTGAGAATTGGTCTAAAGCAATGGAAATGGGAAATTCTGTAAATCCAAGCTCTGCTCCTTGGAATCATTTAGAAACTGGCCAAGGGCTAAGACATCCCTCTTGCTGCGTAGACTGTGATCATATTCAGGAGGAAAAGCACAACTCTCTGAGGGGACAAATTCTATTTGCCTAAACAGAGGTGAGGCTGCTGACACTCTAGAAAGTGTGAAGTGTGCTTTTGTGACCGAAGCTGGCCTCTGCATCCCCTAACTCAGCACCTCACAAAGTTTATAACCCTCACGCAGTGCCCCCGAGCTGCAGGTGACGGCAGGCCTCCAGGTTCAGCGGTGAAATAGCGGAGCAGTAAGATCTTACAGCATTACTTCCCCAAGTCAGCCGGAAGTTTTGCCAGCCCCGTGCTCCTCCCTGAAACCTCAAAAAGCCTGCTTCCAAGCCGCCTGCTTGTTCTTCCCAAGGTGGAGGCAAGACCAGCGCCCTCTGGCCAGGTGCGTTCAGGAAGGGGCAGAGATTACACAGGAATTCAGATGAGTTCCAGGGACGGCAGCTGCCAGGGTCCCGTCAAACGCACAGTCACAGGAGGGCTTCCCCTGAGTTGGCCCTGAGTCAGCCAGCTGGGCTGTGGTCTGCTCTGCAGCAGGAGGCAGCTGAGCAGAGCCTGTAACCCCTCAGGGGAGGCAAAGCTGCACCGCAGGGCGTGGAGGAGGTGCAGGCCGGCCAGCCCAAGGCAGATAACAGATGGCGACAGGGGCTTGAGGCTTGGCTTCTCTGCTGGCCTAGGTGTCTGGAACGGCTGGGCCGCCACTGGAGCCGTGGAAAGAGGGGTCTAAGTGTCTGAGCTTGGAATCAAGGTATTCCCAAATTTTCTGCTCGAAGCCCCACAAGTTTCCATTTTCCACCACAGCCAGTTGGATCAAACTTTGCACCATTCGCATCCTAGTGAAGTCCAATAGTCAGCCGATTTGGGGATTCTATGCAAAGCCAAACAGTGGCACAGACTCTAGGAAATCTACAGAATGAGCAGAACATGTCTTCATGACGATTCAAGGTCAGGCCCTGTGGACCAAGGACAGCATGGAGCACAGAGGCCAGACTCCGTGGAGCACAGAAGCCAGACGCTGTGGAACACAGAGGCCAGACTCCATGGAGCACAGAGGCCAGACTCCGTGGAGCACAGAAGCCAGACTCCTTGGAGAAAGGGGCCCCAGAAGACAAAGGGGCCAGCACAGGCCAGCCAAGGAGTACCTGAGACCTCAAAGGCGACACCAGGTCCATTTGTACCTGGGTATTCAATGTCTCATGTGCATTTGTTAGAAATTAGATAAAATCAATGCTTATTATTTTAAATAAAGACATCGTTTCTAACTATTTTAGTCATTAATAACCTGTGATCTTCCAGATGGGCCGGCCTAGCCAATGGGCGGTATAGCCACAACCCAGGTCCTCTGTGAGTATGATGAAGACATCACACAGAGTGAACAGCCTCTGAAACGTAGGGCTGTGAAGCGCGTCCACAGTCACCGCAGAGCAAGACCAGAGTACACATCCTTTACCAACCTCAGCTTCACATTCAACAGCGAGCGGACACACTGAAGTCTAGAGAGGCAATTTAGAATGAATGGAAAGAGAAACCTTAAGAGACAGAAAGGCAGAGAGAGATTTTTCAAAATCTTATTTTATAATTAGTAAAAATATAGGAATACAGTCACTTCAAAAGCTGACATTAGCTAAGAACATTAATGGGTTATTAAATATTTAATTTAATTCAGAGATGATAGACCCATAATGATGATTAAGGTTATTATAGAAAAGGATGATTCTTGGTGTTAGAGATCATTTACTCAAACCCTTGTATTTTAAAAGAAAGAAAGACTGAGACTAACAGAGTTAATTGATTTCTCCCAAGGAAAAGCACGGATCACAACCTGGTTCTCCCACCTGCGGTCCCCACACCATTTTATGTGGTTGTTAGCCTCTCCCCCTGACTCTCCCCATAGTTTTGTGCTTGTTGTTGCTGGTTTCTTGGTAAAATCTGCATCAAGTAGATGGATACTCTTGGGGTAATGGTGGCCCACTCCCTAACCACTGTGTTAAGCCTTGTATACTCTGCTGAGTAGGTAAATATTTTTGTCCCCTAACTCTGCACCTGGATTTATTTGCTGTGAAACGCAGGGCCCATTCCTACCGACTATAAGCAATTTATTCTGTGGGTTTAGTCACTGCAGAGGGCAGAAACAAGATACCACTCCCTTTATGGGGCATTAAAAACAAACTCCTCTTTGCTGGTGACCCTGTTTCTGTAGGAAGTGTGTGGTTTACCTAGAGCAAAGGGGCTGGCTGTCCTGCCAGACTTAAGCCAGATGTAGGGCTCCATCTATCTTGTTCATGGTTTCACCCCAGTCCCCAGCTGGTATAACCGGAGCACCCAGTAAAGAAGAATCTACGCAAGGGAAGAACAGTCCCCCTCAGGCTGAACAAGGAGACGCCACCTCTGCTTATACAGCAGCACTCAACTGACTTTCTCTGTCCATTCTTCACTAAACTCCTTAAAAATAAAATTTTAGTTATAACTTCAGAAAATTAACCTCTGTAAAGAATCAATAATATACTTTAAAACATGTGTAATGCTGTTGGAATTTTTTTCTTGTCTTATGAACACAAAATGTCCTATATTTATATAAAAATCACTGTGTTGACCTTTCTACATGTTCTTCCACAGCTATCTATTAATACTATGACATCATATTGCAAAAACAAACACACACAGCAACTCGGATGTGTTTGATAATAAAATCACACAGCAGTTTAAAAATTCATCCACAGGGACATAAAGTTAACTGTTGTTATTATGAAAGTTTGTCACCTCCCTACAAACACATCTTGACTGTTATTTAGATTGTGTTAATGTGTGGTGTTATTATAATAAAGCCCTTATTACCACACTTATTGTGGTTGTTAAACAGTCATTAGCAACCATGAAACTGGGAAAATACACTGAGCTGCGTTGCCCATGAGCTATCACGGTTAATAATGAAGAAAACAGATCAAGAGCTCTGGGATCCTCTACAAGAAGATGCCCACTTTCCCGAAATTTCAAGAGAGACGACTGTCAGAAACGTACTAACCCAACACAAGCATGATGAGGAACCCAAATTCTGGAAAGTGCCTTTGGCCATGCTTGAACTTGATCTGTAATGCTCTCCTGTGCCGTCCGTCTTCCCGTGAGAATCCAGCCCCGAGCCCCAGCCACACAAGACCTCAGTCTCCCTGAGGCCCGAGGTGCATGCAGTGATGACTGCCTAGGACCGCCTCAGTGCCTGGAACGGTTTCTCAGGCACAATTCTCACCTATTTTTGCATTTCCCACATCATGTATGTTGGAAGAATCTTGAATACACAAAAGCTACCAGTTTTAAAAACAACTGACAGTGTTTTAAAACTTAGGCTCTATTATTATTCAGGTGTGGCAGGGCAACAGGTCAGGAGACAACTGTCAGCGAAAAGAGAGTTTGTTACTCACAGATCCCAAGAGAGGGGGCCAAGCCCTGGGGACCACTCAGGGATGCACTGAGCCTGTCTGGAGGCAGAGGGGTGCAGGAACGTGTGGGCAGGGGCCTTTCACGTGGCTTCCAGGGAAGGAACAGGTGAGCCAGGGTGAGCCTGCATGGGACTGGTTGGTAAGGGCAGTTCCCGTGGGCCCTGCTGCACAGGGGGTTGCCCTCGCTGGCTGGTACTGGGCCCTGGGAGGATTAGGGCAGGAGGATGTGGCCCAGAGCGTGAGAGTCCATAAAGGAGGTGGTGGGGGTGGGCTCTGGTTTGCATTTGAAAAGTGCACTCCTGGGTGAGTTGCCTGCTGTGTCTGGGAATTAGAAACCCTGGGGGAGCAGCCTCTCCAGGGCCAGCAAGCCTCCCCCTGCTCCCCACCAATGTCAAAGCATCAGATGCGGAAAATGACAAGGCCTGGTTAGTGTAGACAGGTAGAGGTCCCTTTCCCAGTCCTCAGGCTGGTGTGCTGCACCCTCCCAATGCCATGTTTGACCATTGTGGTCTCAGGGAAGGGCTCTGAGATGGGTGCCCAGGGCGGCGGGTTCAGGCCCTGCCCTGTCGCTCACTCGTCACAGGGTGAACTTGGGTCAGGAATCTCAACTCTCGGCCTCAGCCTCCTCATGTGTGCAATGAAGGGGTTGGGCTCTGTGATTTCAATGACCCCTTCCAGCTTCCAGATTCCACGAGCCCCTCCTCGTAACCTGGAACACAGAAAATCTATAATCCTGTGCTTGTCAAGGAGCCCAGACCCAGGGCCACTGAATTCCAACAAATGTATGATTCCTCAGCCAAAGCCGTGAAGGGTGGCTTGGAGGTTTGCATCCACGCATACTTCTAGGTGGCCTCAGATGGCCCCTGGGGTAAAGGCAGATCTTCCAAGGGCAGCTTGCTGGTCTCTGCAGTGTGGATTCCCAGTAGGAGTGCTTTCTCTGCTTTCCGTTTTAGCCTTACCGCCCCAGCCTACAACCCCGGGCATGGCAAAAACCTTATGAAGAGATGCATTGGGCCTCCTAGATGCATTCTGTTCAGGGTGTTCACTCCTTTATACGGTGAACTCTCCAGGAGAACCAGCAGGAGATGTTTCTTACAGGGCTCGGAACAGAAAGAGATGTGTTTACCTACACAACTGGGGTTTATTTATTTATTTATTTATTTTGCTTGTTTTGTTTTTATGTTTCCAGTCTGCCCTGCTGCGCTCCACTCCTTGAGAATCCAGCAATCTCAGAATCACACCCAGGCCCACCTTCCGCAGGGCTGGGGGTCCTTTCGACACGCACCATGGCTGCTGCGCTCCGGCCCAGCTTCCTACCTCCTCCTTTCCTTCACCTAAACAAACGCACTTATGGATTAGCTTAGCCTTGTATGGAATATAGGTAAGTTTACTGACATCTTTCGGACGTAAGACGGGGTGTCGGTAAGGAAATACCCCCACTGATGTGACTTTATTTAAATCAGAGCAAACAACTGCATGAGAAGCTGATGTCAAGATGTAACGGACTCAGGGCTGAGCTGGGTAAGGAGCTGGAATTCACACTTAGAGACCTGTCTGTGCTTGTCACGTGTGGATAAGCCACTTGTTTTCTTTATGCTCAGTTTTCTTAATTCCAAAAGTTGAAGTAAACAACTTTCATTCACATTATATAATTATTTAAAATAATATTATTTCAGGAGTAATTTCAAAATAAAATATAAATATTCCTTAAAATTATATTCTGTGGCCGAGGCGGGTGGATCATGAGGTCAGGAGATGGAGACCATCCTGGCTAACACGGTGAAACCCTGTCTCTACTAAAAATACAAAAAATTAGCCAGGCGTGGTGGCAGGAGCCTGTAGTCCCAGCTACTCGGGAGGGTGAGGCAGGAGAATGGCGTGAACCCAGGAGGCAGAGCTTGCAGTGAGCCGAGATCGCACCACTGCACTCCAGCCTGGGCAACAGAGCGAGACTCCGTCTCAAAAAAAAACCAAAAACAAAATGTGCACACAGTTGGAAAGTCACAGATTTTCTTTCAAAATAATGTCATACCCATGGGTCTGTCAGTGATTTCTAGAACACTGTATTTCATATTTTTTCTTTTTAAAAAGAATTACATGAGTTACACTTAACAGCAATTTCTCAACAGATTGTAGGAGCAATTAGCATGACCTGGTTTGGATCCTAATCTGATGCACTCTGATTACATATGATTATAAACACGTTTGGGTTAACTCACTTAAAAATGGGCAATCTCGGCTGGGTGTGGCGGCTCACACCTGTAATCCCACCTCTTTGGGAGGCCAAGGTGGGTGGATCACCTGAGGTCAGGAGTTCGAGACCAACCTGACCAACATGGAGAAACCCCATCTCTACTAAAATACAAAATTAGCCAGGCATGGTGGCGCATGCCTGTAATCCCAGCTACTTAGGGGGCTGAGGCAGGAGAACTGCTTGAACCCGGGAGGCGGAGGTTGTGGTGAGCCGAGATGGCGCCATTGCACTCCAGCCTAGGCAACAACAGCGAAACTCCGTCTCAAAAAATAAAATAAAATAAAAATAAATAGTAAAATAAAATGGGCAACCTCAAGGGTGGGAGGAATGAGGAGTGTTTAATGGGAACAGAGCTTCAGTTTGGGATGATGAAAACGTCGCGGAGATGGCGGTGGTGGTGGCTGCCCAATGTGAATATACTTAATGCCGCTGAACTGTGCACTTAAAAATGGTTAAAACTGAAAAATCTTACGCACATTTCACCATCACATAAAAAAAAGCAGAAACAATTTTTTAAAGGGCAAACTGCTAGCTCTTGAAGAGTTGGTTCTCTTCACCCAAAACTTTACCTTTTAGTAACAGTAAAAATAAACGTCAGCTTTGTCATATTTTCTCCCCTTTGCTTCTGCACTTGCAGAAAAATTACGGACACCCTTCCCCTCAGTTGTGAAAATACACTTGGGAACAGAAACATTAAGTTTTCTTGGGCTCAAACACACCCTCAAACACAAGATAAATTAAAAACAAGGCAAACTTCAGCCAGACATGAGGACCTGCTCTTGGCACCGCTCCGAGACCTGTGTTCATGATCTGTGAGATTCCACTCCGCCCAGAAAACAGCTTGCCCCTGGCCGCCCAAGCTCTGTCACACCCGTGATTTCCCAGCAGTAAATAAAAACTGCCAAGCTCCCTGGGACCCCCATTTCCTGCGAGCCCTCCCTTACCTTTCTGAGGAACAGTCTCTGCAGCTTCTTGTGTGGCAGCCTGATCATCATGATGCACTCCCCAGGTCCCGGGGGCCGGGCTCCCCTTGCCGTCCAGCCATTCTGCCAGGGCAGCCGCCACTCCTTTTATCACCTTGTGGGCTGCTGCGCCCGTCCTCGTCACCAGGCAGCCACCCCGCACACCTCCTCTTCCCTCCCCTCACCCCTCTCCAGGCAGCCACAGATTCCCAAGCCGGGAGTCCTGCCCCTCACAGGCACCAGCTGTGAGTTGAAAAAACTCTGGCTGCAGACAAAACCCCCGCTTTGCAAACTCAGAAGCAAAGGAGAGAAGCTGAGAAAACCTCAGCCCCGAGGCTGGCCTTCTCCTCTGATGAGAATGCGAAGTTACTCATGCTGCTCCGAATCCCAGCAGGCTGGAACACAACATCTGGCAGAAGCCGGCAAAGCAGAAGCGTCACTTAGAGGCAATCAAATGTCAGAAACCATCAAAGACACTCTGAGGGGCAGGCCTGAGGTCCTCCTCAACGCACACCTGCCCCCACTTGCCCACAGCCAGGCTGGCAACGTGCCTTAGCAGTGCATGAAAAGACACTTCGGTCCTTCTCTGTGTCATTTAAACTGAAAGGAGGAGGCAGGCGTAGGAGGAAGGTGAATGAAAATGGTTGCTTATTTCTTTAGGTGGCGCTGGGTCAGTGAATGCACACCAAGGGTGCGAGGATGTCATCACCCTGTATTACCCCTCCAGATGATGCCTCCGCCCCAGAGACACAGGCACGTGCACATGCATGCACGTTCTCTCTACAAGCTTTTCCCGGGCTAACTCGGAATATGTCCTCTCTGGCTAACATAAACATTTGCTTTGTTTTCCTGATCAAAACTGAATTCCCATGTTTCCAGAACATCAGCCCCTTTCTTGCTTTCACTTGCCATGGAGCCCTGCCTTGGTTCTGCCAGAAGCGTCCAGGGCTCCGTGTGATTGGCAGCTGCTGAGTACAGGCGGCAGGTTCAGAGTCAGACCCAGGACACTGGCGGAGTTTCCTTTGTTTACTGGTATAGCTTCTTGTTAATACATAAATAGCTTTCTCCTCTGAAAACCTACAGATGCAACAGAAGAGACCTACCAACTGACAATCGCCTTCGAGGTGACAGACAATAGAGGCCACGGCTAAGGATGCAGGTGTGGAAATAAACAGATATAAAAACACAGGACTTGAAAAGAAGGAAGCAAAGGCAAAGAGGAAATTTAAGACTGAAATGGACAGAAATGACCTTGATTTAGGGTAGTGCATTGCTAAAAGACGGGGCCCTGTCCATCCCTTCCTTACTCCAAGACATTGAGATAAAGAATATTTCCTTCCCAATCAGACAGAAATAGTTGAAGTGCAATCGTCCTTTCTCCAGTGGTTGCTATTTCAGGAAATGGGTTCTACCAAAACAACTTTTCACCCATTTCGTGGCTTCCAGAGCACACATGGCGTATGTTCTTTCCCTTGAATGCAGAGCTGATTAAAACTCATTTATCCAGGTCAATGTTGCATTCGTGTGTGTGTGTGTGTGCACATGTGTGTGCCTGTGTGTGCAGGTCTGCGTCTACACAGATACATACATACTTCAGGTAAATAACAACTGAAAGGAGCTTTGGTCAGTCCTTCAGAGGGACTTTCTAAGGGATCATTTTTATTAACCCTACTTTCCACTATGGGAACTTTATTAAGAACCTATAATGTAACATTTTTAGAAACACATGCCATACATCTGCCATTATATACACATTTTTTTCTATTCTGGAGCCGTTGGCAAATATTACTTCTAAGCAGAACGGTCACACTTCTGAGCTGTTACTTTGAGAATAGAGCACGGTTTGTTCACAGGCCAAGTTATGGCAACAGAAGAAAATGCCTCTGTCTTCCAAAATTTCTCAATTACCTTTTGCTACTTTTGCTGGCCCAAAATAATAACACGGGGAGATTAATAGAAAATAAGGCTCTTTCTAGTCTCACGAAATTTCGTCTCTGTGATTTTATGTGAGTCTCAGCACTGCTGGTGTGTTTCAGCCTTGACTTCTCTCTGTGAAATCATCAGGAGCTTTAAAACAATCCCAGTTCTATTTCTTTTCTCCAAAATGAATCCACATCCACATTTCACCTCTTTGAAAATGCTGGATCTTAAAATATATGTGCAGCCTTTCACAGAAATAGGCACTCCTGCTTCCTGGAAACACACTGCTGGCGTCTTCTCATACCGTCTACCGCTGGCTGCAGCCTCAGCTCCTGCGGAAGACACAGCCGCAGCCGAGTCCGTATCCTCGCCCAGCGGTCAACGCAGCGCCGTTCCCACCATTGTACAGAGAGGTTTGTGCTTGGTGAAGCCCTACTGCAGGGGATTTCTGAGTGTCGAAGGAGGACAATATAAAATATTTTCCTGAAAACTTAACTCTGTGGTCCTTCACAAATACTTTGTTTTAATTTTAAAATATGTAGTATTCAGGCTTGATTGAGATTTAGAAATTTTTACTAAATTTTTGTTTGAGGGTGTGGTGTTGGGGCCCTGGTATTGTTTCAAATACACAGGAATAAAAACGGAAGGTTTCTTTTGGCTATCTGTAACCTATTCATTCGGTTGGCAAAGATGCGTAGCTCATGTAGGGCAATGTTCCCAGCTTAGGCAAATCAGGGGCACCTGGGGAATGGCGATTTGGAGAGAGGAAGGTGGGCTCATTCTGGTGAACAAATATTTCCTTAGGTAATTTTGCACACAGAGTAAAAGTGAAAGGCTTCTTAAGAAATTGTGTTTACAATTGTATAAACATCTTCTTTCGAGGATATATTGAGCTGGTCTAATCTCCAAAGGAAAAATACCCAAGTCAAGCAAAGCAATTGAACTACATCGAAGATGAACTCACCAAAGCGATCTACTGAATGTCAAAGTGATAAGATCATCGCACAGAGTATGTGGGCACCGCCCCCACCCCCATCGCGGTCTGGTTTGAGACTGTGAGGACTCCAGGTTGATTCTATCGCTCCTGGCAACAGGAAACTAGCATAGGTTAGATCAGTGCAAGCCACGGAAAGCTTGAAAATGGCTCGGCCAAAAATGCTCATCTTTCCTGCACCACATATTTTGCTGGAATCGCTTGAAATAGCCTGCTCACTGGCAATCCCTCTTCCCATTTCCAACCTGATGGCAACGTGCATGGATACTGAGTTGGGGAAAGAAGAATCGGATGGGGGAAATGGAGGCACAAAGGGTCCGAATAATCCTCACCTACAGTCATTTGGGTTTTGGTATCTGTATTTACAGTTATCCTAAATACAATTCAATCCAAACTTCCATAAGAATTAAAAGGAAATTTTCCAGGACTTGGTACTTTTGAAAGTGCATTAGCAAAATAAATCAGGCCTTTGGTCTCTGGCTAAATGGTGGTCATGTGAGAGCTAGTGGGTTTGCAATGGAAACCCTTCATTCTTAATGGCATTTAATTGCAGGTGGATGTGAGTTTGCGAACTGAATGTTGTCGTGGTGATGATGGCAAGAAATTGCCTTTTATTCATTTCTGAGACCGAGTCTTGCTCTGTTGCCCAGGCTGGAGTGCAGTGGTGCGATCTCGGCTCACTGCAACCTCCGCCTCCCGGGTTCAAGCAATTGTTGTATTTTAGCCTCTTAAGTAGCCACCGCACCCGGCTAAATTTTGTATTTTTTGTAGAGACAGGATTTCACCATGTTGCCCGGGCTGGTCTCGAACTCCTGACCTCAAGTGATCTGCCCGCCTCAGCCTCCCAAAGTGCTGGGATTACAGGCATGAGCCACCACACCTGGCTGCCTTTTATTTTATGCCATGGGGAAATCATCATAACAATCTTGGCTTACTCATCTACCAAATACATTTTTAAAGACATTATTTTGAAAACATCTCTGGCTAATTGGTGAAAAGCAGCTATTACTGTGTATTGGCTATGGCTTTAAAAGCATTGCTATTGTTGACAGGTGAGCATCCACCTTCCAGCAGCAGAACCAAAACGCTCACACAATTCAGCCCAAAGAATAAACAACCACGACACAGCGGAAAGCATCTGTTTCGTGTTTCCATTAGACCATCAGCGTCTCAGCCTGGAAGCAATATTTTGTGTCTTCCTCTGAAAAACCTAGTAGTTCACTTCCATATCTTTGGACCCATAGAGAATCAGACGGATGATTTTAGCCTGTGTTGAAGACATCACTGGGAGTGAGTTGTACCTTTCCCCTTCCTAGGCCCCGGGGAGATAGGAAGGTGGGACCGCACGGCTGTGTCCTCCCCATTGGGAATGGAGTGGAAGGGAAGTGTCTCCTCGCATTTGAGGCAGCGTTGAAGGCGCAAGTTATCCCCTGCACCCCAGTCTCATGGCGAGAACAAAGAGCCCAGGGAGGGTAAAGCTCCAGATGGGGCAGCCTCGTCTCCCAGCCCCCTGGACCTCCCAGAAAGTGGCCGAGGATAACCCTGCCTGTGACCTCATGGAAAAGAAGCCTTGCAGACAGGAGTGAGAAGCAGGCTCTATCACGTGGAGGCCCTGGTGTCACCACAGAGGTACATGGTCTGTCCCACCTGGACCAAGACAAGTGGCAGAAACCTTAGGTACTGGTTTCACCAAAAGGAAACTGAGGCCCAAAGAGGCCACACATCCCAGGCACTAGGACAGTGGTGTCCCTGCGTCCTCCCCTCCCTCAGTCTCCCCACATTTTACCACATTCTCCCTCAGACGCAAAACCGAATCATGGCCTCTCTTTACCGCTCAGCCATGTCAGCTCAACCTTAGCACCGTTCAAAGCAATTGGTATGCATGTGTGTGTTCATGCAGTGTGCGTGTGTGTGTTTGTATGTCTATGCGCATATGTGTGTGTGTGTGCATGTTAAACGGAGGACGGAATATGAAGTTCAAATTCCCCCACGGCACCTGGCGTAGTCCCTGGCACATGGAGTGTGTAAAGTCATGTTCTTAAGTGAAAGTATCTTGGGAAACTGGCCTCATTTTCCCTTACGCAGCTGATCTCGAATCACACAGGATCTCGCACTGGGCTGTAAGCCGGCACCAGGGTTACAACCTGCTGTGCACCACGGTCCCTGAGAGACTCAGCCTCACATGAAAGTCCTGTTTGCTCCCAGTTCACAGGTAAATAAATCAACAGCTCCACGGAGAAAGAATAGCACCTTCCCATCCTGTCCACTCCCAGGAAACGACCTTCACTTCTGCCCCGACTTCTGGGAGCCAACAAGGAAAGCGGAGCAAGCCATGACCCTGAGCCTTGCACCACGAGATTTGAGGCCTGTGGGCACCGAGGCTACTGCAGAGCACAGGTGGAAACACAGGTACATAGGTGACTCTCCGTAGGTCAAAGAAACGGTTTCACATGCTTCTGTGATAACAGCTGCAAGCATGAATAAAGTTCAGTTTCCTTTGGAAGGCATTGATGGTTTCAGCAGCTCTCCTCAATGCGTGGATAGCAAAAATATAGCTACTACAAGGTGGGGTCTGTGATTTATTGTTATTACATTTCCAACAGAGTCTTAAGCTAAAAATATTTGGGACCCAGTAACTGAGAAGTCCTAGCAGTAGTATCAGGATCACAGAAGGAACCACATTTCCTGCCTTACAGGTTTGGTTTCCAGACTTAGCTGAAGCCTGTTAGATGGCATTCGCTTAGCATGGAAAAAGCAAAGCCAAGAATAATTTTAAATTCTTTTGGAGTCATTAAAGGGTTACATTAAGAAAATGGAAAAATATTATTTCCACAAAATAAACTGCAAGAGTAAATTATCTTTGATTTCAGCAAATGTCTGCATCATAGAATCACAGTTAAGACCCTAAAGCCACATGGCTCGGTTCAAATCCATGACTCCCCTACTTGGCTGTGTCACCTGGTACAACTTAATTGCCTCCATGCTCTTATCTGTAAAATGGGAGAGAGCGGCAATGAGAGTGACTACTTCATCTGGTTGTTGAGGGTCAAATGAGTTCACATTGCAAGGTGCTTAGAACATACTGAGTATTCTATAACGATTTACCAAAGAAAAGCAAAGCAAAAACAGGAGCAAGGAAGGGAACCTTGGATTTCCTTGGGGGAACAACCTTGGAAACCAAAAGTTAATTAAGAAAGAGCTGTCAATTTCTTTACCTCCTCCCTGTACAGATAAGAGCATTGAGAAAAGGCGTTTCGTAAGTAGTGAGGCACCACACGGATGAACGGCGACGACCTTGTTAGTTCGCTGTTACAGATCAAGTCCCAAGGGCCCCATGATAATAACCAACTGCAAACGATCCCAGCAAAACCAGAGCTGTGCCTGTCCGTGTACCTCGAGAAAGAGGGGTGCACCCAGCAGTCCTTTAAAGATTGTTTTCAGATCCATGACGGCACGGCCGGCCTTGTCTATGTCCGTCACCAAATGCTGAATTGTGTGGCAGACACAACACTGTCCATGACCTGCTGTAAAGCAGCTTCTGTTAGGGTTCTTGTTGTTCGGCTAGAAAGAATGCGAAGTGTTTGGGGAGTTGTGAGCGTGAGGAATTGCCATGTGCGGGGCTTCTGAGTGCCCTGTGCCTTGCATCGCTGCCGGCTCTGAGGACCACGCGGTGCTGGGACTCCACTCCCACTGGGGAGGGCGTGAGTGAGAGGGTGAGAGAAATGAGGCTGAGCCCCAGCTCAGAGCTGGGAAGACCCCTGGGATCGCCCGGCACAGTGTGGTCAGGGTCATTTAAGGCCAGCGACATTTTAGTGATGGGCAGAGGGAAGGACACCAGGGGGCGCGTGAAAAGGAAGACTGTGAGGCGGGAGGAAGAGTGGGAGGCTCTGCCCAGGGTGGCCGAGGAGCAGGGTGCTTCCTAAAGGAAGGTGTCGAGAACGGCAAGCTCTGAGGAGGTGCTGGAACGCGGGGATCAGGTCTAACAACACGGGGCCCGCGCTTCCCTCCTCACAAGGCAGCTCAATGAAGCTGAAGGAGTGAAATCCAGCCACAGTGAGAAGGCGGGCAGGGGTGGTTGCTGGAGGAGGCCATGCCGCAGGCCTAGATGGGGAAGCAGAGTGGGGCAAGGAGCAGGGGGTTGGGAAGGGGTCAGGGTCCCTGTCACTGACCACATTGAGTGTGGCTGCACTTCCCCAGGCACAGCCGGGTGCCCTCACTCTGTGAAAAACAAACCACAAGGAGCCTGCAGCCATGAGCCCGCAACCCCTGACAACGGGAGGAAGACGCGCCACAGGGACTGGGACAGCGGCCACCGCGGTGACACCTACAGCCACGCAAGCACCTGCGTAAACACGTGCTACAGTCACATGTTACGTATTTCACACATTTACACACTACACAACGTGTGTGTGTTCACACACATGTGTATCAACACACATATGCAGGAACGACAAAGCACTTTGGCAGCCTTGACGTTATCTCTACCGAGTTCTGTCCTCTCATCATATGTCCACGGAGGTGGCATGACCTTCCCAACACCAAACGGCCAATGGGGTGACCCCGCCTGGGTCTCTCAGCTCCAGCCTGGGGCTTTCTCCTCCCTGCCAGCTCCAGGGCAGGTGGCAGGAGGAACAGCCACCACGCTGAACAAGGAAAGGACCCAGAAGTTAGGCCACATGAAGAGAGCCACAGTCCTGGAGTGAGCCTCCACGTGGCCAGCCAGCATGGGTAGTGTGTGCAGCATCTCTGGACTCATAAACAGTGCTCCTGACGCTGGACTCCACAAAGCCAAGTGCCATGAGAAGCTCCCAGATGTTTCCAGGGCTGCAGGTCAGCAGGTGCGTCCAGCACACCGGCCCTCAAGTAGAGGATGCTCCGGGACGCGTGGTGACGACCCACGGCCACGAGCACAGCCAGCCCTCCTTAGCCATGGCCCCCGCACCTGCTCCCACCTCCAAGATCCCTGCTGCCCGCTTAGTGTGGGGTGACATAGGTTCCTTATTGCATCCGCAGCTCAGGGACGGGCGCAGTGTGCTCCAAGACATAGAGGCTCAATAAATCCTGCAGTAATAACAAGAAAACGACTTTGTTTAACTTTTCGTAGATTATAAAGGATAACCATCATTCCCTATAGCTCTTATTTTCTGAGACCTCGATGTAGAAAGTGCTGGCTTAAAGTGGTGTAGAAGGTGTAAGATGTGGAGCTGGCATTTAAAGAAGAGAATTCAAAGAGCATCTTACTTTTTTGAAAGGCGTGGGGCTAAGCATCACATTTTACATGCACAGCTGAGCAATCGACTTAAGGTGTTTTAGGCTTCATCTCCTCATCTGTAAGATGGCAATACTCACAGTAATATAAAGAAACAGTGATTATGAAGAATTGGCTGGGGCAATGGCAGGCACTCAGCGACTACCAGCTTTTCTGAACAGGGGAAGGGAGGTTGAGTATACACTCCCTTCACGCTGACACAGTCCTCCAGCCTGTTAGGAACAAAACACTTCCCGCTTTCTAGTTCACTGAAGGTCAATATCATAATGGCTGTGATTACGATATGAGAAATTCTCAGGGTGAATTACAAATTCCAAACAAAACATTCCCTTTGGGTAGCCTGAGGTGTGTAATTATCATGATGACGTCTTTGGGGTTGCATTGGTAAGTGGCAGTGACTTGTTTGATTAATGGATTGAATATTTCTTTTCATGTCACTGAATAGAGGATACCTTCAATTGGTGAAATTGCCTGAGAGACAACACTTATCCATGTTACTAAACCCAAGATATATTGAATAACTTAAATCTGTATCATATCATCACCCAGTGAGTATAGTGCTATTTAAAAATTTTTTAGGATAAGCTGAGCCTTAACTTTAGGCCTATAACTTCAATTATATTTAATTTTCAAATATAATTATTGTACCAGTAATATAGATTTCTTTGGAAATTATTTTAAAAATGAAGAAAAGAAAAAATACATATAATTGTACAACTTAATGAAAAGCCTTGGTAATTTTTGGATTTGTGTGTATGTGTGTTTTCCTTTCAAGCTTTTTCTAAAAATCTTGCCTGTTTCTGTGGGAGTTAGGAGGTGGGCTATAGCTGAATATGATAAAACTTTGATGTACTGTTTTTTCCCCTAAAATTAATGATTTTTCTCCAGCTATCCCAAAAAGACATTTATAAGTATGGCCTCAATCAAAGGATTTTTCTAGCTCAAATTCTAATTCTGACTACAGCACTATTTTCTGCTGAAGTGCAATGCACAGATTTTGAAAGCCCACCCAGTGACTCAAGTAACTACAGGAATGAAACAGAATTTGTCTCTTCAGCGGTTGTTTGGGGCTGGAACGCAGAAGCACAGAGGTTGCGAGGTGCTCCTTTTTAGCTGCTGGTATTTCCTTTTGCTGCCACCCCTGTTCTGGAAGCTTCCCTTGGCACCCTACTCGCCCCACAGTGTCTGGACCCAGCTGCGTGGCCCTGTGGGCCTAACGTGCCTCTCCTCCCTCGCCTTTGTTTACAAGTCCAAAGAATGTGCCTCCCCACCCCCGAACCCTGCTGCACCCAGAAGTCTGCACCAACTCACCGCCACGAGAGTGAATGAAGGTCCCTTCCTTACCTGGGGGCTGCCCTAGCAAAGAGGAAGGGCTCAGCTACCTGTGGGAAAAGCCAGCTCCACCATGGAATTTTTGTCTCTGAAAACAGACTGAAGAACCAGACTTTTGTATTTTATCCCCTAGACTCTGCCCAGTTTTTAATGTCGCCTATCACCTCCCCATGAGCAACGCCATCAAAAAGCAAAATACAACTGCGACTACCGTCTCACACGCTTCAGCTTGCAAGGCAGAGGCACGGAACGATTTGATGAAAAAGACAGAGGAAAACAGAAAAATCACTCCTCTAACCAAGACCACAAAGGCCGCGCGGATCAATGTGCTCCAGATCAATGCGGTCCAGAGGTGAAAGCGTGGTTAGAGGAAGACAAAAAGGACAGAGAAGCCAGCTCGCGCTCCCTTCAGGATCCTACTTGGAAAATTAATTTTGTGACTCAGCTGAGGGCTGCTGCTGTCACCCAGGAGCCCTTCAGACTGCGCTCCACTTGCCAGCAAGCCTCAAAGGGACCCAGGAAGGGTGAACATTCGGCCAGAATGTGTTGAGCGTCCACAATGTTCCAGGCTTAGCCCCCGCACTGCAGCTCCCTAAGTTGCTTTGCAAAGGACTGAGTTTGGGTCACCTCATTATTTTATTTGCATATCAGGTTACCTGACAAAAGAACATATTGTTTCCCAAATTATTAAGAACTAAAGACAATACCTCCTCAAACACACACACACACACACACACACACACACACACACACACACCCTGGTGTCAGGCAGCCGGCCACCACAGAGTGTGTGCGGGGATTGCTAACCATGGCAGAGCCTGCTCTCACTGTTTGGGTGCAAACCTTGGGGGTTTTATTTTTCCACGACTGTGGAGTCTGCCTCTGTGTCCCCACATGTAAAATCGCTACCTTGGCCACCACTGCACCATAACAAGAGTGCTCACATTTCTGTCCTTCCAATACCAGGAAATCTGAGAAACAATTACTTTTTCTTTGTTCAAGTCCCACCCAATCGACAGATGATGGATCAATGCAGCTCTATAAAACAGGGCATGTGTGTTCACTTCAAAGCCATAAGAAAAGGGAAGAAAGAGGAGGAAACCCAGAGAGGGCCTCAGCGGGCAGCAGTGGCCCTGGACAAGCTCCCCCCGTTCTGGTTGAGGTTGGGTATGGACAAAAGAAAACATCCTCCCCTTGGAACTGGAACCTCCTTTGTGTCTTTTCTAAAAGTGATTTTTTTATAAAGGCAAATAAATAAAGAGTGAAATCATGATGGAGAAAGAGGACATACAATTAGCTGTGAAACTAGAGGCACCTTGCAGGACTTATTAGGCAAAATCCATGAAAGACGCTGACCGCTGTGTTAGTGCCACCCACGCTTCTGGGACCATCCTGGTGAGCGGCCCAATGTTCCTTAGCCAAGCGGCAGGGGCAGCTGCCTCTGCTTCAGAGGCTGAGTCTGTGTTAGGAGTTTCAGCAGGAGACTGGTATAACAATCTGTTGAACATCAACTTTTGTAGAGTCTTTTAAAAAATATGTACAGAGAGAGGTGAGTAGGGAGGGAGAGAGAGAGGAAAACAAAACAAAACAAAACCAGAATGATCAGCAGAGGGAGAGTTAAAGCCTTCACTTGGCAATCACTGCTGCCTTCCTACCTTTTCAGACTTCTGGGCTGCTCCCGGGTGACGCTGTGTGAGATCTGATTTGCTTTTTTCATCCTGAACCTACGGGGTTCCCGCCTATCAAATTCAAGGTGAATCTGGAAACACTGCCAGGAGTTTAACCTACTCCGGGCCTAAAGGCAGTGGAGGGGATTTTGCTGGCCCTCAGCCCACAGAGACCCTGTGGCCACATGGCTCCGGGGGTTCTCCCATGCTTTGACCCTAGGATGTGACTGGACACAGGGTCCTGGCAGAAACAGCCGCTTTCCTGGGAACACTTTCCAGTTCCAACTATGGCAACTTACGGTTAATGCCTGTGCCGGCCTGGCTGTTGATTTAGGAAGGAACGACTCTCCAAGGGCACCCACACCCTACCCTGGCCCTGAACTCTGTGCAGCACCCACCAGACCAATGGCTGTGCCATTGGCCCAATGTTCACTGCTATGACCAAGAGAGGAGAAACACCCAGTATTGGAACGCATCATCTTTATTTGGAGTGCCCAGGCTAGGTGTGGATTGGGATGATACAGATAATAATAAAACTTTTTCATTTGCCAAGAAACACAGTTCATCACACATTTGGATAAAGCCACGTCAAGTTTCGCTAAGAATCACCAATTACAGCTTGACTCTTTTTTTCTTGGACAGATTATGGAACAGACTGACAAGAGATTATGAGAAAGGAATAGAAGACGGTGTTCCTCCAACTCCAGCAGACCTTGTTTGCTGAGTTGATTTAAGTTAGGATGTAATCCAAACTGGGATTCAGGCATTTGCTTAACCCCTTAACTGAAATAGTCAGAACCAGCTTGAGATTCTGTGTGCCCACCCCTCACCTTTGCATGGCCTCCATCAACCATACAGTTCAAAACACAAGTTCCACGTCCAATAAGGAAACTTAATTCATGCAAAATGCGTTCAGACCCAGATAGTAGTACCACAAGTATGGAAAAAGTAAAACAGTGGAATTCAAATGTCAAGCATTGTGGGCAATGGAATGCAGTAGGGACCTCTCTTCCAGGATTTGGGACCACCTAAAACCAGGTGGGACTCAGCCTCTCCCATCAGGGACTTGCAGGCCCCAGCGACGGGGCTGAGAAAAGGCGGCCGCATCCTTGTGCAGTGCCCTCCCTGGGCAGCTCCGAGGGCCACCCACTGCCCAGCAAGACCCCTGTGGCAGAGCTCATGCTGTTCTCATAAGACCTTTTTAACCTTATTATATTTTTGCTTTTTAGCTTCAGGAAAGCTGCCAGAAAATCAGGAGTATTTTTGTTTCAAATGAACTACAGCGCAGTTTAACGTATCAATGTAGATGAACATAAGCTCAACCAGAAACCAACTTCCAATGACCCGTTTGGCACCTACAAGGAGCAGGCCCATCTAGCCTGCTGTGACCGCTGCAGAGGCGCGGCCCCAAGGATGATCAATCCCATGGTGTCACAACCACATGTGGCGTGACTACCGACTTACTACATTTCACCTGAGTGTTGCAGCCCAAAGCATTGAAAACAGCTATTAAACTATCTTTAAAAATGTCTTATTAATAAAGGTATTAAAACCAGATAGATGCTTGAAATAGGAGAAATCTACCTCCATCTAAAATTATCTATTTTAGTCCTAATTCCTAGAAAAGCTGTTGCTGAGCCACACGCACTAGAGTCTGGAGGCTGGTCGGCCACCAGCCTGCAAACCTCGAGGGCAGACACAGCCCCAGGCAGCTTCAGCACCCCCACGTTTGCCTCGCTGCCATGGCTCCCTTCTGCCGCTGGTAATTTCAGCTTATTTTGAAGGCACGTCGTAGTTTTAAAAGGAATATTGGACATAAAGTGATGCAGAGATTCAGAATCAAACTCAAATCATAATGCATGGCAAGATGACATCCTCAGTTTAGCACGCAAGGCAGCCCCTGCTGTACAAGGACATTACTGCACAAAGCACTCGGATTCCCCACAGGATGCCAAAAAATTCACATTTTCCTGTGGAGTGGTCCAGCCTTCTAAAAGCTCTTCGCACCTTGCCTTGCTGGACTCCGGGCACCGTGAAACAACTCAATAAATTGAAAAAGACTTCATGTTTAACTTAAAAAAAAAATGTAACTCACATAAGCATGGAAAAAAACAAACCCACAGGAACGCTTCTTACCTCTACGGATCCAGCTACCTTTGTCTTGCAGGCAGCTGAGTCACTTTTGCCCTGTGAAAATGGAAACGAAGAAAGAATTCCTTTAAGTCACAGGACGTATTTACAGTCAGCAACTTCATTAGCAAGGGCATTACTACCATACTCACCAGGCCTGTGAGCTTTTTGTTTCTAAACATTAATCTCCACATAATTTTAAGTAATTGGAGGAGTTTCTTTCGCGTTCAGGAAGCCCTTTAGTGAAAGCCTACAGAAGAAAGGAACTTGCGACTTTTGTGCAACTTTTAAAATTTAGCCAAAGGAAGTGATGGTGTCCCATCACCAACCTCAAAGCTCAACGGAAAGAAAGTCTCTTTCAAGCTCCATATGCACAGCATTTATCTTCCAAGCCACGCATCAGTGACGAGCAGGCAAATGCTTTCAGGTGACTCTAAACTCTAGTCTATGGAAGAGGCTCATTCCAGCTATTTTAATCTGTAGATTTCATCTTCATCTGTAATACGCTCGCATACACCTAGTTAAAATTCCAATCGTGCTTGGTCCAGGGCTTAAACCCGGAAGCGCGTGTGTCTAGGAGGCCTTTCTTCTTCCCAAGCCTCTTTTTGGCCAGCATGGTTTGGAGGTGACCTGAAGATTTTACTCAGCAACGTGGTTTTAGGACTGCTGAGAGCAGAGACAACGGCTACCCTTACTGCGGCACGTTCAGTGATGCAGGGGCCACATTTCCATTTCCTACTTTCTCCTTTAGCCTTTTCCTGCCACATTTCTCTTCTGTTCTCTGTTCCTTGGCTCATACCCACTGAAATATAAGAGATGAAGGAAGAAGCCAGAATTCAAATGAAATCTCCTTTGCCCCTACTGATGACTGCGGTTCAAGTGTCAGAAGACAGAGCGTTGGAATCACCATCTAAATGAAATGAGGCTAACAGGAGATGCCAGCGGCCTCTGCTGCCTCACATGGCCCTCGGTTGTCACGAGTGAGCACAGCTTTGGGGCTGGCTTCTCCCGAGTGTGCCATGAGGAAAGGGGTCCAGCGATTCTTCCCTGAGAGAAACCCCTGCACTGCGGGTGCCCATTCTCGCCTCAGCCTACACCTCCTCTGTCCTCCAACACAGCTGATGAGCGGCCGGTTTATCGAGGTGAGAATCATAGCTCTGTTTGTTTTATGTTCCCAACTGGACGGTAATTAATAACTGGCAAGAATACAGTTGCTAATGCTGACTTTACCACTTGTTTTTGCCATTTATGTACCTGTTTGTATTGTACTGGGCATGTATGGTGAGCCTATGTGGGGTTTCTACCCAGCAGCCCTTCTCCCCTCCTGGCAAGCACTCCCTTTCTTTCTATGGGACACTAGTTCCATGGAGTCCAGGTGGGAATGACCCCACCCCCCAGCCCCCCCACCACTGGGAGAAAGGCCCTAGCAGGGCTCCCTCAGAGCTGTCAGCCCCCTTGTCCTGGGATGGCCAGCCTGGCAGATGACCTAAGTCTGGGGTTTGTGCTTGCTCTGCCTTGGAAATGTGCCTGCCTGAGAATGGAGTCGAGCAAGGAGGAAGAGAAATTCAGTGTCCTGCCGACAGCTTCGGACGCTGGGATTCAGACCCACCAGAAACCATCTCTTTCAATGGTGTGAGCCAACAAATTGCCAATTTTAAGAAGGTTTGATTCTGTTTCTATAACTTGAAAAAGATGGTGAGACCCGGTGGAACATAAATGACGCTTTTACAGAAAAATACCTAATAGCATGAAAATCCCAAATGTGCCGCAATGTTGTGCCTTCGCCTATCACCTCATTCCACTCCATGACCTACTCTCAGGGCAACCAGCTTTTCAAAGGAAGTGCCCCACAGATGGCGCTACTAAGCCCGGCTGTCGGGACACACCTGAGACTGTGCATCCAGGGTATGCGGTGCTTGGGGTCCCTCATAAAAAGACACATTACTAAATTTTTCATATTGTCTTGTTTAGAATCACTGACTGTCTTTCCCTTCTCACTTCCTGGACTCTCTTCTTTGCAAACAACATTAAGAATGTTGTTAACTCCCCTGAATTAAACAGGGGAATCTGGAATGACTTGGACATTAAATGAGGATTCTCCAGCCACTCTGCAGCCACGCTATCCCTCCCACCTCCACCCCTTCTCTTCCTCCAAACTGGCCCCCACACCCATCCTCTCTACACCATGGTCAGCCTGCTGTGCGGGCTCCACGTCTGGGTCAACCCTGTGTGGGCAGAGAACAGGGGCAGCTTCCAGCTCCAGAAGGAAATCCCAGCTCCTCTACTACTCCTTTCCGATCCAGGACACGAGAGGAGAGGACTCCCCTTACGGATCCCATCTCCTCCCCTGAAGCATCTGTGACTGTGCAGGTTGGAGAAGGAGGCAGGGAAGGGGGTGAGGAGAGGGGGAAGAGGGGTCACAGGAAAGCCCAGTGTGCCCTAATGAGGGGCTTTCCATCACAGGGGAGTCAGAGCCCCCACAGGAAATCCTGACTCCTGAAGCAATCCACTTTTCTTTTCTTTCTTTTCGTTTTTTTTTGTTTTGTTTTGTTTTGTTGTTTTTGAGGTGGAGTCTCGCTGTGTCACCCAGGGTGGAGTACAGTAGTGCAGTCTTGGCTCACTGCAACCTCTGCCCCCCAGGTTCCAGTGATTCTCCTGCCTCAGCCTCGTGAGTAGCTGGGATTACAGGCGCCCACCACCACACCCAGCTAATTTTTGTGTTTTTAGCGGAGACAGGGTTTCACCATTGGCCAGGCTGGTCTGGAACTCCTGACCTCAGGTGATCTGCCTGCTTTGGCCTCCCGAAACACTGGGATTACAGGCGTGAGCCACTGCACCTGGCTGCAATCTGCTACTGTCCCCTTCCTCGTCTGTCCATCCTGTTACATACCTGTGACCACATTATCGTCAAAATACGTTTAACATGAATTTATTATCATCATGGCTAGCTCCACCAGGAAGAAAAAAAAACTACCGTTGAGATGACATAAAACGCTTTGTGCAAATGATCGTCCTCCAGGGGTATTCCGTGAAGAGGACACTTGTCATATAGCCAAGCATGCTTGCAGAAAATAAATGGACGTGGTCAGACAAATATTTTTGTGTGTTTCATTGATTTGAAATAAACTATCAGAAATTTCTAAACAAATACTCGCCAACCTTTTGGAAAAAAATATGGATTGAATCTTTTTTTTTAAGTCTAGAAAGTGACCCAGTGTTGTGGGAGAAATGTGAAAGGCAGGCACCATCGCTTTCACGGCACTTGGGGTCATAGTCTGGATGACCAAGATTCATTTGATCCTCAGGGGTCTTTTATGATTGGACTGCAAGTAAAGCTGCCAGCCAAATTTTATAACACAAAAGGTGTTCCGTGTGCTCACAGCACCCCTGCTTACCAGATGACAGAATGTCTTGAAGATTGTGCACGTTCCTCAAAAGACACATTTAGACAGTCATGGTCAGGCAGTTGATAGACTCGATATCAGCTATGAATTTCTCAGTGAAATTAGTGCATGGGATTCTAGAAAATTGGACACTTTCAAGTGGTGCTGTGGCTGGAGTGGTGCAGCCGTCTTTACCCAGCGAGCGTCCCGGCGTTGGTTATTCTGGGTCTTTGAGAATGCTGTGACTGTCCCTGCTGCTGCTGCACCCATCCCAGCACCACGTGGCTAAGCTCTCCCAAGATGCTACGGACCATGGTAGGGAGCTCAGCCTCCCAAGCAGCCAGCCAGGGTTTATTTCCTGGCACCAGAACTTAGGCAAGTCATTGGACTCCTCAGCCCCAATTTCCCTGTTTGTACAATTGAGGAAGACAGTCCCTTACACAGGGGTGGTGGGAGAAAGAAATGAGCTGGCCCATATTGGGCTCCCAGCAGACAGCAGCCATCAGTGAACATCAGCATGATGACGATGTGGGGAAAATTAAGGCGTTCCCAGATTACAGCAGCATAAAGGACCCCAAAACATCTCGCCCTTCTTTGAGAACGCTGGCATGTGTGCTTCTTGTCTGTGACCTCTGAGGAGTCGGATCCCCAGGTGCTTCAATAGCTCTGAGCTGTCCTTTATTTTGGATGAGCCCCGTCTTCCAGCTTTTAGGGTTGGGAGGGCAGAGGAGAAACGGCAGGTGGCACTGCGGATATTTTTACACAGGATAATGTGACCTGCCCAGCCTGCACCTGCGCTCAGCATCATCAGAGTTCCGTTTCTTATACTTAATTAGGCTACACAACCAATTTTACGATTTTACCATTTTGAAATCACGTGGGAGTTACCAAAATGGTTAATTTAAAACGGTTTTACCCAGACTTTGGGGGGCAGTCTTGATTCTTAAATGGCTTTGATGGCTTTGATAAACACCCTGGGCCCTTCCTCCAAAAAATACACACTCATTGAAAGCCCCCCCCACCCCCGGCCCCTTCGCACTATGCACAGCCCTCAGGAGCTCCACCTTTGGTTTTGGGGGAGTCTCTAAGTGCCCAAAAGTTTCCCTCGCAAATTTGCACGTCTACCACTAGATGGCAGCAGAGGACACAGCAAGTGAGAACACTCCGAGGCGCGTGCAGCCAATGAAATCCTGGAAACTTGTTACATTTTGTTATAACAAACAAAATATAGGCCTTGGTTTTCTTTAATCTTACTGATGTGCTCCTGGAAGAAGAAAAATGCTAATTTACACAGGGTCCACGTTGTAGGAAGGCTGAATTTGGTTTCCATGACCCCCGACTCTCCCTCCGCTGGTGCTCAGCTCTCCCCACACCTGCCAGCTTTATTTGGATTTCTGTCAGTTCTGAAGTATCAGCTACCTGAGGCTGCAGCATCAGCCAAGAAACCGTCTCTTTCAGACGCTTGCTGGCTTCAGGGCTGCAGCCCGGGGATCTTCTCTAGATAAAGCGCGGTGGAAACACACACAGACACATGACGATGCTGTCGACCCACATGCCTGAGCTCTGGGATTCCACGGCTGGAGCTCGGAACTGCGAAGGGGCAGAGACTGAGCGCAGGCAAAGGCGCACAGAGAGGACTACACAACACAAAGGATAATGTCCTCGCGATGGAGGAACCACTGTGGACAGTCAGGAAGACAGACACGCGTGGAGGGCCAGAACTGGAAGTGAGGGCGGGCATTGCTGGCTTTATCTGATCACTGGGAAGGGTGGTTGTGAAAGCCACTGAGGGTGTGTGCCTCTCCCCAGCCACAGCGGTGCTGGAGAGGAGGCTGGGGCGCTCACCACTCTTTCCTCTACCATCCGGCTCTGGGGGCCAGGTCCATGCAAAAATACGTGGAGAAAGTACAGCTTAGAGGACTTCTACTTCCAGCAAGACGCCAGGCAGAAATGACAGAGAATGATCTCGCTACACCCACTAGAAGTGGTGGATAAAACACAACAAAAAAGGAGGTTCAACGAAAAGCTGAGTTGTAAGAAGGAAGGATTAACCCACAGGCTCCAGAAATGAGGAGGACTGGAAGAGAGAGAATGGAGTCCCCGCACTGACTTTGAGACCGTCCTGGGGGCATTTTCCGTTTCTGTAATCTTCCAGGTTAGATTTCTTGTTTTTGTGTTTTAATTTTTTTTATATCGAGGTGAATTTCACACAACAAAATTGATCGTTTTAACATGAATGATGAGGTGGCGTTTAGTGCATTCACACTGACGTGTCACCAGGTAATTCCCAACATCTGCCTCTTCCACGCCCATGAAGCAGTTGCTCCCCACTCTGCCCTCCCAGTCCCTGGCAACCAGCAATCCGTGCCGTCTCTGTGGGTTCACCTGCTCTGGGCATTTGGTATAGACAGAACCGCACAGCGTGGGGTCTTCTGGGTCTGGCTTCTTTTGCTCTGCATGATGTGCTCGAGGTTCGTCCATGTTGCAGGGTGTGTCAACGCTTCCTTCCCTTTAGTGGCTACATAACATGCCATTGTTTGTTTACACCACAGTTTGTGCGTCCATTCATCCATTGATGGACATGTGGGCTGTCTCTTATCTTTTGGCGACTGTGAGTTGTGCTGCTATAAACAAGTGTGTGCGTATTTTTGTTTCAGTACCTGTTTTCAACAATCTTGGGTACATACCTAGGAGGGGGTCAGCCGCAGCCTTTCATGTGCTTCTCCGCCATTTGTAGTTCTCTTTTGGAGAAATGTCTACTTAAGCCCATCACCCATTTTTTCATTGGGCTGGTGGTCTTTTTGTTGTTCAAGCTTGGGTTTTAATATGCTGGAGATACAGGGAAGGAGGATGGGGCGGCTGTGAGGTGAAGAGCTGGACCTGAGGTTGCTGCGGGAGGCCTGAGCAGGGAGCGCAAAGCCTGGACGAAAGCCCCGACCAGCTGAGAAGAGGACGGGAGACATCGAACTTGTCCTGGGCTCAGGTTAACAATACATGGATTTTACGTCTTCTCTGATAATTAAAAATGCCAGGCCTGTGCCTTCCATGAGTTTGGGTGTGAATTCATAATGACAAGGGTGGCTCAGGGTGAAGTTTAATGTGACAGCTGGTCTGGTGCCAGGAACATGCCTAAGTCACAAACCCAGAACTCCGCTGAAGGGACCACCTGAAACTGAGCCACGGGGAAAGCACAGAGAGAGGAAGTGGCCTCCGAGTGCACGCACAGCCAGGAGCCCCAGAACCCAGGCAGCGCCACTCTGCACGATGGGCAGAGGACACACAAAAAGGCAAAAATGGAGCCAAGAATTCCAGAGAACAGATGAACAATATTCAGGAGTATTAAAGAAGTATTGTTAAAAGTTATAAAATCATAAAGAACATAGTAAAAGAAATAAATGTAAACAAGTTGGAAAGAATAAATTAAAACTGCTACGGTTCACAGATAGTATAAATCTCTACAGAATCCAAGAGAATCTACAGAGAATTTATTAATTTGAATAAGAGGGTATGGAAAGGTTATGGATGGAAAAGTAATATTCAAAAGCAGTTTTGGCAATACAGCAGAAAATAATTTTAAATGATAGCATTTGCAATTGTGAGAGAGAGAGAAAAGAGAAGAAAAAACCTTATAAGCTATAAAAGAGACATCTAAAAAAATGTGTAATGTCTTTACAGAAAAGATGAGTAACTTTATTGAAAGATATAAAAGAAGACTAAAGTAAATCTTAATACAGTAAATATAGCAATTTTTCCAAAGTCAATCTGTAAATTTAATTTAATAAAATCATAATCCAAAAAGGACGATTTTTTCTGAATTTAAAACAAAGTGATTTTGAAGGCTGAAGGACAGCCAACACCATTTTAAAGACACAGAAGCAAAGACAAGCCCTGGCAGGGAGATATCGGTGCTTACGTTAGCCTTAGAAGAACTCAGAGGGTGCCACGGGCGCAGCAGAGCCTGGAGACCTGCCTGCCTCTGTGTGGGGCTCACGAAAGGGCAAAGCTGTTAGAGAACAGCAGGGTGAGATGGCCTCTGCAACGACTGGCGCCGGCCAACTGACTGATCAACCTCATACCATATATATCAATACATTCAAGATGCGTTAAAGGCCAGAATGTGAAAAAACCAAACCACAATGTTCAAAAGGATATCCAGGAGATGATATGGTTGTTTTAACTTGAGCTACTAAAGAATTCTTTAAACAACTCAGAACGCCATACATTGTTTTACAAATTGTTTTTTAGGCTGGGCATGGTGGCTCACACCTGTAATCTCAGCACTTTCGGAGGCCGAGATGGGTGGATCACCTGAGGTCAGGAGTTCAAGACCAGCCTGGCCAACACGGCGAAACCCCGTCTCTACTAAAAATATAAAAATTAGACGGTTGTGGTGGCACGCGCCTATAGTCCCAGCTACTCGGGAGGCTGAGGCAGGAGAATCTCTTGAACCCAGGAGGCAGAGGTTGCAGTGAGCCAAGATCATGCCATTGCACTCCAGCCCGGGTGACAAGAGTGAAACTCTATCAAAAAAACAACAAGATTAACCCATTAACTCATGTGTTAATAAGATGCGTCCACTCCTGTCAGAGAGTGAGCTCCTGGCTCCTACAAACAGCACCGTAAGCGCCACGCTGCGTCTGGTGAGAGTTGGAGAAGCAAAAACTCTGGCCCGTTGCTATTGACTACACTGATGCTCTGATACACCCAGCATTCAGCTGCTTTGGAGAGCAGTTTGTCGATAGCAGATTAACTTGAAAATGCGCAAATCTTGTGGCCTGCCGATTTCACATTGACGTGTCTAGACAGGGAGTGTAACTCTGGCGCACACTGATGGGGAGACAGGTGCGAGCTTTCTCACTGGCACTGCTTCAAAGATCAAAACATTGAACGTAATCTAACGGTTCCTTGGTGGGAGAGTGGAAAAGTAAACTATGGCATTTTTCCTACCGTGATGTTCTCTACGGCCCTCAGGATGGTGCAACAGAGCTCTGTCATCAGCAGGGGTCAATCCCAAAATATCCTAAGGAGTTGTTTTTAAAGTAAGCTTCAAAAGCAAAGAGACTGCCTTCCGTCCAGTAAAGATTTAAAGCACACCTGTAATTTATAGATGCTGAGTCTCATGGACTGAATTGTATCCTCAAAATTCCTGTGTTGAAGCCCGGCCCGCACATGTGGAGGGTGTGAGTCTGGAAATGCTCAGGGACCCCCGGGCTTCACAAGATGACTGAGACATTGGAGGAGGGGCCTGGGAGCCTGTGCTTGTGACCCCAACCCTTGGCTGGTGGAATAGGGGAGAGCCCAGGGCTAAGGGAGAGAAAGAACCAGTAACCCATGTGCCGGAGCCGCTCCGGGGCCTCAGTCTAGTCAGGATCCAGATCACACAGCCGTGATCGCCCACATCCCGTCCACAGAGCACTTGCTCTGTGTCCTTAGGTGAGCGGCCAGGGTGTTTCCTTTCCATGAGCAGATTCGGCTCAACTCATCCTCCTCTCACCCCAGACTCTCACCAGGCAGAAGAGGAACTGGATGGCTGACTGCAGAAGGGACCCATGAAGTGAGGGCGGCCAAGAGAAATAACGGCAAGGCTGGGGCTAGCGTTGCCGACGGCTGCTGGAAAAGGACTCACCAAGTCCCTCAGCTCGCTAGAGACAACCAATGCTCTCAGTGGCAAACACTGGGGTGGCAGACTGGGAAGGAGATAGTTTTTTTGAACTCATCCCAAGGATACCACCATATTTTAAAAAGTGCCAAGATGACAGTGCTCCCCCTTTTCTATGGGAGATAGGGAAAGGCCTCCTCTGCTTTTCTTCATGGTGGGAGGCCTTGCTAATTTCTCAGGCAAGGGGATGGCTCAAAGCAGGAGAAGTGTTCCTTGGCAAGCAATGAGTAGCGTCACTGTGACCAATAGCAGCATAGTTCTGGGCTGCATCGCGTACCCCAAAATCCATGCCTTGAAGTCCAGCCCCAGTGCCTGGGAATGTGTCCTGATTTGGGAAAGGGCCATTGCAGCTGGGCTTAGCTGAGAGGCAGTCACCTCGGAGTATGTGGGCCTAGTCCAATATGATGGTGTCCTCAGAGGCACAGAAACAGGTGCATGGGGGACAATGGCCACCTGGCCATGGGGAGAGAGATGGGGGAAGGACCACCAGCAACCATGAAGCCAGAGAGAGGCCCGAGCACAGCCTCCCTCACAGCCCCAGCGGGAGCCAGGCCTGCGGCACCTGGACCTGGGGCTTCTGGCCTCGGGACTGTGAGACGACCAACCTCTATTGTTTAAGTCGCCCAGTCTCGGTGCCTTGTTACGGCAGCTCTGGCAAATGCGTATACCACAGAAGCCAGAGGTTCCCTTCATGGGCCCACCCAGAGGAGCTGGAGAACCAGGAGAAAACATCATTCAGTGTTTAACCAAGGGGAGGGGTCAGACTTGAAATATGAGCCAATCCCAGATGTCGAAGGTCTCCTGGTGGTCTTTTATGGGCATTTAATATGCTATTTATAGTTTTCATCTGCACCTGTAGAAAATACATAATTGTCTCAAACTAAGACTCAGGGCAAAAAAGTGTGTCTGCAACATTGCAAGTCAGCCTGGTTGGATTACACAGATGTGGACAAGACCTTTTAAAAAATATCTTGTAACACCCCAGGCTGAGCAACCAACACTCCCCAGTGGACTAATGCAGAGCCACGCTGCAATCAAGTTCATCACAATCATGACTACTCCGATATTCGGACACTTCGCTAGCAGAAAGAGACTATTTTACTGACTCCTACTAGAAGCTCCAGTTCCTCTCCCAGCCTTTAAGGACTAGAAATCTCTCTAAAGAAACAGTATTGCTGGGTTGTAAATAAGACATCACTCCTCTAACAGAAATACAAAACATGATGGACCTTTTTTCTCTGCTTAAATTTATGAAGGTCATAGCTTTAGAAAGACCAATCAACACATCAGGTTCTTATTAAGTGTATTTAAGACGAAGGTAGGTCATTATCAACTATTTTCACAAAGGAACTAGGAACCGCATTTCACTCTTAATTATACATAAGTTGACTGTGCATTTTGGGGATTGTTCAAGATGACTTCTTAACGTCAGTGGCTTCTCCCTGTCACTTGGACGCTGTCCTCACACCCCCTGGCGTGCTCCCAGGGAAGACTAGCCAACTTGACCCCCTGCTGAAGCAACACAATTGGGGTCACAGCTCCCAGCAGAGGCAGGACTTCGCTCTCTTTGGGTGAGAGGCACCTGGAGGGGCTGCCACAGAACTACATGCACCCACCCAAGTCAGGCAGGTTCACCTGGTGGGGCTGACCCAGGACTGCATGCATGCACCTAAGTTGGGCAGATGTACCTGGAGGGGCTGCTCATGTCCCGTATGCACTCACCCCGGTCAGGCAGGTGCTTGGTAAACAGGCCCAGCTGCAAATGACAGAGGAGGCCAAGCAAACTGGGAACCTTCCTGAGGACAGATGATGGAGCTAGGAGACGGCATCTCTGAGATGCAGCAGAGACTTGCACCAGGAGCCAGGAGCCAGGCAGATGGAGAAGCAGGCATGGTTTAGAGTCCAGAAGGCAAAGCTTCTCCCTCAGAGCCGACTATGGGCAGAGTGTCCCAACCACCAGTGTCGACATTCTGAGTGGATGACTCTGTCGTGGGGCCTGTCCTGTGCATGCTAGGATGTTCAGCAGTATATCTGGCCTTGACCCACTAGTGGCCAGTAGCATGTCCCCCCTGGACAGCCCAAGTTATGACAACCAAAAATGTCTCTAGAGGCCGGGCATGGTGACTCACACCTGTAATCCCAGCACTTTGGGAGGCCAAGGTTGGCGGATCATCTTGAGGTCAGGAGTTTGAGACCAGCCTGGCTAACATGGTGAAACCCTGTTTCTACTAAAAATACAAAAAATTAGCCAGGTGTAGTGGTGAGCGCCTGTAACCCCCGCTACTCAGGAGACTGAGGCACGAGAATTGCTTGAGCCTGGGAGGAGGAGGTTGCAGTGAGCTGAGATTGCTCCACTACACTCCAGCCTGAGCAACAGAGCAAGACTGTCTCAAAAAACAACAACCACAACAAAATGTCTCTAGACGTTGCCAAATGATGTCCCTGAGTTGGGTGATGCAAAATTACCCCTGGTTCAGAAGCAATTGAGTCTTTAGAAGCACAAGTCCAGCCTATCTGGGGTCCCGGCAGGTTTTGAAGATGGAGACTCGGGTATAGGAGGAGACACACCCATGCACCAGACTCTTAAACAAAGTCCTAGCTGTGCTCTCAGGACCGATCAGAAGCCAGCACTGAAGCAGCAGCACGAGGTTAGAGCCACCAGAAGGAAGCGTGACTCGATCCCGAGGCCCGGATTGCTGAGTTGGGCCTCCTCAAGTCCTCCCTTGGCACCAGCAGAATTACTCAAAAGCCTGTGTCTGCATCTTAGAGGCAGATGGCTACAGCCTGCTCTGGGAGGGAGCGGATGGCCAGGAGAGAGCCGGGGCCCTACCTGACGTCAGAACTGTCCTCCCAGCCCCAGCTCAGCCCGGATGCAACAGAAGCCAGAAGTGCACCCAAGGTGCAGGCAAGCAGGGATTGTTCAGCACAAATGCACTCGTCAGTTCTAACTTATTCTTAAGCTGACTCAGCAGAGTGCTTCTTCCTCTGCTCTGGGTGATCATGGAGGCCACCCCAGGCTTGTCTAATCTCTCTCAGCCAATCACAGGCCTCTGGCCCCAGGATAGCTAATTTGTGTCCACTTGGCTGTGCTGTGGTGCCCAGTTGTTTGGTCAAACACCAGTCTAAACTTGCTGCAGGGTATCTTTTAGGTATTATTATTATTATTATTATTATTATTATTATTATTATTATTATTATTATTGTTTTTGAGACAGGGCCTCTCTGTGTCACCCAGGCTGGAGTGCAGTGGAGGCTTCACAGCTCACTGCAGCCTCGACCTCCTGGAATCAAGCAATCCTCCCGCCTCAGCCTTCCAGGAGCTGGAACTACAAGCAGGAGCCACGTGATTAACATTGAAATCAGCAGATTTGAGTAAAGTAGATTACCTTCGTAATGTGAGTGGGCCTCGTCGAATCAGTTGAAGGCCTTAAGGGAAAAGACTGAGCTACCCTGAAGAGGAAGGAACTCTGTCTTCAGACAGCCTTGAGACTAGAACATCTACTCCCACTAGAATTCCCAGCCTGCTGGTCTGCCCTGTGAACTTGTGACTTGCCTGCCAGCCCCACAATTGTGTGAGCCAATTCCTTAACAAAAGCAAATTGCTGTCTCTCTCTAGATAGACAGATATAGATACAAATGACATAGATATATGCATACATACATATCTAAAATTTCATATATACACATGCACACATATCTAAAACTACATATATATGTACACATATCTATAACTGCATATATACATGTGCACACCTATGCATAGCTATGTATACACATGTGCACACCTATCTGTAACTACATATATATGTGAACACTTATTTGTAATCACATACACGCGTGGACACCTATCTAAAACCACATATACACATGTGCACATCTATCTATAACTACATATATACACGTGCACAGTTACCTGTAACCACATATGCACACGTGCACACCTATCTATACCACATATGCACACGTGCACACCTACGCATCACCACATATGCACACGTGCACACCTACGCATCACCACATATGCACACGTGCACACCTACGCATCACCACATATGCACACGTGCACACCTACGCATCACCACATATGCACACGTGCACACCTACGCATCACCACATATGCACACGTGCACACCTACGCATCACCACATATGCACACGTGCACACCTACGCATCACCACATATGCACACGTGCACACCTACGCATCACCACATATGCACACGTGCACACCTACGCATCACCACATATGCACACGTGCACACCTACGCATCACCACATATGCACACGTGCACACCTACGCATAACCACATATGCACACGTGCACACCTACGCATAACCACATATGCACACGTGCACACCTACGCATAACCACATATGCACACGTGCACACCTACGCATAACCACATATGCACACGTGCACACCTACGCATAACCACATATGCACACGTGCACACCTATCTATACCACATATGCACACGTGCACACCTATGCATAACCACATATGCACACGTGCACACCTATGCAGAACCACATATGCACACGTGCACACCTATGCAGAACCACATATGCACACGTGCACACCTATGCAGAACCACATATGCACACGTGCACACCTATGCAGAACCACATATGCACACGTGCACACCTATGCAGAACCACATATGCACACGTGCACACCTATGCAGAACCACATATGCACACGTGCACACCTATGCAGAACCACATATACACACGTGCACACCTATGCAGAACCACATATACACATGTGCACACCTATCTATACCACATATATACACGTGCACACCTATGCATAACCACATATGCACACGTGCACACCTATCTATAACCACATATATACCTATGTATGCATGTCTATACATGAGACCAGAGAAGTCCCGCAGTGGTCTCCATGTCTCATCCAGGACAGAGGAAGCATTCTACCGAGTAAATTTATGAATAAGTTTGGCTTGATGAGTGCATTTGTGATGAATAATCCCTGTTTGCCTCACTTTGCATGTGCTTCCTGGCTTCTGTTGTACACGGGCTGAGCTGGGGCTGGGAGGATGGTTCTGATGTCAGGAAAATCCCCAGCTTGCCCTGGCTGTCAGGTCCTTCTTAGAGCAGGTTGTAGCTATTGGTCACTCTCTGTATACACGTGTCTGTATATGTGTAAATCTTTCTGTGTTTGCGTCTACCTATCTGTCTGCATCTTTTTAGATCTGTTTCTTTGGAGAGCACTGACTAGTACAATCCCATTTGCTTGTAAAGGCAGTCTCATTCTGAAATAAGACAATCTTCCGAATTCTTGATGTAAGCCTCTGCCTGTCTGGGACATTCCCCGGAAAGCAGGGGAGGGACTTGGCGCTTCTTCTCTTCACCCCTCATGTGCCACCCCCCACTAGGCTGCCAAGGCAGGTCACCCAGTTCTGCCGGCCTCAGTCTCCTCCCTAGGTCGCTGGCTCCAGGTTTGAAAAGATGTGTATAGGGCAGGGATTATTGGCTCTTTCAGTTTATGGGAGCTGTTGCTCCTTTCTTCTACTTACTTGAGGGTTTATTATTTTTTAAGTAATTACTTTCCATAGACAATGGACCAGAAAACACCTGAAAGATAGCGACTAAGTTCAAGGTTGCTCCACGCCAGGCATGGTGCTCCTGGTTCGAGAGCTCCACTCACGTGGTCCTTACGAGAATCTGAGCAACATGAACACCGTTTTTCAGCTGTTGAACCTAAGACTGAACAAGGTTAAATAATTTATCCAAAGTCACAAGCTAGTAGTTGCAGAGCCAGCATTTGAAGTCAGACTTAGCTGAGTCCAAGCCCGTATTCTTAAGCACCACAATTTGCTTCCAGGCATCTTGTTTCTATAAAGCACTCAATGATTTTACTACAACGATCTTATTTATATGAGACTTAAGTCATTCAAATATGTTTTTAGGACATGTTAGTATAAAGACAAGGTATTGCCAAAAAGATTTTTTACCTTTCTTCCTTTTTGTTCTAGAAGGTCAATAATGAAATCTAACAAAATAATAATAAAAATAGCAGATAATAATCAATTAAATAACATTTGGTTTTATTTTCTTTTTAAAAATCTAAGAAAAAAGGGGTTCTGACAAATGTGACCAGAAAACCATACAATTCAGATATCCTTTTTCAACAATCATTTATGGGTGTTTCTTGTTATTTGAGAAAATTGAGTTAGGAACAGTGACTCCTCCAATCCACTTACAGTATGGAAAGCTGATATCACAGTACATTTTAAGTCCTTCTGTGGTGAACAGTCTCCTTTTATTTTGCTAATCATCATGGAGCAGAACTAAATATGAACACAGGAGTGGCAGCCTGGCTCAGCCAGCCCAGAAAAATGTCTTTAAAAATGAACTTGTCTAATAAACCTTAATTCCAAATACAGAACATAAGGAAGGAGAATTTACAAATCATGGTATTAGCAGTAAGAAAAGCAAACCAGTTAAAAGGAGTTAATAGAGAATAATGATTGTTAATATGGCCATGAAAATGGGAGAAAATGGTGACAAAACTGATTATCAAAGTAGAAAAGGTAACAAAATAATTCATGAATGATATCACGGATGCAAAAAAAAAAATTCTGATTGCATCAACAAAGATTTGTAGACGGTTGGGAGTAGTATGGAAGGAAGAATGTAAAAGTATTCTTTTTTGTAATTTACTTCAAACATTGCTAGGTTAATAGATATTGCCATTTTATAGTAGTATAAACAAAAATGCTACAATTATACTTTTAAAAGATGCATACCTTCCACATCACAGGAGGAAAAAAATGCTTAAAAAAATCATCATAGCAAAAGTGAAGAAAACTGAATTATGTCATGATAAATTTTTAGTAATTGTGTAATTTAGTGCTCAAAAATAGTTTAGTTCAGGTGTTTTATGCTTAATTTTGGTTACTTTCATCAGTAGAGTAATATATATAATTCCAGTTCCACATTTTTGATCCTCATGACCACTAGAGGGCAGAAGAGAAAAGTACAAGAGGCCCGAGATAGGTCAAATGAGCCTGATGCCATTTTGCAATGTGGGTTTTAAATGGCCTTCCCAACCAGGAATTCTGATTCGTGGTAGACACAGCTATGTCGGTGTGCCAATATGTGTATAGAAAACTCAATCCAGAATTTAAATATTTTTCCTAAATTAGGCCTTAAAATATTATTTTGCATAAAATAAGATGTAAAATAAGCATGTTTATATAAAAATATTCAAATTATTTGACCCAATAACTTCTAGGAGTTTATCCAAAGATAAAGACTGATGTATGTGGATGTTTATCATAGTGTTTTTTTTATCATGATGTATAATTGAAAATTTACCTAAGTAATCAACAATAGGGGATTGTACTAATAAATTATGGTACAGCTATATGATGGAAAACTCTAGCTGCTTTTAAAAATATTTAAGTGTTTTGGGGAAAAGTTATGAAATGTTAAGAGAATATTATAAAAAGTATGATTTGATATTTATGAATTATATAAACTGTGTTGATTTAAATATAGAAACATATCTAGATACTGATGATAAAAATATAAGTCTGGCTGTGGGAGTACAGATATAGAAGTAGAAATGTTCCAAAAAAAAAGGTCACAGTTGAAAAAAATATACCCCCTGTTAAAAGTTACTGTCTCTTCTTTATTACATTTAAATTTATTTTAAGCATTTATACCCTTCACTGGGAAAACTGACTAGCCATAAGCAGAAAACTGAAACTGGACCCCTTCCTTACACCTTATATGAAAATTAACTCAAGATGGAGTAAAGACTTAGATGTAAAACCCAAAGCCATAAAAACTCTAGAAGAAAACCTAGGCAACACCATTCAGGACATGGGCATGCGCAAAAACTTCATGACTAAAACACCAAAAGCAATGGCAACAAAAGCCAAAATTGACAAATGGGATCTAATCAAACTAAAGAGCTTCTGCGCAGCAAAAGAAACTAGCATCAGACTGAACAGGCAACCTAAGGAATGGGAGAACATATTTGCAATCTACTCATCTGACAAAGGGCTAATATCCAGAATCTACAAAGAAGTTAAACAAATTTACAAAAAAAAAAAAAAAAAACCAACCCATCAAAAAGTCGGCAAAGGATATGAACCGACACTTCTCAAAAAAAGACATTTATGCAGCCAACAGACATATGAAAAAAAGCTCATCATCACTGATCATTAGGTATTATGATTAGGCAAATCAAAACCACAATGAGATACCATCTCACACTAGTCAGAATGGCAATCATTAAAAAGTCAGGAAAAAATAGATGCTGGTGAGGCTGTGGAGAAATGGGAATGCTTTTATGCTGTTGGTGGGAGTGTAACTCGGTTCAACCATTGTGGAGGACAGTGTGGCGATTCCTCAAGGATCTAGAACAAGAAATATCATTTGACCCAGCAATCCCATTACTGGGTATAGACCCAAAGGATTATAAATCATTTTACTATAAAGACACATGCACACCTATGTTTATTGCAGCACTATTTACAATAGCAAAGACATGGAACCAACCCAAATGCCCATCAATGATAGACTGGATAAAGAAAATGTGGTACATATACACCATGGAATACTATGCAGCTATAAAAAAGAATGAGATCATGTTCTTTGCAGGGACATGGATGAAGCTGGAAGCCATCATCCTCAACAAACTAACACAGAAACAGAAAACCAAATACTGCATGTTCTCATTCATAAGTGGGAGCTGAACAATGAGACCACTTGGACTCAGGGAGGGGAACATCACACACCGGGGCCTGTCCGGGGTGAGGGGCAAGGGGAGGGAGAGCATCAGGACAAATACCTAATGCATGTGGGGCTTAAAACCTAGATGACAGGTTGATAGGTACAGCAAATCATCATGACACATGTATGTATATGTACCAAACCTGCACATTCTGCACATGTATCCTGGAACTTAAAGTAAAATAAAAAATAAAAATAAAATAGGTGGGTGGAGCCAAGATGGCTGAATAGGAACAGCTCCAGTCTACAGCTCCCAGGGTGAGTGACGCAGAAGACAGGTGATTTCTGCATTTCCATCTGAGGTACCAGGTTCATCTCACTAGGGAGTGCCAGACAGCGGGCACAGGACAGCGGGTGCAGCATACCGTGCGCGAGCTGAAGCAGGGCGAGGCATTACCTCACTCGGGAAGTGCAAGGGGTCAGGGAGTTCCCTTTCCTAGTCAAAGAAAGGGGTGACACACGGCACCTGGAAAATCGGGTCACTCCCACCCTAATACTGCACTTTTCCCACGGCCTTAAAAAACAGCGCACCAGGAGATTATATCCCACACCTGGCTCGGAGGGTCCTACGCCCACGGAGTCTCGCTGATTGCTAGCACAGCAGTCTAAGATCAAACTGCAAGGCTGCATCGAGGCTGGGGGAGGGGCGCCCGCCATTGCCCAGGTTTGATTAGGTAAACAAAGCAGCTGGGAAGCTCGAACTGGGTGGAGTCCACCACAGCTCAAGGAGGCCGGCCTGCCTGCCTCTGTAGGCTCCGCCTCTGGGGGCAGGGCACAGACAAACAAAAAGACAGCAGTAACCTCTGCAGACTTAAATGTCCCTGTCTGACAGCTTTGAAGAGAGTAGTGGTTCTCCCAGCATGCAGCTGGAGATCTGAGAACAGGCAGACTGCCTCCTCAAGTGGGTCCCTGACCCCCGAGCAGCTTAACTGGGAGACACCCCCCAGTAGGGGCAGACTGACACCTCACACGGCCGGGTACTCCTCTGAGACAAAACTTCCAGAGGAACGATCAGGCAGCAGCATTTGTGGGTCACCAATATCCGCTGTTCTGCAGCCACCACTCCTGATACCCAGGCAAACAGGGTCTGGAGTGGACCTCTAGCAAAGTCCAACAGACCTTCAACTGAGGGTCCTGTCTGTTAGAAGGAAAACTAACAAACAGAAAGGACATCCACACCAAAAACCCATCTGTACATCACCATCATCAAAGACCAAAAGTAGATAAAACCACAAAGATGGGGAAAAAACAGAGCAGAAAACTGGAAACTCTAAAAAGCAGAGCGCCTCTCCTCCTCCAAAGGAATGCAGCTCCTCACCAGCAATGGAACAAAGCTGGACGGAGAATGACTTTGACGAGTTGAGAGAAGAAGGCTTTGGACGATCAAACTACTCTGAGCTACAGAAGGAAATTCACACCAATGGCAAAGAAGTTAAAAACTTTGAAAAAAAAATTAGACGAATGGATAACTAGAATAACCAATGCAGAGAAGTCCTTAAAGGAGCTGATGGAGCTGAAAGTCAAGGGTCGAGAATTACGTGAAGAATGCAGAAGCCTCAGGAGCCGATGCGATCAACTGGAAGAAAGGGTATCTGTGATGGAAGACGAAATGAATGAAATGAAGTGAGAAAGGAAGTTTAGAGAAAAAAGTATAAAAAGAAATGAACAAAGCTTCCAAGAAATATGGGACTACGTGAAAAGACCAAATCTACATCAGATAGGTGTACCTGAAAGTGATGGGGAGAATGGAACCAAGTTGGAAAACACTCTGCAGGATATTATCCAGGAGAACTTCCCCAATCTAGCAAGGCAGGCCAACATTCAGATTCAGGAAATACAGAGAATGCCACAAAGATACTCCTCGAGAAGAGCAACTCCAAGACACATAATTGTCAGATTCACCAAAGTTGAAATGAAGGAAAAAATGTTAAGGGCAGCCAGAGAGAAAGCTCGGGTTACCCACAAAGGGAAGCCCATCATACTAACAGCGGATCTCTCGGCAGAAACTCTACAAGCCAGAGGAGAGTGGGGGCCAATATTCAACATTCTTAAAGAAAAGAATTTTCAATGCAGAATTTCATGTCCAGCCAAACTAAGCTTCATAAGTGAAAGAGAAATAAAATCCTTTACAGACAAACAAATGCTGAGAGATTTTGTCACCACCAGGCCTGCCCTAAAAGAGCTCCTGAAGGAAGCACTAAACATGGAAAGGAACAACCGGTACCAGCCACTGCAAAAACATGCCAAAATGTAAAGACCATCAAGGCTAGGAAGAAACTACATCAACTAACGAGCAAAATAACCAGCTAACATCATAATGACAGGACCAAATTCACACATAACAATATTAACTTTAAATGTAAATGGGCTAAATGCTCCAATTAAAAGACACAGACTGGCAAATTCGATAAAGAGTCAAGACCCATCAGTGTGCTGTATTCAGGAGAACCATCTCATGTGCAGAGACACACATAGGCTCAAAATAAAGGGATGGAGGAAGATCTACCAAGCAAATGGAAAACAAAAAAAAAGCAAGGGTCGCAATCCTAGTCTCTGATAAAACAGACTTTAAACCAGCAAAGATCAAAAGAGACAATGAAGGCCATTACATAATGGTAAAGGGATCAATTCAACAAGAAGAGCTAACTATCCTAAATATATATGCACCCAATACAGGAGCACCCAGATTCATAAAGCAAGTCCTGAGTGACCTACAAAGAGACTTAGACTCCCACACAATAATAATGGGAGACTTTAACACCCCACTGTTAACATTAGACAAGTCAACGAGACAGAAATTTAACAAGGATATCCAGGAATTGAACTCAGCTCTGCACCAAGCGGACCTAATAGACATCTACAGAACTCTCCACCCCAAATCAACAGAATGTACATTCTTCTCAGCACCACATCACACTTATTCCAAAATTGACCACATAGTTGGAAGTAAAGCACTCCTCAGCAAATGTAAAAGAACAGAAATTACAACAAACTGTCTCTCAGACCACAGTGCAATCAAACTAGAACTCAGGATTAAAAAACTCACTCAAAACCACTCAACTACATGGAAATTGAACAACGTGCTCTTGAATGACCACTGGGTACATAACGAAATGAAGGCAGAAATAAAGATGTTCTCTGAAACCAACGAGAACAAAGACACAACATACCAGAATCTCTGGGACACATTCAAAGCAGTGTGTAGAGGGAAATTTATAGTACTAAATGCCCACAAGAGAAAGCAAGAAAGATCTAAAATTGACACCCTAACATCACAATTAAAGAACTAGAGAAGCAAGAGCAAACACATTCAAAAGCTAGCAGAAGGCAAGAAATAACTAAGATCAGAACAGAACTGAAGGAGATCGAGACACAAAAAAAAAACTCTTCAAAAAATCAATGAATCTGGGAGCTGGTTTCTTGAAAAGATCAACAAAATTCATTGACCACTAGCAAGACTAATAAAGAAGAAAAGAGATGCAATAAAAAGTGATAAAGGCGATATCATCACCAATCCCACAGAAATACAAACTACCATCAGAGAATATTATAAACACCTCTACGCAAATAAACTAGAAAATCTAGAAGAAATGGATAAATTCCTGGACACATACACCGACCCAAGACTAAACCAGGAAGAAGTTGAGTCCCTGAATAGACCAATAACAGGCTCTGAAATTGAGGCAATAATTAATAGCCTACCAACCAAAAAAAGTCCAGGACCAGATGGATTCACAGCCGAATTCTACCAGAGGTACAAAGAGGAGCTCGTATCATTCCTTCTGAAACTATTCCAATGAATAGAAAAAGAGGGAATCCTCCCTAACTCATTTTATGAGGCCAGCATCATAGTGATACCAAAGCCTGGCAGAGACACAACAAAAAAAGAGAATTTTAGACCAATATCCCTGATGAACATCGATGCAAAAATCCTCAATAAAATACTGGCAAACCAAATCCAGCAGCACATCAAAACTCTTATCCATCATGATCAAGTTGGCTTCATCCCTAGGATGCAAGGCTGGTTCAATATATGCAAATCAATAAACATAATCCATCATATAAACAGAACCAATGACAAAAACCACATGATTATCTCAATAGATGCAGAAAAGGCCTTTGACAAAATTAAACAGCCCTTCATGCTAAAAACTCTCAATAAACTAGGTATTGATGGGCTGTATCTCAAAATAATAAAAGCTATTTGTGACACACCCACAGCCAATATCATACTGAATGGGCAAAAACTGGAAGCATTCCCTTTGAAAACTGGCACAAGACAGGGATGACCTCTCTCACCACTCCTAGTCAACATAGTGTTGGAAGTTCTGGCCAGGGCAATTAGGCAGGAGAAGGAAATAAAGGGTATTCAATTAGGAAAAGAGGAAGTCAAATTGTCCCTGTTTGCAGATGACATGATTGTATATCTAGAAAACCCCACTGTCTCAGCCCAAAATCTCCTTAAGCTGATAACCAACTTCAGCAGTCTCAGGATACAAAATCAATGTACAAAAATCACAAGCAGTCTTATACACCAATAACAGACAAACAGAGAGCCAAATCATGAGTGAACTCCCATTCACAATTGCTTCAAAGAGAATAAAATACCTAGGAATCCAACTTACAAGGGATGTGAAGGACCTCTTCAAGGAGAACTACAAACCACTGCTCAAGGAAATAAAAGAGGATACAAACAAATGGAAGAACATTCCATGCTCATGGGTAGGAAGAATCAATATCGTGAAAATGGCCATACTGCCCAAGGTGATTTATAGATTCAATGCCATCCCCATCAAGCTACCAATGACTTTCTTCACAGAATTGGAAAAAACTACTTTAAAGTTCATATGGAACCAAAAAAGAGCCCGCATCGCCAAGTCAATCCTAAGCCAAAAGAACAAAGCTGGAGGCATCACGTTACCTGACTTCAAACTATACTACAAGGCTACAGTAACCAAAACAGCATGGTACTGGTACCAAAACAGAGATACAGAACAATGGAACAGAACAGAGCCCTCAGAAATAGTGCCACATATCTACAACCATCTGATCTTTAACAAACCTGACAAAAACAAGAAATGGGGAAAGGATTCCCTATTTAATAAATGCTGCTGGGAAAACTGGCTAGCCATATGTAGAAAGCTGAAACTGGATCCCTTCCTTACACCTTACACAAAAATTAATTCAAGACGGATTAAAGACTTAAATGCTACACCTAAAACCATAAAAACCCTAGAAGAAAACCTAGGCAATACCATTCAGGACATAGGCATGGGCAAGGACTTCATGTCCAAAACACCAAAAGCAATGGCAACAAAAGACAAAATTGACAAATGGGATCTAATTAAACTAAAGAGCTTCTGCACAGCAAAAGAAACTACCATCAGAGTGAACAAGCAACCTACAAAATGGGAGAAAATTTTTGCAACCTACTCATCTGACAAAGGGCTAATATCCAGAATCTACAATGAACTCAAACAAATTTACAAGAAAAAAACAAACAACCCCATCAAAAAGTGGGTGAAGGATATGAACAGACACTTCTCAAAAGAAGACATTTATGCAGCCAAAAAACACATGAAAAAATGCTCATCATCACTGGCCATCAGAGAAATGCAAATCAAAACCACAATGAGATACCATCTCATACCAGTTAGAATGGCGATCATTAAAAAGTGAGGAAACAACAGGTGCTGGAGAGGATGTGGAGAAATAGGAACACTTTTGCACTGTTGGTGAGACTGTAAACTAGTTCAACCATTGTGGAAGTCAGTGTGGCGATTCCTCAGGGATCTAGAACTAGGAATACCGTTTGACCTAGCCATCCCATTACTGGGTATATACCCAAAGGATTATAAATCATGCTGCTATAAAGACACATGCACATGTATGTTTATTGTGGCACTATTCACAATAGCAAAGACTTGGAACCAACCCAAATGTCCAACAACGATAGACTGGATTAAGAAAATGTGGCACATATACACCATGGAATACTATGTAGCCATAAAAAATGATGAGTTCATGTCCTTTGTAGGGACATGGATGAAGCTGGAAACCATCATTCTCAGCAAACTATTGCAAGAGCAAAAAACCAAACACCACATGTTGTCACTCATAGGTAGGAATTGAACAATGAGAACACATGGACACAGGAAGGGGAACATCACACTCCGGGGACTGTTGTGGGGTGGGGGGAGGGATAGCATTAGGAGATATACCTAATGCTAAATGATGAGTTAATGGGTGCAGCAACACCAACATGGCACATGTATACATATGTAACAAACCTGCACATTGTGCACATGTACCCTAAAACTTAAAGTATAATAACAATAAAATAAAAATAAATAAATAAAAAATAAAAATAAAATAAAAATTCATCCATTCTAAAAGAAATGTTTATACTTTTGTATATTTTTCTCATTTTCTACATTGTAATATACTGTATTCCTTTTAAATTCAGGGAAAAAAGAAATACACATTATGTGGTATTAATAAAGCAAAACCTGGACCCTCTTTGGTCTTTCAGTGTCTTAAAATCATAAAGCCAGACCCATTTGTGATATATGGAGGCTGATAGTTGAAAAGAATGTACAAATCTCAACTGTATTTCATTTTGCTGTTCTATTAAAGCTATCTTATCATTATAATAGAAAAAAGAAAAACACAGTCTTTAAATTAAAGGAACAGAACACATACAAACACAACTGCTTTCACTCAAAAAACTGACAAGACACTGAAACTGGTCCCAGTGGTCAGGTGAACATTGACCATGTGGCATTAAAGAGCCAGTGCCCAGCAAGAGTGACTTTCTTCTTGAACCTGACAGCCGATCGCAGCTCTGCATCAGACAAAACCAGATCCTTCATTCTCTAAGCTCTTCTGAATTTTTCAGGATTTCACTTTCCTTGTAAAGGGCAGGTAATCATCGTGGTTGGAGGTTGTCAGGGGTCCCCTGCACCAAGCTAAGTAATGAGGACTGCGGGGTGAGAAAGACGGACTCTCCCTGAAGGGTCCCAGTGATCACAGCTGGGCTCCAGGCTGTGGGCTGCTGCCCCAGCAGGCTCAGGTGCAGTGTGTGGGCACCGTGGTGGGATGCTCGGACCACAGGAATCAGGAATAATTTTCCATAAAAGGTGGGACTTGAGCCTGGACTGCAGATGGGAGCAGAAAGGTGTCCCTGGCAGAGAAAGGAGAACAGGAAGCATCCAGGCAGTGGGCTGAGTTGTGTCCTCTGGACCAATAGTCAAGGATAAGGGAATGGCTTCTAGATGCTGTGGGGACCCACTTGGAACCCCAGGCACTATAAAGATTATTTTAATCTGAAGACATTTGAGACTCAACAGATACAGAAAGAAGCCTTCTCAGAGCTTTTCTTATCTGACCAGCAACTTCTCAGAGCTTTTCTTATCTGATGGAAAACAGCAACTTTCAAGAAATGAGGACTGCTATTAATTCCCTCCTCGGGGAGACTTCTATTCCTAGCGGGGAGACTAAAAGTAAGCCTACGATAAATCCCCACTCTGAGGGAGTTGTAGAGCCCTGAAAAAGACAAAAAGACCACTCATGTCCATATGGACAAACATTATCACAAACTTTCTTATCTCTCATATGGCCCCCTAAAAATCTGGCTTGTCGGCTGGGTGCGATGGCTCACACCTGTAATCCCAGCACTTTGGGAGGCCGAGGCGGGCGGATCACGAGGTCAAGAGATAGAGACCATCCTGGCCAACATGATAAAACCCTGTCTCTATTAAAAACACAAAAATTAGCTGGGTGTGGTGGCACGCACCTGTAATCCCAGCTATTTGGGAGGCTGAGGCAGGAGAATGGCTTGAACCTGGGAGGTGGAGGTTGCAGTGAGCAGCGATGGTGCCACTGCACTCCAGTCTGGCAACAGAGACTCTGTCTTAAAAAGAAAAACAACAACAACAACAAACTCATTTGTCTTTCCTGAAGAAATCTATTGCTCTTCCCATTGGAGCCTCTCTCCTCTCCCTTTCCCTGCTAAGTTGGTTCTACAGACCCATATTCAAACCACTCCTTTCAGTTGCTCAAAACTACGCAGTCCTGAGTGCGACTGCACAGTCCTGAGTGCACGCACGTGGCACACTCACACGAGTCACTCACAACTGCACAGTCCTGAGTGCACGCACGTGGCACAGTCACACGAGTCACTCGCAACTGCACAGTCCTGAGTGCACCCATGTGGCACACTTACACAACTCTTTTCTCCCGCTAATCTGGCTTTTGTCCATTTAACTTGGAGGCTCCCAGGTACCGAACCTGAGAAGGCAAAGCTTTTCCTCTCTACACTGCGTTTCATTCTCCAGGGCATTTGAGAGCAGTTCATGAAGAGTGGCTCTCACGCCCGAGCAAAGCAGTCACAGCACTGGCTTGTCGGTCTGAGCACAGCTGAGGATGATGTGGAGACAATCCCTGGGTTGGAAAAACTCCGTTTCTCCAATCCCAGGCTCTGCTGCCGCATCTCTGTGTCTCCTTCATCAGGCACTCTGCGTCCCAGGGAGGGAGGCACCCCACATCCGTGCTGGGGACATTGTGCAGGATGGCAGGGGCAAGGCACACCTCACAAAAGAGATGGATGCCACTGAAGGAGATGAAATTATTTCCAGAAATGTTTTTTTTTTTTAGAATCAGTGGCATGACATATAGTTGATCCTTGAACAGTGCAAGAGTTAGGGACACCCAGCTCCCTGCAGAGTCAAAAATCCATGTCTATCTCTGGACCCCCAAAGCTTAACTACTAACAGCCTACTGTGGACTGGAAGCCTTACTGATAACATAAACAGCCTATTCACACATATGTCATATGTATCATATACTGTATTCTCACAATAGGGTAACTAGAGAAAAGAAAATGATATTAAGAAAGTTATAAGGAAGAGAAGATGTATGTACCATCCATTAAGTGGAAATGGATCCTCATACAGGTCTTCATCCTTGTTGTCCAGGCAGGGGGTGCTGACGAGAGGGAGGAGGAAGGCTTTGTGTTGCTGTCTCGGGGTGGCAGAGGTGGGAGAAAATCTGCATATAATCGGACACGTGCAGTTCAAACCTGTGTTGTTCAAGGTTCAATGGCAATTAGTTTTTATTAGAAAAAATATATCAATGTGGAGAAGCCCTTGAAGGAATTTAAGCACAGAGGTGATTGATAGGTGTAACCGCCGGGTCCAGACAGGCCAGAACTTGAACTCAAGTTGTGCTGGTCAAGGGAGGTAAAAGAATCAAACCTTGATGACCAGAAGACACTGGAGTAAAAGGCAAGAGTGAAAAAAACCTTGATTTGTTACACGGTGAAAAGCAGCAGAAGAAAAATGGCACCCGAATCATCGATGTCACTACCGTTGGTTGGTCAGGTAGGCCATGAGAACCAACCAGAGATCAAACAGAGCAAAATCGAATATGCGATAATTTGTTCATTTCCATTCCACCATTCGCCCTCAGTGTTTATCCCATGGTAATTAAAACCAACTGTAGCTATTGAACAATGGAATTTGCTGGTCAAGCTCTTCAGAGCCCAATGTCATCAGCCTTGGGGTGGCCCCTGCAAGTCCTTGCTGTGTCCATTCTGTTCTCACTGAATGCAGAAGGTGCAGCCCAGCTCAGGGATGAGTTACAGCTGGCCTCAAAAGTGCCAATGCCACGGCCTAAGCATCTGGGACAGACACTGAGGAATGTTTGATGAGCCCTTAACTACCAAAGGTGGACAACTCTGCTATTGATATTAATATTTAGCACCCAAAAGGAGCATCCTGGTGCTGAAAGAGGGCATTAGGGAGCTTCCCCAGGGAGCCCCAAACAGCGTCTCTGCAGATCTGAGCGCTCCCTGTTCCGGCTGCAGGAGGCTGTGTTCAGCCTGCTGGGTGCTGGCCCTGCAGCTGGGGAGCGGCCCTCTCCACCACAGTGGTCTTCAGACTGGGGTCAGTGTACATGCAAAGACCATCTATGGGGCACATGGCATAAGTATTTTTAAAGTAATTACTTATCATTTCCAGCTCGTCAGCTCTTTCCCAAAAGTGATCTGTCTAGGAACTTCTCTGGCCAATCCCTTTCCCAGACCCCTTTACAATCTCCTGCCCCCTTCTCCACAGACAGGTGCATCTTGGACCTCGCACCCATCCCAAACCCCTCTCCAGGGTGTGTTCCTGGTGGTGGCGCCCTCCCTAGAGCACAGCACCAGAGAGAGCGCCCCTGTGAATATCAGCAGCCAATTGTACCCAGTGACTAAGGAAACCAGCCTTCAGCAAATGCGGCAGTTTCCTATTCTTTGCTTTCCACAAAATTGAAAGAGAGCCCCTATTCAAGTTGTCAGCTGAGAGAGCTTTAAAAACAATCTTGTATAACAAGCACAACGTGCTTTTTGGCATACAACTTGAAAGGAGCTCAAAAACCAGTGACATAGCAAATCTTTTTCCATTTCCATCTTTCATTCCCATTTATGTGAACAAGTTTGCTTTAGCTCATAAAAATGAAACTAGAGAAAATCTCAGTGCCGAGCCTGTTTTAGGAGCACCCCAAGGGTCTGTGAACCCGGGCAGGGGCCCATCCCCAGCATCGCTGATATTGAATTTCTGAGATTTTAATTTTATAAGAGTCAATTTTTTAAAAACTATTTAAATTTTAATCAATTGTATACTACTAATAATTATAAGGATAATTCAAAGAAACAACATTTAGAGTCTGTGGTTACAGAAAATTACATTTAAAAAATACATTCAATTTATATACAGATTTTTTACTGTAAGAATGTAAAGGTGATGAATAAAGACTTTTAAGCCAAAAAGTATACCTATCACACTGGCATAATATCCTAAAGGAGTAGTTAGAATGGAAATTTGAGCTTATAGAGAAAAAGGAGTCACAAAAAAAATTGCATGCTCAGAAGGAAAGCATTTTCATGTTTTTTTTTTTTTTAAAAGGATGAGAGTGGTGTGAAATCACTACGGTAATTGGATTCCAGCGGAAACACTTAAGAGTTGTGCGAGAGTTTTATTTTGGAATATCAATGTTTTGAAAGGCCAGAAGATATACCTTTTTCAACTAATAAACCTTACTTTTAGCTGAGTATTTTTTTTTATTTTAATAGTTTTGGGGGAACAGGCGGTGTTTGGTTCCATGGATAAGTTCTTCAGTGGTGATTTCTGCGATCTGGGTGCCCCTGTCTCCGGAGTAGTGTACACAGCAGCTGATGTGTAGTCCTTCATCCCTCACCCTCTCCCACCCTTCTGCCAAGTCCCCAGTAACAGGTCATGGCTGCGATCTCTCAGGAGATGCGCTAAGCACAGGCCCCAGGCCTGCCTGGTGGGGATTTGCTCAGAAGCTTTTCGTGGAGACCGTGGGTTCCTTTTAAACACCAGGTATTTTTTTTGTTTCTGGCAGTCTCCAGCCTAATACACTCATTTGAATCCTGGAAAATAGATCACTCTGTTTCAATTAGGCCAACTCCTCAGGAGTTCTAGAAAAATATTTTAAGCCAGTGACTCATTGAAGTCCCAGATGACAGTACCCTCTGGGGCAATTAGGCCAACGTACCAGGAGGCCGGCAAAGAGGCTTCCAGTGGCTCTGACACGTTGCCACTGTGTCTGCCCTCAGCCCCTAGAGCACGGGGAGGACATGGGGGAGCAGCCCAGCTCCCGGACAGTTCTGCGGCACAGTCTAGGGCTCTGCATTCTGGCCTCCTGCCACATCCAGGGCGCTGAATGCCATGGTGTGTGTCCTTCCACAGCGCATACACTGGAACACAAACGTCAGCATGACAGCATTAAGAAGTGACTAAGTCATGAGGGCCCCATCCTTATGAATGGGACTAGTGGACCTTACAAAAGGCCCTTCCACCTCCTGTCATGTGAGGACACAGCACTTAGCCCCTCTGGAGGACGCAGCAACAGGGTTCTGTCTTGGAAGCAGAAATGGGTCCTCACCAGACACCGAACCTACAGTGCCTCGATCTTGGACTTCCGGCCTCCAGAACTGTGAGAAAGAAATTTCTGTTATTTGTAAGTCACCTGGTCTAGGGTATTTTGTTACAGCAACCTGAACAAAGACAGTTGGCCTTCCTTTACCTGAGATCATTTTAAACACCATTATCCTCAACTCAATCGTTTCCTTAACTCAAGGAAGATACCTGATTTCATGGCAGGCACTGGAAATATATGCCTTTGGTTTTCCCTGTAATTGCAAAGAAAATTTATATGTAAAATAACTGAAACAGGACTCCTCATTTCAGCATTTAAAGCAAAAATCTTTAAAGTTAATAAAACTTCTACTCTACAATAAGAATTGTATAAATGCCAAAGTTTTGGATGTAACAGAAATGAGAGTGATACTGAGAAATTCTCTAGGCGGTCATGGAAATAAGAAGACAAAGAAAAAAATTTAAACCATGGTATGTGCACTTTTGTAAATGGTTTTGCTGCAAGTGCAGTGAGGAGTTTTGTGGTGATTTAATTGTGTCTACTTTTATAAAAATTTAAAGCATTCAAAAGAATCTGATATGCTAAACTCGTGAAAAGTTTAATTGATAAAGCTTGCAATCAAAACATAAAACATAAAGATAGTATCCAGGGAGAAAAGAAACACAGCTAAGTAAAAGCGGAGGAGGTGGGGAGAGGAAAAGAATCTAAAGGAAAGGGAGGTTTATTTTATTTTATTTTATTTTATTTATTTTGAGATGAGGACTCGATCTGGTACCCAGGCTGGAATGGAGCAGTGCAATCATAGCTCACTGCAGCCTCCAACTCATAGGCTAAAGTGATCATCCTGCTTCAGCTTCCCAAATAGCTGGGACTACAGGTGCATGCCACCATGCCCAGCTAATTAAAAAAATAATGTTTCGTGAAGATAAAGCCTTGCTGTGTTGCCCAGGCTGGTCTCCAACTCCTGGCCCCAAATGTTCCTCCTGCCTCAGCCTCCCAAAGTGCAGGGATTACAGGCATAAGCCACCACACACCTGGCTTGATGTTTAATGAGTCTAATTTTATTCATTTTGCTATATTCAAGTTTTAAAAGTTAAAAATATTTTACCTTTATTTAAAATGTTCTGCATAAATATATTCATGCACATAATTTTCAAACAATGAGTATATTTGACTGCAAAACTTCATATTTTGAGAAATCAAATGAGTTAAATTTGTAAGTTCTTTGCCTTTTAGTTGTGTGAATGGTTTATAATTGACTAGAGAAAAACAATTGAGAAGGAAAGTCTTTAACAGTGTTTAAGATAATGTAAATTCAAAAATCTGAGAGGAAAATTAAAAAAAAAAAATTTTTAAATCCCTCCCTAGGCCGGGCGTGGTGGCTCACACCTGTAATCCCAGCACTTTGGGAGGCTGAGGCAGGCGGATCATGAGGTCAGGAGATCGAGACCATCCTGGCTAACACGGTGAAACCCCATCTCTACTAAAAATACACACACACACACAAACAAATTAGCCAGGCGTGGTGGTGGGCGCCTGTAGTCCCAGCTACTCAGGAGGCTGAGGCAGGAGAATGGCATGAACCTGGGAGGTGGAGATTGCAGTGAGCTGACATCACGCCACTGCACTCCAGCCTGGGCAACAGAGTGAGACTCCGTCTCAAAATAAAAAAAAAAAAAATCAATCCCTCCCTAGACATTAGGAAAGAGTAAAGAAGGAAATTACTTTTAGTTCATCGTAGTGGCCCTTTATTTTTACTTATTCATTCAAGGAAAAAAACTCTAGAAAAATAGACTACACAAAACATAAGATTTAAAAATAAGACCAGATCTCGGATTTTGGAAGGTCTTATGTGCTCAGAATGAGTTAAAATTCAGACAAAAAGAGATAGAAGCTCTCACATAACAGTGAGGCTGCCTTTGCTGCACGACCGTCTGCCAGACACTAACGGGAATGTTTTCTGGGCTGACTCATTTGGTCTTTAGAGGGGAAGACTCTCTGAAGAGCATCCCTCTGAGGGGACTGTGATGGGCTCCCCCAGTTTGCAGCTGGAGAAACTGAGACATGAAAACCAGTTGATCTGTCCAGGTGCACTCAGGTGGCCATGACTCAGCCAATTCCTCGGACGAAACTACATCAGAATAAAGTTTAGCCAGTGGTTGAACGCTTGTCACTCATTAAGAAATAGAGAAAATTAGACAAGCCATCTTACTAATAAAGACAAAAGAATTTACTTGAATGTAACCATAATGTTAAATTAAATGTTTAAATGATAATCTTCATGAACAAGTGATAAACCATAGATTATATATAATGTATGTATATGTGTGTGTGTGTATATATATATATATATATAAAATGATTAAATGAGACCAATTAGACTAATTTTTAAAGTTTACATTGTATTCTTTTAACCAATAATCCTTAAATGTTGGGTACTAAATCTATTTATTTTGAAGCAAGTTGGCCCTGAAACTTTGTGCAAACTAATTGGAATCTAAGAAAAAAGGACATTCCAAAACAGAGACTTAGAAATTATTCTGCACTTTGACCAAATACCCTTCAAATAGAAAATCAAAAGTATTTGACAATTAAAACTTCCACTGGTAAAGTGTGCAAGAAGCGATCTTTTTAGAAGTTTGCTCTTTGTTACCTGAACAGGTTTGTAATTGCATCAAATGTATGCAAAAATTGACGACTGTAAGTTTCATTGTTACCCATAGTTCCTAAACCTTTCACCAAAACAGGTTGCTGAGCTGATACGCTAATAACTATTTCAGAAGTAGTTTTGTTTTGGTAAACAAAAGCCCAGCACAGGCTGGAATACAGTTGTTGGCCCTCATGCCCGGCTCACAAGGTAAAGTCAGCAACCCACATGTTATGAGGCCCAAACCAAGAGTTAATCTAAAAGCTTTAGAGCCCCGGAAATCCCGTGTCAGGAGTCTAAACGGCAGGCAGCGAGAGTTAAACTACTGGCCTCTGCCAGGACTGGCCAGGATGCCAAATGCTTAGCTGACTAATTCGGATTTCAGCAAAACCATATTCCACACGTGAGACTCTCAGTGGATCTGTCAAGCAGGAAACCCCACAGAGACTGATTTTGTGCCTGTGTTATTCACACAGTCGCCATGGAGCGAAAGACTGGGAAGCACGAGATGTTTTAATTTACATACAATTTAGAAAATTGCCTCTTAGATATTCCATAGCTATGTTTCTAAGCCATTTTTTTCATTCTAAAATGGAAATCCCCTTGGGGATAAGCAAAACTGGCTGAAAATTGCTTTTAAAATGTTAGAAAATGTAATGTTGTTATGAAATGCAACTGAAATGTGCTAATGTCTTTTTCAGTCTGTTCTAGTGTAACCCTAATAATATTGCAAAAATACGAGCCTGTAAAACATTCTTCACCTGAAATTTCTGTGAGGTTTCTGAAGTCTGATGATTCTGGTTATTGATTTGATTGTATTTGCTAATTTCCTTAATTCATAATTCTATAATTTTAAAAGTCAAGCAATACAGTGTGAGATAATAATTATAACTGGAATAATATATGTAAATTAGTAAAAAAAAAATACTTAACTAGTAAAGCCAGAGTTAACATTAAAGCTTTCTGTCACAGATAAATAACAGCCCACAGGCCCATAAAAATAAAGTTCAATGAGAGGTGTAGGCATTATATAGAGCATTATATATTTATCTGTATATGTTAGGTATCATATATTTATGTGTTTTATATCTCCTATTGTTTTGTCCATTAATTTTTTAATACAATCAAAGATATTAAATACTCAGTGGATTCACATTCTCTGGTATCTCACTGCGGGGAAATTAAAATTTATTCTCTTTTTGAACAAACGATCTGTGCAACTAGACTAACAAGACATATGATCTGGATTGACAAAATTTTTAAAAAGCATTCCAAATTAAAGCTTTCTGTTATAGATAAATAACAGCCCACAAACCCATAAAAATAAAGTTCAATGAGAGGTCTAGGCATTACATAGAGTATTATATATTTATCTATATACGTTAGGTATCATATATTTATGTGTTTTATATCTCTTATTGTTTTGTCCATTAATAATTTTTTAATACAATCAAATATATTAAATACTCAGTGCATTCACATTCTCTGGCATCTCACTGTGGGGAAATTAAAATTTATTCTCTTTTTGAACACAAATGATCTGTGTAAATAGACTAACAAGACATATGATCTGGATTGACAAAATCTTTTAAAAGCATTCCAAAATACTTAGATTTGAATTAAAGAAAAAGGAATTAATAGAGGCATCTCAAAAGAAAATATACTGACAGATTAAGTAGTCAAGGCAGCAGGATTACACTTTTTCTCTCTTTCCTCTTGAGACATTATTATTAAAAAGAAATACAGGAAAGCTTCTGGAAATGAAAGAGCAAATGCATATGAATCCATCTCTACTTAGACAACAATTGCAATAGAGTAATTATTTTGGAACTCTGGGGTCTATTGAAGGCTTGCATCTCACAGGGGATGTCTCGAATGATAAATTATGGTTACATTTGGTCAATTTTACCTCTTGGCGTAGTAACAGTTGCCTGCTCTCCACCCCCAGCCCTCTATCAGGCAGCTGGGCAGTTGTTCCTTTCGCAACCTGCAGGTAGCTTAATGGGCAAAGAGAATACCGTCCTCCAATGACAAGGGATCTGTGCTCTGATCACAGAGTTGCAGACAGAGAGGCTTGCTATCATTGTTGTCGCACCTCCCCTCATTGTTGCAAGGCCCTGTCCTTCCTGCTGAAGTGACTTCCAGGAGATTTAAAGAATCGGCACATTTTTTCCACTTTATTTTTCTTACCCCCTCCCCCAACTTGGGGGCCAGATGTTGAAGACCAGCATATTAAGAAGCAACTGCATATGCAGGGAAAATTACACAGCAACCATGCATGCCCAGGGAAAGGCACAGACTCAGAAAACACCTGCAAATACCTAAAGTCTACATCTCAGTCTGATCCTTGACACAGAGACAGCCTACAACAATTTTTTAAATGTTAGCAAATCCTGAGGAAGGAGAATCTGACCTTCAGAGCTACCACATTATTAGATTCCAATGTCCAGTTTCAACAAAAAATCATAAGACATACCAAAAAACAGGAAAATAAGGCTCATTCAAAGGAAAAAAATAAACCAAAAACTGTCCCTGAAAAAGACCTGATGGTAGATCTACTAGACAGACTTTAAAACAACAGTCTTAAAGATGCTTGAAGAACTAAAGGAAGACATGGAAGAGCTTCTGTGTGAACAAAATGAAAATATTAATAAAGAGATAGAAAATCCAAAAGAAGCCAAAAATAAAACCTGGACCTGAAAAGTACAATACGTTAAATTTTAAAAATCACTAAAGGGGTTCAAAGGCAGATTTAAGCAGGCAGAAAAAAGAATCCACATATTTAAGGATCGGAAAATGGAAATTAGTCATTCTGAGGAACAGAAAGAAAAAGGATTGAAGAAAAATTGAACAGAGTCTAAGGTACCTGTGGAACACCCTTAAGTGAATCAACATATGCATTATAGGAGTCACAGAATGGGGAAAGAGAGAAAGGGATAGAGAGAGAATATTTAAAGAAATAATGGCTGAAAATTTCCAAAATTTGACTTAAAAGACATGAATATTAGCATCCAAGAAATTCAACAAACTACAAGTATGATGAACTCAGAGACTCACACTAAGACACATTATAATCAAACTGTTGAACAACAAAGGCAAAGAGAATTTTGAAAGCAGCAAAAGAGAAGTGACTCATCACATACAGAGGGATCCTCAAAAAATATTAGCAGATTTCTCATCAAAAACTTTGGTGGCCAGAAGGCAGCGAGTTAATATATTCAAAGTGCTAAAAAATTAAATTAAAAACCCATCAACCAAGAATTCTATATTCAGCAAAACTGTACTTTAAAACTGAAGAAGAAATTAAGACATTCCCAGATAAACAAATGCAGGGGGAGTTTGTTATCATGAGACCTGACCTTCAAGAAATGTTAAAGGGAGTCCTGAAGATTGAAATGAAAGAACACTAGACAATAACTAAAAGCAACATCAAGGAATAAAGATCTCAGTGATGGTAATTATATGACAATTATAAAAATTAGCATAATTCCAACAATGACATGTAACTCCACTGTTTGTTTTCTACAAGAGATTACTGCATTAAAAAAAAAATTAGTTTATGTTTTTGGACACAAAATACATAAAGATGTGATTTTGTGAGTTCAACAACTGAAAGAGGTGGTAAAGGGGCTGCTGAAGAAGCAAAATTGTTGTATGCTATTAATGTCATGATGGTACAAATTCAAATCACAATGTTACAATTTTATAATGTTAAATTTAGTCTCTGTGTTAACCACAAAGAAAATTGCTAAATAATATACACATATAAATTTAAATGTTTTACTATAAAAATCAACTAAACACAAAAGAAAACAGCAATGCAGAAAATGAGAGACAAAACGCTATAATATAGAAAACAAATAGCAAAATGACAGAAGTAAGTCCCTCCATACCAATAATCACTTTAAATGTAAATGGATTAAACTCTCCAATCAAAAGGCAAATATTGGGAGAATGGATAAAAAAGACATTTAGACATGTGGCTAAATTTAATCATCCATCCTCAGTTCTCATCTTTCCTGACACTCGTGATCATTTCCTCCGTTTTGAATCCTCTTCTTACCTAGCCTTTGGTATCAATCCCTCAGAAAATCCTGTTGACTCTGCCTTCCAAATATACCCACACATGTGTTCTTTTTTCCACTTCCCTAGTGACCTACCTCTGGTCCAAGCAGCCACCACCTCTGGCGTGGAGGGTTGCAGGTCTCCCCGCTTCTGCCCTGCTCCCTCTCCATCTCTTCCTAACGCACAGCCAGGGCAATCCAGTGAGGGCAGAGGACGGCTCCCACTCAGACCCCAGGGGCTCTCCATCTTAGTCTGAGTAGCAGCCCCATTCCTACAGAGGCCAGGAGGTGCTACACCACCTGGCCTGGTGACCTCTGCGGCCTCTCCCCTGCTGTTCTCCCCCAACTTGCTCTGCAGGTCACGCTGGCCTCCCACAGTCTCCCACCGTCTGCACACAGCCCAGTGTGCTCCCGTCTCTGCCTGGAGTGTCCTGAGCTCAGGTGGCTGCAGGGCTCACTTCCTGGGCTTCCTCAGTCTTCATTCGTAAGGCCTTCCCTCAACACCTGTTTAAAATGACAGCTGCTCCACCCCCAGCTTCCCAGTCCCCCTTATCCTGCCGCACTGATTTCTGCCATGGCACTCATCTCCTTCTAAGGTTCCATATAATTTAACTAATGAGGCAGCCCTGGGAGTGCAGAGCTCCCACCGCTGCAGGGGAGCACGATGGACCCATGGCTCCACTGATGCACCTCGGGATGCATGAGGCAGCCCTGGGAGTGCAGAGCTCCCACCCCTGCAGGGCAGCACGATGGACCCATGGCTCCACTGATGCACCTCGGGATGCAACACCATGTTCACAACAAGGCCAAGCTCCCCGTGGTGCTCCCTGGACCGGGCTGGGACAGGTCCATCACAGGGACACACACCACTCCTCAGGGAGCAACTTTTCACCCAGGACGCCCTGTTGGCCTGGACAGACCTTTCTTGAAGCTGAGACTCTCCTACCCCTACCTTTTCTTGCCTTTTCTCCTTCTCACAGATGTTGGACCTGCAGCGTGGTCTGAAGTCTCTCTTTACTCCCTCTCCAAGAAATCTCCAGCATGTCCAACTCTACCTGGTTTCTACTCCTCAGTGAGTGTGAGCTGTACAATTGATTATTATTACTGTTATTGCTTTGTTCATGGTCTGTCTCACCCCACTAGAGCATGAACCCGCCAGGGCAGAGGGCTTTGGTTTTTTCCTGTGCTTTCCTGGTGCCTGGAGCAGGGCCTGGCTCATAGCAGAGATGCAGTAAATCTGTGCTGAATAAATGTCTTACGTATTGAATCAGATGATGCATTTTAAAAGCATGCCACCTAGTCTTGCACAAAAGAACCACGTGTTCAGTATTGACCATATTTACACTAAAAAAAAGTCAGTTTCCATTAAAGAAAGTTAAAGTATTTAAGTAAATAAAAACATAGACTGTGTTCTTGGGGTAGGAGCACACTTTAGCAGTATCAAGTATAGTCATATAAAATGTAAATGTCAGTATCCCCAAATTGTCTACAAATTAAATGCAATTCCAATCAAAATTCTAGCTGGATGTTGAGACATTCATAAATTCATGCTAAAATTTGCTTGGATGAATAAAGGTCCAGAAGTAGCCTAATTAACTGTGAAAAAACAGGGTACAGAGGCGAGACTTGACCTAGTAAATATAGACTGCAAGACACTAATAGTGATGGTAATAGTAATCTTTACAAGTATGGTACTGGTGCAAAAACAGACAATAGATCAATTAGCCAGAGTAGAAAGCTCAGAGAGAGACCACATATACACAGAAGCTCAGCATCACAAGTCAATGGGGGAAAGGATGAATTTTATATCGGTGGTTTCAGGAAAACTGGATTACTACATGAAGAAGATGAGGGCACATTCTTTGTAGCACTATGTGTAGCAGGGGAGTCCTGGAAGGCTAAAGGCCTGCAAGTAGAAATTTAAACTCTAAAGCTCAGAGAAGATAATGGAGGAGTATACTTCTGTGACTTGAGAATAGAGAAAGATGTTTAAACGAAAATATCTCCCTACAAAATAATGGATTTGACAATATCAAAATCTAGGGGTTTTATTCACTGAAAAACAAAATGGACAAAGTTAACACATGGCAGATAGGTTGGGAGGTGATATTTACAATTTTGAAAACCATCAAGGGACTGATATTAAGAAAAACAGGGAAAGTCTGTGAATCCAAAGAAAAGACAGAAAGAAATCAAACAGAAAAGTTGCATAGGGTGTGGACAGGTGAGTCTCAGAAGAGAAAACCCAATGGCTAACATGTATGTAAAGAGATGGTTAAAGTCATGTCAGATAAATGCAAATTAGAACATCAGTGAGACACCACTTCACACAAGTGTCAGACTGACAAATTAGGATGCTGGGTGGTACCAGGGACTAAGGCAGGCACAGGAGCACAGGATTCCATGAGCTGCAGGTGGGTGCAGGTGGCACAGCCATGGTGGAAGGCATCCTGGCGATGTTTATTCAGATTAAGAACAGGCAGCCAATGACTCAGAACTTCATTCCTGAGAACGTGTTCAACGCAGGCCCATGGATGCATGTGAGGACGCTCATGCAGCCTTACTCGTGGCCATGTGATGCTGGGGGAATGAACAGGCATGATGTATTAGTCTGTTCTCACACTGCTATGAAGAAATACCTGAGACTGGGTAATTTATAAAGGAAAGAAGCTTAAGTGACTCACAGTTACGCATAACTGGAGAGGACTCAGGAAACTTACAATCATGGCAGAAGACAAAGGAGAAGCAGGCACCTGAAGACAAGGTGGCAGGATGGAGCGAGTGCACGCAGGGGAGATGCCAGATGCTTCTGAAAACCATCGGATCTCGTGATAACTCACTCACTGTCACAGCATGAGGGAAAGCACTCCTGTGATCCAATCACCTCCACCTAGTCCCGCCCTCAACATGTGGGGATTATGGGGATTACAATTCAAGATGAGATTTTGGGTGGGGACACAACCAGACCATATCAGATGATGTGTGGGTGCGTGGAATGCTCTGGAATGTGTCACAGCCCCTGGCTATAAGCAACAGACTCGGGAGTGCAAAGTAACATGGAAAGATCTGAGCCCACGAGGATATTTGCCTCTTTGTGACGGGAAAGTGAGGGCAAAAAGGAGGCAAACAGATACATAGAGAGATGCATTAAAGACGAGATGTGCCTTGAACTGAGATTGTGACTAACTCAATCCTATGCACTTGAGGCTAAAAAAAAAGTATCTTAAATAGCTGAGAATCACCGGTAATCAATGGCATCACCTCCTATGATCAGGCTTTGTAAGTTGCCTTTGTGGGTCGAGGCTGTCTTCTTGTCCACCCCACGCAGGCCTGTTACCGGGGTTAACCCGAGTCTAGGTCCGGATAAAAGCCTATATATGGAAAACTTCATGGGATCTCCTTGGAATCCATTCTTAGCAACTCACAAGGTCACAAAGTACCATGGATGAGAAGTTTGGACACATGTCAATTTCCTGCCTAAGCCCAGGCTCAGGGAATAAGCTGCCTCTTTCTGATCCTCAAAACATAACAAGGACCAAATGCAGTGTACCAACACAGAGCACCAAGTGTCTCCACACAAGATCACAACCACATGAGACAGTGACAACTTCATACAACTCCAGGAGGGTCCATCTTCCCTCGAGAAGCCAGGACTGGACAGAGAAAGTACCCGGAGGCCCGCACAGCTGGCAAATAGTTGATGTATTTTCAGACAGCACAGTTTCTTAAGGACCAAGAATACGATGACATCACACTAAGAAGAGAAAATAAAATCTTGAAAAATGACTTAAAGTATAGGTCAAATATACATGCCATGCGGGTGCTCCAAGAGATGGACAAATTGATCTTATTGATCATATTTTTATACCTTTAATTACATTTGCTTATCTCAGCACCCACTCGCTCTAGAGCCCCTCAGGTGCCCTCAGCCAAGTGGGACTGGACTGACCGCCAACAGCCCTGGTTCCCTGTTGGCCTCAGACAGAGCTTGCCCAGAATGTTATTTTCTTGGCTGTGTTTTCAAATTGTTGTCATGTTTATCCTAAGGTCATAATTTTATTCTGCCTCATAATTTTCCACCTGAAGGGGCTGCCCAAAACCTAACTACATGCCTGGGCAACATAGCAAGACTCCATCTCTACAAAAAACTATAAATATGAGCCAGGTGTGGTTGTGTGCCTGTAGTCCTAGCTGCTCCAGAGGCTGAGGTGGGAGGATCACTTGAGCCCAGGAGTTCAAGGCCACAGTGAACTATAATCATGCTACTGCACTCCAGCCTGGGCCACAGGGCAAGACCTAGCCTCAGAAAAAACAAAATAAAAATAAAAGTGTTTTATATGTACAAAAATTCTTCTTAATCTTTTGATCCAAGGAAAGCATCCCCTAACCTTTTAAAATAAGTTCAAAACAGTATTTTTGCAAATCTGAGTGCAGTCCGATTTCTACTAGAGTTCCAAAGTCTTGGTGAACCACCCATTCTTCTTAATCAAGTTATCATATACATAATTACTAGAATAACAGCTCTCAAAAATTAAAATTCACTTAACAAGAAAATTATATTGAACACAATACATTCTTTCTCCAGTGACTCCAGAGCCATCCGAGGATATTTCAGTGCCTCGTCAAGATGTTAATTACGAAGCTGAACAATAGTTGCTGAGTGCACTGTAGATTTTAAATGAGTCCGGGGAACTTCTTGTGAAACCTGGCTGTCATCATCTCATCCTGGAAAACGAGTGGATGAAAGCAAGCGGGTCGGTTGTGGTGGCTCAAGCCTGTAATCCCAGAACTTTGGGAGGCCAAGACGGGAGGATCAACCTGAGGTCAGGAGTTCGAGACCAGCCTGGCCAACATGGTGAAACCCTGTCTCTACTAAAAATAAAAAAATTAGCCGGGAATGGTGGTGGGCACCTGTAATACCAGCTACTCAGGAGGCTGAGGCAGAAGAATTGCTTGAACTTGGGAGACAGAGGCTGCAGTGAGCCAAGATCGTGCTGCTGCACCCTGGCCTGGGCGACAGAGTGAGACTCCATCTCAAAAAAAAGAAATAAAGCGTCTGGGCTCCCAGATGTTGGCAGCTCCCTCCCAGCCCTGCCCTCCTCCCACAGCCCCCTTGCCTCTCTCTCAACTCTCAGCTTAAATGTCACCTCCCAAGAGAGGCCTTCCCAGGGGCTGAGTGTGGGGAGATGTCCCTTTTAGGCTTTCTCTCAAAGCCCTGCAGGGCCCTGTACTTATTTAGTGCAATGGAAATCCTCCACATGGGGTCTGTGTTGGGCGCGTGGCCTCCCATACCCGTGGCCACGTGGCCTCAAGCTCCCGCTCTCGTGTGGAACCTGACCCTCTTCCCTGCAACTTCACATCTCACTCCAGGAATAATTTTATGCCAAAAACTTAAAATATTTTTAAGAACCTACTTATTTGCATGTTTTCTAGTGACCTCATGAGAAGATCAATTTAGCAGCTTCTCACATTTTTCATCTTTGAGATTCACAGCCACATCACTGAGAAATATGTTAAGGAATATTTAACAGGTTATAAACTACAGCAATCCCACTCAAGACTAAATAGCACCAAGACAGTTTTCTATAGAAATCGGGAAACTCTCCAGCTCTCACTGAAAATAATGCTAAGACAATTCAGAGTCAAAAAGGCCTCATGGGGTTTTTTCTCCAGATAACTCAATTAACCCAAACTAAATCCTGAGACACTCACGCACCTCCATGTCTCTTGATTTTGTTTGTGGCTTGAGGGGTTGAGAGGCACTGCTTCTCACCGTGACCCAGACCACCGCTCCCTGGAGAACGGATCCAGACTTTCCCCACATCTTTTATAGTACCTCCATATCACACATGGGGGAGGTAGGTCCACAGGCCTGCATTTAACAAGCGGAAGCCAGCACACGTGCAGGTGTGGAGCAGAAGGTCCCACAGCAGCAGCCAGGGCTCCGATTCCCTGGAAGAGCCGCCCACTGCTTCTGACCAAACCTCACATTGTTGCTTCCATGTGGAGCTCCCTGGAAGCAGCCAAACCTATAAAGGATTGGTTACAACTGTAGATTTGATTATGTCTAACTTTAATGAGATTAAAAGGAATTCATTCTACATTTTATGATTTGTTTTCCGAGTTCATTGGTAATACATTGCATTAGTTTCCAAGGGCTGCCCTAACCAAATACACAAACTGGGTGGCTTAAGACAACAGAAGTGGATTGTCTTGCATTCTGGATGCTAGAACCCTAAAATCAATGTGTCTGCAGGGCTGTGCTCCCTCTGAAACCTGCAGGAGAACCCTTTCTTGTCCTTTCCAGCATCTGGTGTTGCTGGGAATCCCCAGGGACCCTTGGTGTATAGATGCGTCACTCCAGTCTCTGTGTCCACCGTCACGAGGCTTTCTCCCTGTGAGTCCGTATCTGTGTCTCTTCTAAGGATGCCAGTCATGTCATTGAGTTTTCATGACTGAAAACTCTTGGAACATTATTCTTTTTTCAAAAGGAAATAGGTCAAAATTGTAACTGGATATAAAATACATAATGGGGTGATGATATTGGAGATAGACTAGATTTTTGCTCTACCTTTCTTCAGCACATTTATGTTTGATATTTAAGTAGAACTGTCTTGCACTTCAATGTTTAATGATGGCCGGTGTCTGGTATTCTATCTGGCACATGGCAAACACTAAATAAATACTTATCAATTGTTGATTATTATTGATCAACCCCATATTGTTGGTACGCATACATTTTGCAATTATAAACATGAAATATACATAATGTTTTTCAAAGATACGTATGGTTTTATGCCTAAATTTTTATTGCATTAGGATGATCTCATTAGGATACCACATGGATGATAGTATGTTTCAAAAAAATTGTCTGTTAAAACAAATTATAATTAAAACCATTTTCTAAGTGTTGGCTATATTAACCAGTAAATAACAAAGACAAAATATTTTAAAAATCTAATTTAAAAATCATATGAGTTCTTTGGTTTTAAGGCATAGTAAAGCAATGATTCACATCTTTCCTTTAAATTGGTCATTCTTATTCACTGAAGTTAAAGGAAAACATCTTGGTAATATGTGCAAATACTTTCTTACGAATTATTTAAAGCAAGAGTTCCCAACCCCTGGGCCATAAACCAGTACCAGCCCGTGGCCTGTTAGGAACCGGGCCACACAGCAGGAGGTGAGTGGCCAGTGAGCAAAGCTTCATCTGTATTTACAGCCCCTCTCAATCGCTCACATTACTGCCTGGGCTCCGCCACCTGTCAGGTCAGTGGCAGCATTAGATTTCATCTGTATTTACAGCCCCTCTCAATCGCTCACATTACTGCCTGAGCTTCGCCACCTGTCAGGTCAGTGGCAGCATTAGATTCTCATAGGAACATGAACCCTGTTGTGAATTGTGTATAGGAGGGTTCTAGGTTGCCCACTCCTTATGAGAATTAAATGCCTGGTGATCTGTCACTGTCTCCCATCACCCCCAGATGGGACCGTCTAGTTGCAGGAAAACAAGCTCAGGGCTCACATTGATTCTACGTGATGATGAGTTGTATCATTATTTCATTATATTTTACAGTGTAATAATAATGGAAATAAAGTGCATATAAATGTAATGCACTTGAATCATCCTGAAACCACCCCTCTTCCACCACACCTGGTCAGTGGAAAAACTGTCATCCACAAAATTTGTCCCTGGTGCCAAAAAGGTTGGGGACCACTGCTTTCAAGGTAGCAAAGTTTTACCCTAGCACTTGAAAAATGGTATTCTGTGGTACAACAAAGAAAACGAGAGATACTCTAAGGGAAGTTCTGTGTCTTCTAAATGACCGATTAAAGAAACTAATGAAAAGTCACTTTTTGTGGCCATGAAACATGAATTTAAGAACTATTCTGAAGTTGGCATCCACATAGTCTAGAAAATTTTTCATCTCTTTCATTTCCCACATTCTTTACAAAGTTGTATAACAGCAAGGCCTTCGAGGGTCACTGAGGCACAGGGCACTACTAGACCTCTGATCCCTGTGCGGATGCTGCCTGCCACATGCTTCACTGGATGTGAGGTGAGGAAAGAATGAATATTTTTTTCATCAAACTGCTGAGCTTTTTAGCCCACTGTGATTTATAGTCACTAAAATAAAACAATTCCTTTATCATTCAAATACTACTGACATCTAAATTCAGACTAATACACTCTACCAAAATCATATCATCTGGCCTGTAACTTAAGACCTACAGACATCAGTTAATTTAGGAAATAATCTGATGTGCAAAGGAAAAATTCCATGGAGAGATGACATCCTCCTCTCTTCTCCCCAGTATGCAGGGCCATTCAGCTAATGGGGTAAGCATTTCAGGAAATAATGTGGCCCTGATATATGTCAGTGGCAATGGAATTAAAGAGGAAGAGACAATAAAAGGAAAAATTTCAAAAGAATTGCCGGTTGAAGATGGATAGAATGAACACAAAAGTTTTGAGCCCTGGAGAGGAGAGTTTCAGTACCGCGGACAGAGGTTTTTGCCGTTGCCTACTTTTCCTTAGGCCTCCATCTATGATAATTCATTCTACAAAAATAAAAGGAGTGAATTGAAACTAAAGTGTAGCTCATAAAGAGTAGTAGCTGTGCTACTTATTTCTACAGAGCATCAAACCTAATGCTGTTGATGTTGATACCTCTTCTGAAGATGACAAAAATAAGTAAGTCCAAAAAATACACCCTAGTTTTTAAAACATGAATGTGGCTGACAGATGATTAAAACACTTTCATCAAGATTCTAAAAAGCAGGTAAGATTAGGTTTTGCTTTTACAGCATTATATAAGCAAAATCCTGCTTCGTTCTCCACAACAGTGCCTTCCTAACCATGTACATCATATGCCAAGGTCTTCAAAGGGCCCATGCTTTCTTAGCATGCCCAGCATATTTAATTAAAGAATTATTGAACTATGGTCAGGTGTGGCGGCTTACACCTGTAATCCTAGCACTTTGGGAGGCCAAGGAGGGTGGATCACCTGATGTCAGGAATTCAAGACCAGCCTGGTCAACATGGTGAAACCCCGTCTCTACTAAAAATACAAAAAAAAAAAAAAATAGCTGGGTGTGGTGGCACACACCTGTGATCCCAGCTACTTGGGAGGCTGAGGCAAAAGAATCACTTGAACCCAGGAGGTGGAGGTTGTGGTGAGCCGAGATCACGCCACTGCACTCCAGCCTGGGTGACAGAGCAAGACTCCATCTCAAAAAAAAAAAAAAAAGAATTATTGAATGAAACTGAATTGGAAGATGTTAGTAACGCCTTCCCCAATTAATGGATCTTTGAAAAAACATATAAGTAGATACAGAATGACTCAGTTGTTACAGGACATTTTAAACAGTGCTTCTTATATGTGTTACTCCACAGGAAGTATTCAAAAATTAGAGTCAAACTCACTCTCAGGAGGTTGTTGTCAACTGGTCAGGTTGGAAACAAGCAAATGTTTACATTTCCTACACACTCATATGCTTCCCTCCTAAGACAGGGGAATTGTTCAAAAGAACAACAGGTAGTGCTCCACAGAGCACCACTGACTGCTCCACAGAGCACCAACCCAAATGCTTGGGTTGAAACATGGAAAAAATCACCAAGGCCTCTCACTCCGAGTCCACGCCCCAAACACAAACACACATTTCTGGAGGCTTTCTCAGATGATGCTGTGGTCACCTCAAACCATGATTCAAATAAGGCAGATTTTGAGTTTGTGCATAAATGAGATTAAATGTGTGTGCCTTTCAGAGTAAATGGTGAAAAGGAATAGAGAAAATATATATTTCTTTGTAATGTTCTCTAATACAAGTCAGAAATCAGACCTGAAGGCCAAAAAGTGACATTATTTCTTCCCCTGCTGCTCCCCCCTTAGCACCATGATTAAAGCTCTAAATTTGAAAATGTTACCAGGGGACAGTGATATTCCCCAGCCTCAAAACTCAAGACTCATCATGGTGGCTTAGTCTGGCAATTATGTGTATTATGCATAGATCACCACTGTAAGGTTAGATGGGGAACACAGATCCATATAACTCAACAAAGAAACACACACACGCATGTAAACACACACACACACACACCCTAAACCATAAAACAGTAGAGCAGAAACACACAGAGATATCTCCATGTAAATTTTAAAACCTGTCTGCTAGATACTATGACTCCTTTAATATCTGCTGAGATTCTACATGCAAGTCACCTTTTCCTCCAGTGTTTTATTTTAAACAGGTAAAAATCCACAGAAAGGTTGAAAGAATCGCACAAGGAGCACCCACATGATCTTCACTCTGGTTCCCCAGTTGTTACAATTGTGCATTATTTTTTATCTTTCTGTATGCAATTCAATACCACCTTTTTGGCCAAACCATCTTTTTTCTTTTTTTCTTTTTTTTTTTTGTTTGAGATGGAGTCTCGCTCTGTCACCCAGGCTGGAGTGCAGTGGTGCGATCTTGGCTCACTGCAACCTCTGCCTCCCGGGTTCAAGTGATTCTTCCGTTTCAGCCTCCCGAGTAGCTGGGATTACAGGCACACACCACCACACCCAGCTAGTTTTTTGTATTTTAGTAGAGATGGGTTTTCACCATGTTGCCCAAGCTGGTCTTGAACTCCTGAGCTCAGGCAATCCACCCACCTCGGCCTCCCAAAGTGATAACATTATAGGTGTGAGCCACTGCGCCCGGCCCGGCCAAACCTTTTGAAAGTAACTTGCAGATATATTGACATTTCATCTATCACTATTTCAGTGTGTTTCTCTTTAGAAATGGGATATTCTCCATGACAATAATATTGTTGTGCTCAAAAATATTAAAATTAATATAATGATATTATTAAATGTACAGTTTATATTGAAATTATCTCCAAAAATGTCTTTGTAGTTTTTTTAAAATCCAGGATCAAATCATAGATTGATCACGCTGCATTTCGTTGTGATGTCTCTGTAGTCCCTGATGTAGGACTTCCTTCCTCCCTTTTATCTCTGAAGAGTCCAGGCTAATTGCATTGTAAATTTTCCACAACCTGAATTTTTTCTGTCTCCTCATGTTAGAATCAGATTAAAGCCTTTTGACAAGAAAGCTGCATCGCTGTTGCCAAGCAGTCTTCTTTGCAGCACGTTAGCTGGCAGGTCCATCCCTCATGAAGCTGTGTTTCATCAACTGATTAAGGTGGTGTCTGCCAGACCTTTCCATTGCAAAGGTCCCTTTCTATTTCTCAGGAATAAGTGATTTGGGATGTGATGCTTTCGGGCTGCACAGTCACCCCTTCCCCAGTTTTGTCGTCCATTCAGAGACCGTTGCCTGTGCTTGTTATTAAAGTGGAGGTTGAAAACAGTGATTTTATAATTCCGTCGTGCCTTTGTCACAATAAATCCATCAATTATTTTTTAGTCGAGATGTTATAATCCAATGCCATCATTATTCTTCCGAGTATGCCGTTTTTAAAAATTTGGTCATAGGAGCCTCTTTGAACCAACGACTGTGTCCTCTCTACGTGTTCCCGCTGATAACTGGACATGCCCTTATTTCCTGGACCAACAAAATACCCCAGGCTCATCTTGTATGTCGCCTGCTCCAGACCTGGAGCCAGCTACTGCTCCAAGGATGCTCCCTGGCTCCCTTCATCGGGGAGTGTGGCTTACACACCAAGCTCAGGATGCATGTTTTCTTATGACTATGGGGGTGTCAGCCTTTGAAACCCTTTCAGTGGACAGAGCTGGGAATTTCTGGGGTTTAGCACATGGACACGCCACTCAGAAGCCCACAACATCATTTGAAGGTGCCTTCTGAGGAGTCTTCATGCCAACCTTAGCTTTCGCACCCCATTGCTACTCATTCTTCTTCCCTATAAGAGGGGTTTCTGTTCTCTTCCGAGGAATTCCATCTATGTGTTGGTTTTTTGTTTGTTTATTTTGTTTTGTTTTTACAAGGTAAGCAAATATATAAATATTTATTTTTACTTGCCCTCACTTCTTACATGAAAGGTAGCATTACACATAAATATATCCACATGTATACAGTTGTACCTCAGGGTCTGTTGGGGATTGGTTCCAAGACATGTCCCTCTGCAACCCCATATACCCATATCTGCAACTACTCAAGTCCCAAGCCCCACAGTCGCTCCTGTAGGACCTGTGAATGCAGAAAGTCAGCCCTATAGGTGGGTTTTGCATCCCGCAAGTACCGTGTTTTCCATCTGCATTGATAAGTGGACTCACACAGTTCAAATGTATGCTGTTTAAGGTCAACTGTGTGTAGATAGGGCACAGTATGAGTATACTATACTTCATTTATAGTCTTTTGGTAAAAATCTTTAAAGTAAATCCTGGAAATTACCTGAATTTCATGGAGATTGTGCTCATTCTTTCTAGGGCTCTGCAGTGCCCCATGCATAGATATCCTGTAGTTTATTCAACTGGTCTCCTATGGGTAGCACTTAGGTTGTTTTCAATAACTGGCTGTATGAATAATGCTGCAAGGAATAATCTTGTATTTACTGTATTTATGAAGGTAGGTCTTCAGGGTAAATTACTAGAAAGGGGAGCTCTGGGTTAAAGGGTAAATGCATCTATAATTTTCCTATAAGGCCAATTTTCCTCCTCAAGAGTTTTTCCACTTTTCTACCCCAAGGGCACTATATGAGAGTGTGTGTTTTGTCAACAAAGCCTGGAATCAAGCTTTGGAACTCCTGCAAATCTGAGGTGAAGGGAAGTAGCTGGAGCAGTTTTCAGTGCATTTTTCTGTCCATGACTGTTTAAGGTGCTTGCCATGGGCTATCTGTATGTATCTTTGTCCTTTTATCCAGGGGACATGTACATATAGTTGGACAAAGCCCCTTCTTCAACTTTTCCCTTAAGCTCTGAGCCCACTACTAGATGTCTTCATATGCTGTTACCTGTGCAGGTAAAACTGCCCCACCCACCGACCAGCCTCCCATGTCTGTCCAACTCCTAACCATCCACAGAACCCCACTTGAATGCCCTTTTCTCATTAAAGGTTTCCAGATTTCCTTCCTCTATCTCAATCTCAGATTAAGTGCCTCTCACCTGGGTCTCAAATTATCTGATTCAATCTTGGTTAAAATTATGTTTAGATGAGTGGGCTGTCTCACTGGGATTTAATGAGAAGCCTTGTGTGAAGGTAGTTGTCTTGGGAATATAAAGGCTTTGGTGGGTGGAAAAAATAGAAGAATAGGTTAGAAAACATTTACATTCCTGATACCATGCAATTTAAAGCAAATGTTCTATTCTGTTACCACAAAGTTGAGTTACTGTGCAGATCTTTCCACTGTAAAGAACAAAGAGCTTTCTTATAATATTGAAAGGTTTATTCCCATAATTCCAATAAAAGCTGACTTGTAATTTTGATTTATATATATATGAATATAACACACATTTTTCCATACTTATTATAGAGAATTGTGCTCATTACATTTTAAACTGCATTTGTTATAAGACAGTAAATTGCCTCCTTAACAAAAAGTAATTAACCCACTTATAATGACCTCAATTATTTTGTTCAATTATAATTAACCAATTACTACGTTCACACACACACTAGTTTAGGAACATTATGTAAAAGCACTCCTCCTTGCCTAAGTTCGCTGCAAGTAAAAATTAACAAGTATCTCTCACAGATGAATTTTTAAACATAGCACAAAATAGCATTTTATCACAGGGAGCCAAGGGCAGGGACAAGCAGGTGTCTTGGAATGATGGGTCCAGGGCTATAGGGATTTGGATATTGAATTAGGTTACCATATTTTGTATCACACGCTAGGCACAGAGTGAGCACATAGGAATTATAAGTATTAATTAGGATAAAATTGTATAAATGTAAAACACATCTAGCAAATTTGAAGTGTTATTTCGAATTGCTTAGTGGCTTTATTTTTAAAATATAGAGGTGATCGGGTAACACCGAGACAAGGATTTCTCTTTCTTTCCAGCAGGCGCACCCCAGGAGTGACAAATCAGCCTTCAATTCCCTCTGGGGAGGGGCCTGGTTGTCCTCTTTGGGTGGCTTAGCAGCTCAGGCCCTGTGGGTGCGCTTCACATGCGTGGGGCTGTAGGATGGAGGGGTGGAGAGGCAGGCAGGCAGAAACACAGGAGGCCTCACTATGTCTTCTTCCAGAAATCCCGGCTTCTCCTGTAAACGCTGCAGTCAGTCTCCATCCTTAGCCTGGCACGGGTCTGCCCTGTCCATGTGCATCCTCCGTGTGGGTGCGGTGGGCCATCCCTCCTCCCACCGTAACCACCTACGCTCCCCTGGGTTTCCTCCCCCTCACTTATTCCCTTTCACTATTGCTGTGCCCCAGATTTCCACTCGGAGCCCTCATCCCTTCATAATCTGTAGCCTCTTCCAAGACAAACTTCCCTTCACTTTAAAAACCATGTTTGCTGAGGATGCCCAGTAGTAAGGCCCTGACCCTTCTGTGACCTCCCTCCTAAGGCCGCCTACTTGCCCTCTCCACCTGTCTATTCACAGGCATACTGAAGTTAACGTTGTTGTGTTGGATTCCCCACTCAGACACGCTCTTCTCTCCTTCTTCCCCTTCTCAGTTAACGGCACACTCAGATGTTCAGGTTCAACACTGGGCACCATCCTGAATCCCTCTCCCTCAGCCTCCCATCAAATGCGTTGGCAAGTCTGACAGCCCCAAGCCCAGCACGCACCCAGATCCTGGCCCTCCACCTCTGTCACCATGGACGCTGCTCGCGCCACCACCATCCCTCCTGGAGCTGGCCTCCTGCTCCTCCCCCCTGCCCTGTCAGTCTTGTCCTTGCAGAACAGCTGCAGTGGATTTTAAAGAAAATCTGACTCTAGCAATTCCATGCTTGACATTGGTAAGGGCTTTACGGGCTGGATATGTCCCTGCAAACTTCCTGCATTGAAGTCCCGACTCCCAGCGCCTCAGAATGTGCCTGTGTCTGAAGACAAGGCCTTCTAAGAGGTAAATCAGCTAAGATGAGGCCACAAGGGGAACCCTAAGCCAATCTGACTGGTATCCTCATGAAAAGAGATTAGGGCACAGGGAGACACCCTGGCTTTGCTTGCGCAGAGAGACAACCAGGTGAGGACGCAGCAAGAGGGTGCCCCGGCAAGCCAAAGAGAGGTGGGGTGGGAACCCACCCTGTGGACACCTTGACTTTTGATTTCCAGCCTCCGGAGCTACAAGGAAGTAACTTTCTGTTGTGAAAGCTGCCGAGTCTGTGGTCCCTGTCAGGGCAGCCCTAGACACAGACACAAACGATTTCCAGCTACACTGAGAGTCCATCCCATTCCCTGCCTGCCCCACCACCTCCCACCACCCCATCCAGCTCATGGATTATTTATGTGTCTGTCTCCATCCAGCAGAAAATCAGGACAAAGATGTGGATTTGTCTGCCCTGTTCAGGCAAAGGTCTATCCCCTAAAGCAGTGCCTCACACATAGGGGCTCAGCACGTGTTTTCCAATGAATGAATGAATGAATGAATGAATGCAATCCCATGTTGCCAGATCTAAGGACTTTCCATAAGGAGCCATGTAAGTGGATTTTTAGACAGAATGTTGTGGTTCCTCAGTCATAACTTTTTCTTGGTAGAATGACAAGTTTCTTTTAAGGAAGTATTCCAGTTCATCAATGAAGAAGTGCTAGAATGAGGGTATCACTCTTTGATCACTCCTAGTGAGTTATTGGATCTTGGCAATCACCAAAACTGAAGAAAAAGACAACCAGACATCCAAAGGGCAGACGACCCCACCTGAATATTGGTGAGACTCTAGACCCAACTGACAAAAGACAGGAGCTACATGAGACAGGGGACCATGTTCAAGGATGCAATGAAGAAGCAGGCAGAAAGATCCAGAATGCCCAGAACACTGCAGGACAGTGGTCCAGTTTCTTTAACAAGGCAAGAAATATGCAAGATGTAGAAGGAGACCACATATTAAATGAGACTTAAGAGGTGTGTCAACCAACCACGGTATATGAGCCTCTCTTAGAGCCTGACTCACACAAACTATTACAGATCAGATAACTGGTGAAAGTCAAAGACCTGACATTTGATGATACTAAAAAATTATTATTAAATTGTTATGCACTGTATTGGTTTTGCAGTGTGTGTGTGTGTGTGTGTGTGTGTGTGTGTGTGTGTGTAAAGGGTGACCTTATCTTTAGAGACACTTCTTGAAATACTTGTAGCTGAAATAATGTGATAATAAACTTCTTCAAAAATAGTCTGGTGGATGTGGGCTTAGGGGAAGAGATGGAGTTTAAAGTGGAACAAAATTTTCTGTGAGTGATATTTGTTGCACAGTGGGAGCAAGAAAGTTCCTAGTGTTATTCCCTCAACTTCTGCAATTGCTCAAAATTTTCCAAAATAAAAGCAGAAACTATGCAGTACAATGAACACGGACAGGCATTTCACAGGAGAGGAATCGGACATGGCCACTAAAAATGTAGAGAGAAGTGAACCTTATTTGATCAGCGAAGTTCAATTTATCCCCATTCAACTGGCAAAAAGTTAAAAGGTCTTACGATACCACATGTTAGGGAAGACATAGAGCTTCTCTGATACGTGGGATAGTATGCTCACGTTCTGCTGTTGGGAGTATAAACTGGCACAACCAATTTGGAAAAAAGCTTGGCATGCTCTCCTCAAAAGTTTATGCTCTCCATGTGAATTCCATTCAATAATTCCATACAACGATTCTATAATTCTATCTCTGGTTGGTTGTGTATGTGTGTGTGTGATGTGTATGTGCTTGTTTATATGTGTATACACATGTGAATATACATGCTTGTGTGTATGCATGTGTATACATGTACACACATCTCTTTGCACCCACGAGAAACTCCTGCACATGTACCCGAGGTGTCATGTATAAGGACGTCATAGCAAATGAATGAATGAAGGGAGGCAGCGAGGGAGGGCTGCCCATGGAGCAGAGATAGAGATGTGGTATGGACCAACCAGTACTGGACCTGGTGCACCAGTGTACAGAGAAGCCGCCGTGTGGGGCGACTCTCCAGATAGCAGCCTGTCCCCCTGGTGCCCGGCACTGCCTCAGCAGGTGGCACCTGCTGGGGTTCTCACTCTGCAAGATGCCTGGGGGACATACTTCCCAACTTCTCTGTGGCAGTTTTCACTTAAAAGGAAACTTGAATATTTAATCCGACCCTAAGTCAAATCCTTCTGTGCTAGCATGAGGGCATGTGTGTGTGAGTGTGTCTATATGTGTGTGTCTATGTGTGTCTGTGTCTGTGTGTGTGTGTCTGCATGTCTAATATGTGTGTGTCTGTGTGTCTATGTGGGTGTCTGTATGTCTGTGTGTGTGTGTGTGTCTATGTGTGTGTCTGTGTGTCTACATGTGTGTCTGTGTCTGTGTGTGTGTGTCTGTGTGTATGTCTGTGTCTGTGTGTATGTCTGTATGTCTGTGTGTGTGTCTGTGTGTCTACGTGTGTGTCTGTGTGTGTGTCTGTGTGTCTATGTGTGTCTGTGTGTGTCTGTGTGTGTGTGTATGCTTGTGTGTGTATCTATGTGTGTCTGTGTGTGTATGTCTGTATGTATGTCTGTGTGTATGTGTGTCTGAACTTTGTGAAAAGAGGCAATCACATCAGGACAGTTGCAGGCCACAGCGTTCTGTGCTTCACCCTGTCCGGGGTGCTAACTTGAAGCCATGAGCGGAGCACCCCAGGGAGCTGCCTTCCCGTCCGTCTTCTGCCTCCACCCACACAGCAGTGCTGCAGAGCGCTGTTCTTCCACGAGGGAATAGCAGGGCCTCTAAAAACCCTTTTACAAATGTCGCTTTCATGATCAGGAATCCATTTCAAAGCCAGAGCAGAGCGGGCTCCCCACAAATGGGGGCTCTGAGTTGAGGGGTGCTGGATGCTGAGGGGAGGGGGCAAAGGGGAGTGATCCCATGAGTCCCGAGAATAAAAGGCAGGGCTGATGGTGCCGTGACTGCTGGGAATCCAGGGTACCCGTGGCTGTGAGGGGAAGGCGACTATTCTGAAGAGAATAACTTTAACCTCTCATTCCCAGGTAACGCCTGGAGTTGAGGAAGAACTCGGGCTTAGGGGAAGAAATGGAGTTTAGGTGGAATACAGCAGAGAGGGACCCCTGGGCAGGCCTGCTTCCCCTGACATGACCCAGATCCTGGCAAATCATTATAGTCCCTTCAGGGTGCTACTTAGCTACTTACCCTAGACTGGGTAGCTTAGCTACTTACCCTAGACTGGGTGGCTTTTAAACAACAGAAATGTAGTGGTCCCAGGTCTGGAGGCTGGAAGTCCAAGGTCAAGGCACCAGCAGATTCAGTGTTGGATGAGAACCCACTTCCTAGTACATAGACAGCAACTTCTCCCTGTGTCCCCGGTGGTGGAAGTGGTGAGGGAGCTTTCTGGGGTCTCCTTTATAAGGGCACTAATCCCATGAATGAGGCTCCACCCTCATGAACCCATCATCTCCCGAGGCCCCACCTCCCAATACCATCACCTTGAGGGTTAGGATTTCAACACGAATTCTGGGAGAGACACAAGCATTCAGACCACAGCACAGATGAAATGTCCACAGCAGGAAGGAACAGATTCCTCCACTGGGCTGTCATCTGAGCTCCTGCCTTTCACGTCAACATTTGTGAGTAGAAAGTAAAGAAAATTGGATCAAATTAACCTGAAAGAATGAACCAAGGCAAGCACAACAATGAGTCATTAGAAAACACTTCGGGCATAAATAGATGTTCTCTTTTGGCAAATTTCCTAGGTTGGTGGATATTTTAAGTTTTACTAAGAAAAACAAATGTAAATGTTATTAAGCGGCTGGGAAAAACAAAGCATGTGATATATTTTTCACACATTTTTCTTTGTCCTCCCATTAAACTCTATGTTCATATGTAGTTTATATTTTACATCTAAAACTTGATAGGATGTTTTTCATTTGTTCTGAGAAAGTGGAAAAGTAGAAAGATACGTTTCCCATTGCCACACCTTAGCTGTTTTTAAAATGTTCTCTTCTCTCACACACAATCAATTGAAAGAGCCCTTTCCTTTTTCCTAGGACGTCCTGAGCACTTTGCTCACACTGTAGGACTCAAAAAGTCTGGGCCATGTCCTGGGATGACCTAAATCAGATTCAAGTCATCCACAGCGCTGCTTGGTATGTGTGCAATTCAAGGGAGAATCTCCCACACACCTCCTTGCAGACAACTCTGAGATTTGGCTCTTACAAAAGATTAGTTGGGTAAATCACTGTTACAAAAGATTGCCAGAAAGATGCGCTTTTCTACGGATTATAAAATTGTCCCCTGAATTAAGCTAGGCTTACCATAGCTAGGGTACCACGTTGCCTCACATCCCATAAAACTGTCTTCATTGACCTCGATTTTGCCATTATACTCTCTGTTTACATTTATGGACCCTATAAGAGGGACATATATGAAATTCAGTACTAGATTTAGTATAGGGCTTGGTCTACTGGATTATTGAGGGTACTCTTCATGGGAAGATACAGGAATAATTAACCTCAGACCATAGTTCTCAGAAAGGCTATATTTCTTGTGTTTTAATGTGCAGATGCTATGAATTATATAACTGATTATGTTTCTCATTTTACTGAAGCCTCTAGAAAGGTCAGGGTTGAATTCCAAGCCTACCTTTAACATAGAAGCAGAGAGTAGAATTGTGGTTAGTAAGGGTAGGGAGGTGGGGGTATGGGGAGACCTTGGTCAAAGAGCACAAAGTGTTAGTTATGTAGGATGATAAGTTGTAAAGGTTGTTAAAGTTGTCAGAATAAAAATGGAGTCACTAAAGTTAAGAAAACCTTGACAAATAGAGCTGGGGAAGGCCAAGAAGAAAAGGTTCTCAGGCTTGTACACCTGATAATGAAAAAGACTTTACAAAAACCACAACCTTGCACAAAGGCCATCACAACCTTATACAAAAAAAAAAAAAAAAAAAAAAAAAAAAAAATGCTTCTGGAAGGACACCTGCCCCGAAACTGCCTGTCCAACCTCGGACTGTAGGAACAAAACGTGATGTGTATATATCTACAATGGAACACCGTTCAGCCTTGTTATTGATCTTGTGGCCAAGAATAATTATTGCAAAACAATTATGTAATCCTCCTCATTTTTTTCTTTAAACACCTCTGTCTTTATCTCCTGAATATATACATAGTTTACTATGGCACATGTATTCCCATTGCAATGCTCTACTCGCAAATAAACATTTTCTTTTAGAGAGCCACTGTCTGTTATTAAGGTTGGCAACATCTAACACACAGCATGGAGAACACGGTTATTAACATTCTGTTGCGTACTGAAAATTTGCTGAGAGTCCATCTCAAGTGTTCCCACCACCAAAAACAAGGTAACTGTGTGAAGAGATGGGAAGTGAATTAGACTGTCTGTTGTAATCAGAATACGATGTGTATGGACATCAAAACCTCACACTGCGTATCTTAAATATAACAATTTCAACACAAAATGTGAAAGCAAACTGTAAGGATAGGCTGGTGCACTTTGATCTCTTGTTTTATGCTCTGCCTTCATTGTTCTGTACCCTTAATCGGGTTTTTAGTTTCAGTCTATTGTGTGAGAAGCATTTTAAATTAATAAGGTGCCTCAACTTCCTCTTGGAATGTAGATTGGGTGTAAACATACATCTGTAAATACACATATATTCTGTTAGAAGAGATGGCAATCAGCTGCAGGTACCTGACAGAATTTGCTACATCAAACCACAGAAACATGCTGGAGGAAAAAGTAAGTACAAACCCATGGATGAGATCTCATGATGGAGACAATTACACCTCAGGGTCAGCATGGGGCATGGGCATCCCACCTGTTCCCTCCCAGCTTCAGCACAGTGCTGTGGCCTCAGGGAGTCCTCTGATGGCCACAAAGTGAGCACAGAATCAGAGCCCAGTGGTCAGAATGGCCCGGAAGGTGAACCTGTCACCTGCAGAGCCTCTTCTGAAAGACCTGCCCTCCTTTCCCCTTCCTCCCCAACTCCACACCCGCCACCTTCCTGTGGGGACAGAATTCAGGCAAGACTGCCACGCCAGTCCCCAGTGCTAAATGACAAACCACGTTGGGCTCATGCCGTATCTGCCCTTTCCTTCACCCTTCCTTCCAGAATTCTTTTGCTCTTAATATTTCTAGGGTAGAAGTAGAGCAAGTACTTTATCTATGGGAATAAATTTATCACATAAAAATCTAACAGAGCTTGAGATATAAATGTATTCAGTGTGCCTTAAAAGTGGTATCACTGACTCATCAAATTGTCTTGTGAAAACTGGATATCAAGATGCAAAAGAATACAGTTGGACATACTCTATATCATACACAAAAATTGACTAAAGATAGATGAAAGACCTAAATGTAAGACCTACAACTATAACACTCTTAGAAGAAAAGATGAGAAAAGCTTTATCACATCAGATCGGGTAATGATTTCTTGGATATGACGTCAAAGGCACAGGCAACAACAACAAAAAATAGATAAATCAGACGTCATCAAAATGTAAAACTTTTGTACATCAAAAGACACAATTAACAAGATGAAACAACAACCCACAGAATGGGAGAAAATATTTGCAAATCATATATCAGATAAGGGGTTAATATCTGGAATGTATAAAAACCTCCTACAACTTAATAACCTCAATAACAATAAAAAACCAAATAACCCAATTAAAAAATAGCAAACGACTTGAACAAACATTTCTCCACAGAAGACTACAGGTGACCAATAAGCACACGGAGAAACGCTCAACATCACGAATCATGAGAGAAATGCAAATTAAAGCCACAGTAAGGCACCACTTCACTCCCATTGGTATAGCTGCTATCAACGAAGCAGAAAATAGCAAATGGCAAGGATGTGGAGAAACTGAAACCTTTGTGGCACTACTGGTGGAAATGTAAAATAGTATAGCTGCTGTGGAAAACAGGACGGTGGTTCCTCAAAAACATTTAAAAATGAATTATCGGCCGGGCGCGGTGGCTCACGCCTGTAATCCCAGCACTTTAGGAGGCTGAGGCGGGTGGATCAGGAAGTCAGGAGATGGAGACCATCCTGGCTAACACAGAGAAACCCCGTCTCTACTAAATATACAAAAAATTAGCCGGGTATGGTGGCGGGCGCCCGTAGTCCCAGCTACTCCAGAGGCTAAGGAAGGAGAATGGCGTGAACCTGGAGGCGGAGCTTGCAGTGAGCCAAGATCGCGCCACTGCACTCCAGCCTGGGCAACAGAGCGAGACTCTGTCTCAAAAAAAAAAAAAAAAAAAAAAAAAAAAATTATTATATGGTCCATCAATTCCCCTGCTAGATTGAAAAGCAGAGACTTAAACAGGTATTTGTCTACCCATGTTCACAGCAGCTTGACTCACAGTACTCTGAAGATGGAAGCAACCCAATGGTCCATCAGCAGACGAGTGGAAGAACAAAATGTGATGTGTATATACCTACAATGGAACACCGTTCAGCCTTAAGAAGAAAAGGAATTTGTCTGGGTGCAGTGGCTCATGCCTGTAATCCCAGAACTTTGGGAGGCAGAAGCAGGTGGATCACCTGAGGTCCAGAGTTCAAGACTAGCCTGGCTAACATGGTGAAACCTCATCTCTACTTTTAGTATTTTTAATTTTTAATACAAAAACTATCTGGGCGTAGTGGTGGGCGCCTGTAATCCCAGCTACTCCAGAGGTCAAGGGAGGAGAATCGCTTGAACCTGGGAGGCGGAGATTGCATGAGCCGAGATCGCACCATTGCACTCCAGCCTGGGCAACAAAAGCAAAACTCCATTTCAAAAAAAAAAAAAAAAGAAAGAAAGAAAGAAAGAAAGAAAAGAAAAGGAATTTTCACACATGCTACAACATGGAGCCCATAACCTTGAGGACATTACGCTAAGTGAATATACCAGTTGCAAAAAGACAAATGCTGTGTGATTCTGCTTACATGAGGTGCCTAGAGTGTCAAAATTATAGAGACAGAAAGTAGAACAGTTGCTGTCTCATTGGGGAAGTGGCTGAGGGAAGTGGAGAACAGAGAGTTGGTTAGTTTTTAACAGGCAGAGAGTTTCAGTGTTGCAAAATGAGAAGTATTCTGGAGGTGGATGGTGGTGATGGTTGTACAATGATGTGAAAGCCCTGAATACCTCTGACATACTTAGAAACCGTTAAGATGGTACATTTTATATTTTTATAATTTCTTTTTAAAAAAAGCTCATCGCTGATACAAAGTATAAAACATCTCTCCCAATACATGCACAAGAAATGACACATGCAGAGTTCATGGACAATTTCCTACGAGGCAAGGGAAGTAAGGCCTGCCCTCTAAATCTGCCTTAGCGTGTGAGCCCACAGCTTTCTGCTGTGGGTTCTGACATTTCTCATCACACCAAGCGTCAGTCCTCTCAGACCCAGATCTGAAAGCGGGGGCTGAAACCTGTGTTACTGCCTTAGCTGTCATCTCCATGGCTGTGTGGGATCCCAGAGCCACAGCCTTCCGTCCTGGCACTGTGTTGATTTTTAAGGCCTTTTCTTTGAGATTTGGGACATTATTGTTTCCTCTTTCCCAGCTCCCCCCTATCAAGCTAGAGCCCTGACCATTAGGCACTCTGGCCAGACCCAGGCTCTCCCTTGGGCTGGGTCACACGCTGTGGTTGGGGAGTTTCTTCTGCAACGAAGGCCTCCCTGGACCCCTGACTCACCACGCATGTGGCCAACCACACCTCTGAGGGCCTGGAGCCCAGACCCTCCAGTGGCAGGGGGTATTGGGTCCATCCACGGAGAGAACCCCTGATGGAAGAGGCGCCTCCCTCCTGGGCCATCCACACTGACAATGCAGCTGCTCCCTGCCCCCACCTCCTCCTCCACTCTCCGCAGGTGTTGGTCCTGCGCACCTCACTAAACTTGCTCAGAGGCAGGTTCCTCAGAGGCTGCTCCACGCATCCAGGACCGGAGGCCTCACCAGGGATCCCTTCTCAGATCCTTACCCTCCCTGCCATCTCTCTTCTGCTCAGGTCCACAGTGGGTCCGTGGCCATGATGACTATGGAGCTTCTCTACTTCAACTTGAATTTGCCCTTCCTTCAACCACTCTGTGTATTTCTACACCAGCATGACACCTTCCCCCCTGCCCCTGCCAGACAGAAAGCTTCAGCTGTAAGGGCAGTGAGGACCAAGACACTCTTGCCTTGTCCGCACCTCTTCACAGGCTCCTTCTTCCCACAGAGGAAGGCTTGGCCCCCACTGAGAGACGCTCCCTTAGGGAACAGGTGCTGTTCTATTTCCATGCCGCATTTGCCCTCACCTTCCCTGGGCCTGGGCTCGGTAGCAAAAGACCACAGAGAGAAATTCCAAAACTGAGAATAAAAACTATAACAGGAAATATTTTTAAACAAATTGTATTTTACCACATCTACATACATACACACAATAACAGAATTACATACTAGATAGATGATAGATACATAGATAGATGATAGATAGATAGATGATAGATAGTAGACACATACATAGGTAATAGATATATAGATACATATATACATAGATGATAGACAGATGATAGATGGATAGATAGATGATGGATGGATAGATAGACAGATGATAGATAATAGATGGATGGATAGATAGCTACATAGATACATACGTAGATAATAGATACACAGATATATGGATGATAGATACATATATACATACATGTATAGATGATACATGATAGATAGATAGATAGATAGATAGATAGATAGATAGATAGATAGATATAGATAATCTACAGTAGTGAGTTGGTTGCATGTTATGACCGAGGAAGAATATAAGATGCGTACCAGATTTCTGATTTGGCCTTGAAAGTGACCTGGGAGTATTTTTAATGAAGTAAACAGGAAGAAAGTGGCTGATGGTGTTGGAATTTGCCTGGCCTGGGAGGAAGAGCTGAGTTAGGATAAGAGGAGTGGGATTTGGACACATTGGCTGTGCTGAGGAAGTTGGGGGGGAAGCTCCAGGCTCTCAGCACATGTTTGGATTTACTCACAGATGCACAGATAGCAGAGGCTGAGCTGGATTTTGAATCCAGTTTGAATCTACTTCTGACAGACCCCAGAGCCCAGGCTTGGAACCCCAGGCAATACTGCCCCTGGCTACACCAAGATATTACTCTAGAGACAAAAATGCAATACACTTTTAAGTATAATAGCCAAAAATGGAAATTCTGTTGGTGTTTTCTCTATGGTAAGTCCGCTCATGTCAAGAGAAACTAACTCCATCTTGAAAATAAACTTTCTGAATCCCTCTCTTAAGAAGCATGCTGGGAGGTCGCAGTGCCCCACAGTTTAAATGTTAGGAAATGCAGGAGATCCAGAAAATTGACAGATTTATTACTAAATGTTTACTTTTGATGTTCAATGTCATTAATTTGATCTAACTGGGGAAATTGTCAGAATTAGCGAAGATCATGAATCACTGAAGTATATTTAAATGTCATTTTATTACTTCCAAGCACTCATAATTAAAGAAACTAAATGTTAGAAAAGAATTGAGCCAAGACTTTAATCACGATACCTTAAAGAGCAAATTTTAATTATAATGTTCACATTAAAATGTCTCATTGCAAATAGATCTTGCCAATATGTTTGAAAGCAGCTTGCTCTCTTATGTAAATGCAGTTTAATTTGCTTAATTAAGATGTTTAGCAACTTTTTCTTTCATAATACAAATAATCATAATAGCAGACATTTATTGAGTGCTTACTGTGTGCCCACAGTTAGCCAAGCACTTGCATGGTACTACCACATTTCATCCTCACAACCATGAAGAAAATACAAATATTATCCTACACGTGATGAAACAAGCTTAGAAAAGGCCAAAGTGGTGAAATAGACTCACAGCCAGGTGATCTGATGGAAGAAACCATTCTTAGCCAACAAAGGAAGGCATCAGGAACAACAAAGATGAAACTGTCTACATCTACATTAATAGAATCCAAAGCAAGTCAGTCTATAACTGAATATGGACTTTTCCTTTATGATGTAATATTTGAAACTGTAACTCCCTAGAGTTTATGTTTTTCTAAGTCAGATTTATTGAAGTTTAATTTACCTACAGGCGAATTCACTTCCTTTAAGTGTAGAGATCAATGAATTTTTACAAATTTGTACAGTCATGTAACCATGATGACAACCAAGGCATGGCACATCTCCCTGCCCTAAACGCTTCCCTCATGTCCCTTTGTCAGTTTCCTCCGGCAGCCCACACATCCTGGACACCACTGGTCTACAGGTAGAAGTGGAGTATGCAATACATAGTATTTGGGCCTGGCTGCTTTCCTTCAGACTAATTCTTGTGAGATGTACTTGTGTTGCTGCAGTCACCCCTGGTTTGTTCCTTTCATTGCAGAGAAGTGTCCCAAGTTTAGACGCAGAACACAATCTGTTTATCTATTCACGAGTTTATCATTTGAGCAGGTTCCAGCTTTTTGTGATTATGAGTAAACTGCTGTAAATGTCCACATTCAGGCATTTTCATGGATGTATGTTTTTATTCCTTTTGCATAAATTCCTTTTCTTCTTTCTTTCTTTCTTTTTTTTTCTTTTTTTACAGGGTTGGGGTTTCACTATGTTGACCAGGCTGGTCTCAAACTCCTGGCCTCAAGTGATCCTCCCATCTTGGCCTCCCAAAATGCTGGGATTACAGATGTGAGTCACCATGCCTGTCCCCTTTTGCATAAATATCTAAGGGTGAAAGCATTGGGTTATATGGCAAGGGTATGTTTAACTATAAAAGATGTTGCCCAACTATTTTCCAAAGTAGCTGCGTCATTTTGCATTCCCACCAACAACGGAAGAGAGTTCCAGTTATTTCACACCTTTGTCAGCACTTGATGCTGTCAGACTTTTCAGTTTTAGCTACTCTAGTAGGCTTGTATCAGTATCTCACGGTGGTTTTAATCTGCATATCCTAAATGACTCATGATGTTGAGCATCTTTTCACACACTCATTTGCCGTTCTCATGTCTTTGTTAAAATGTCTGTTCAGCAGGAACAGAAAACTGAATACCACATGTTCTCTCTTATAAATGGGAGCTAAATGATGAGAAGACATGGACACAAAGAAAAGAAGGAACAACAGACGTTGGGGTGTATCAGAGGGTAGAGGGTGGGAGGAGAGAGAGAATCAGAAAAAAATATTGGGTACTATGCTTAGTACCTGGGTGATGAAATAATGTGTACCACAAACCCCCATGACACAGGTTACTTATATAACAAACCTGCACGTGCAGCCCTGAACCTAAAGTAAAAGTTAAAACAAAAATGTCTGTTTAAATCTTTTGCCCATTTTTATTGGGTGGTTGTCTTCTTATTTTCTAGTTGTAAGAGTTCCTGATGTAATCCGGATATAAATCTTTTATGAGGTATGTGTTTTAAAAATATTTTCTCCCACTCTGGCCAGTATTTGGATTTTTCTGACAGTGTCTTTTCAAGGACAGGAGTCTTTAGTTTGTATGGCGTCCTATTATTTATTTATTTATTTATTTATTTATTTATTTAGCAGTTCATGCCTTTTGTGCCATATCTAGAAAACTTTTGCCTAAACCAGCGATGATTTATTCTATCAGTGTTATTGTTTTAGGTCTTAAATTTAGGTCAATGGCCCATTTTTAGTTACTTTTATAAACAATGCAAACACCAAGGCTTATCTTTTTGTTTATAAATATCTACTTGTTCAAACACCATTTGTTAAAAAGATAATCTTTCCCCTCATTGAATTACACCGACATCTGTGTCAAAAATCAATTGACCACAGTGTGACAGTCTGTTTCTATTCATTCCATTGACTATGTCTACTTTTATGCCAATACTGTACTGTCTTGATGACCACATCACTGTAGTATAGCTTTAAAAGACAGTGTGAGTTCTCCAACTTTATTCTTCTTTCGCAAAGTTCTTTGGGTTATTCTACATCCTCTGAACTTCTGATTAAGTTTAGGAATCTGTTTGCCAAATTCTGTGGAGATTTTGATTGGTGTTGCATTGGATTCTCAAAATCAGTTTGGAAAATCAGCACCCTAACAACACTAAGTCTTCTGATCATGACCTTAGCCTGCATTATTCATTTAGAACCTCCCTTTAAGCTCTCAGCCATGTTTTGTAATTTTCAGTACACAAACCTTGCCCATGTTTTGTAATATTGGGATCCTACTGTATGTCATTTTAATTTCAATTTCTCATTTTTGTTTCCTTTATAAAGAAATAAAAAATTGACTTTGGCATATTTACCTTACGTCCTGCAACCATCCTAAACACGTGAGTCTTAATAGCTGCTTTTGCAGATAATTTGGAATCTTCTAGGTAAATAGTAATGTTGTATGAAAATAAATGCAGCTTGCTTTCTTCCTTTCCAATTTGTATAACTTACATTTCTTTTTTACCTTCTTGCACTACCAATAATTTTCAGTATAATGTTGAATGGGAGTGGTGCAATGTCCTCATCTGAAGGCAAAAGCCTTCCATCTTTCACATTAGGTGTGATGCTGGCTGTCAGCTTTTTGTAGAAGCACTGTATCATATTGAGGATGTTTCTTTTTTATCCATAATTTTTAGAATTTTAGGAGAAATAGATTTCGAGTTTTCTCAAGTGATTTTTATGCATCTATTAAGATGATCATGTGGTTTTTCTCTTTAGTCTGTTAATATGGTAAATTCCATGCATTTATTTTCAAATATTAAACCAAATTTGCACTTGCTGGAATAAGTTCTACTTTTTTATGATGCATTATTCTTTTTGTATGTTGCTGGATTCAATTTGCTAATATTTTCCTAAGGAAAATATATATTATTTTTTAAGTGTATATTTAGGAGAGACATGGTCCTATAGTTTTCTGTTTTTGTTTTTGTTTTTCTTGTAATGTCTTTGCACGGGTTTTAGTATCGGGGTAATTTTGGCTTCATAAAATACTTCCTCCTCTTTTATTTTCTGGACATATTTGTGTAGAATTGGTAATATTTCTTCCTTAAATGTTCGATAGAATTCACTAGTGAATTCAATTAGTCTGAAAACTTCCTTGTGGGGGTTTTTAACAACAAATTAAAAACCTTTAATAAATATAAGACTATACAGTGAGTAAATATACATGTTAATTATTTTCTATTTTTCTACCTCCAAGTTTTCTGATTTTTTTCCACTTCTGTGCCCAATGTATTAATCAGCTCATTACAGAATACTTCACCTCTGGTATCACTTCTGAAGGTTTCTAAACACAGCCATGTGACTTATCTTCATCGCTTTCCCCTCTGTGCTAAAACTCAGTGTCTCCTCACACACACTGTCCACTCTTTCTGGTAGATCTCTCATCATATTTATTATAGTTACTTTCAAGTCTCGTCTGTTGGTTCTAGCGTCTGGGCCAGTCTCGAGGACAGGTTGGCTTTTGTTTGTTTGTTTTGGTATGTGTCTTCGAATTGTTAATCAAATACTGGGTATGGTGAGTAGAGGAACAGCAAAGGCCGAGATGACTTTAAATTACACCTGCACCCAAGCTGGCCCACCTCGGTCCCTGAGCCGGGATTTGTCTTGTCAGGAGCTGACCAGGCCTCGCTGCTTGGTCTTTGCCTTCAGTGTGCCCCGTCTTCAGTCCCGCTCGGGCACCTGCAGCTGAGCTTCTCTTGGGACCTGGGACCTGGCCCAGCACAGCGGGATTTCCAGTACCCGCTGCACCCTCAGCGCTGAGCAGGTGCCGCTCACCTGGCCACAGCCGGCTCTTCACTGCGTGCCCCGCCCGAGGAAGACCGACGCTGTCCATTCTTGCTGGGAGGTGCGTGGTGAGGCCAGGGGGCTCCGAGGCCTCCTGTCCAGCCTGTCTCAGAGGCAGCCCAAGGACCCAGGCCTCAAGGGTCTGGGGTGGGAGGGCGCCCTGCCCACCCCCACGGAGCAGCCTTCTCTAGGCTCTCCCAGCCCTTCCCCGGGGTGGAAGGCTCGGCCGCTCCCTGACCCCTGGCCTCAGCAGCCCTTCCCTGGGCCAGAGGCCACACTGCAGTTTTCTCAGCTCAGGCTCACTGTGGAGCAGGGGTCACTCCGGACCCTCTCAGAGCTCCCACCTCTTCCCCGAAGCAGGGCCTTCCCCCTCCCACTGGCTAAGGGCTCTGTACCACAAGAGGGAAAAGGCGACCGCAGGGTGGACCTCTGTGTCTGTCCACCTGAGGGCTCCCCGCTCCTGCCTAGCCCCCAGTCCCCTCCCCCTGCGAGAAGGCTGCAGAGGACACTGGAGTGAGGATGGCCCCGTGGCTGGGGCTCTGGGGTCCTAGGCTGGTGCTGGGCCCACACCCAGCTGTGTCCTCATCACCTCTGTGGGGGTGGCTGTGTCTTCCACCCGCCCTCTGCCCCTCCCGGGCTCCCCACCCTTCAGGCTGCCACCTGGCCGCCCTGCTCCCGATAAGTTCAGGGAAGGTGGGGTTCCCAGATGACCTGGCTGGGCTTCATTGCAAACCAGGTTGTCACTGCGTTCTAAGTCCTAGGCATAACTGGAAGCTTTTTGTTTTACTTGGTTGGTTGTTTGCTTTTTACCAATAATCTATCCAAATATCTTCTACGGAATGAAAATAAAGCTTGCACATGGAAATGGAAATTAAGAAACAGAAGTTTTTCTGGTTCAAAATGAGCTTGACAGTTGGTTTGACTTCTGTGTCTGAGACACATAAACGCAACGCAGGCTCTGCATGAGCACAGGCTCCTTGGCAAAAGCCCCAGATCACAAAGTCAAAGCCCTTACTGGCTCACAGGGAGCACCTGAGTCATGGGCTGAGGACCTCAGGCTTGAAAGCCCTGTACCAGCCGGTCAGCGGCTAACATTATTTGCTAAAATTAACAGTTGGAAATCAATGCCTTGTCCAACAGAGGTACAATTGAGCTATAATTGATTCAAGGAAGTAAAATAACACTGAAGAAGGGTGGTCAGCCTCTAACTTACAAGGTGAAGTGCTTCCGACCTTCCTAACGCAATGGTTCTGGGGAAGGCAAGGATGAGAGTGTCAGCGTGTCAATGATAATAGCATTGTGCTTATGGAGGAAAATGTATTTATTTTTCAGAGAGCCATACTGAAAAATTTAGGAATGAAATGTTATGGTTTATATACATCACCAAAAAAATACTTGAGCAAAAAATATTCACAAAAAAATACAAATATAAAACAAAATCAAAAAAAGTTTATCTAGTCCACGTTCAAAGTCCCCCAATTGTCCAAAGAAATATACTTTACTGCTGGTTTCTTCAAATCAGAATGGAACCAACAAGTAAATGTTACATTGTATTATCATGTCCCTACGTGTCATTAATACACAGCAGTCCTTCCCAGTCTTTTGTGTCAGTCTTGTTTTCTTGCAGGTAGACCAGGTATCCTCAAGGCCTCACCACTGGAGGACTCGGAATCTTGGCCGCAAAGATACTAACAGATGTCCACGTGATAAGCCCCAGGACCTGTGAGAATGGTATGCGGCAAAGGGGCTTTGCAGCTTTGGACAAACAAGGAGGACCACCCTGGATTTTCTATGTGAGTTTAATCTCACCAGGGCCCTCATAAGAGGAAGGCAGCAGGTCAGAGTCAGAGGACGAGATGTGGCCATGGAGGTCGGGATGGATGGGAGTGAGGCCGCTGCAGGAAAGGGCCGTGAGCAAAGGAGTACTGGCACCTCTGGAGGCTGGCACAGGCAGGAAGTGGGTTCTGGAAATGAAACACAGCCTCTGCCAACTCCTCGATCTTAGGATCTGTGCCCTCCAGAACCGTTAGACAACCAGTGTGTGTTGTTTTACACCACAACGTTTGTGGTGATTAGTTCCAGCAGCCAGAAGGAACTCACAGCCACCCGCTGGGGGACCCGCGCGTAAGTCATGGTGTTCCCCCCTTGTGTCTTTATTGCTTTTTTCCTGTAATTAGCTGGTTATGTTCAAAGTAGCTTCCTGCATTGTTCCGTGAATTCATGGCTATATATTTTATACTGTGATGATCACGTCTCCTGCACATCAAACACCCAAAAACCAGAGGACTTGTCATTCATCACTGCAGTGTCTACGTGGCCTTTTCCAGGATACGTTATGAAGAAATGTTTGTTAGATAAATAAGTGAGTAAATGTGTACTATTGATGTAGCAACTTTTAAGGGAAGACATTAGAATAAGGGGGAATTGAGCCTTACCATATCTGAGGGGTTAGTTACTGTATATTTATCATTATTTTCTAAATGTAAAATGAAATGGACTCGCTTCTTGTTTATAATGGGGGCTTTGGAATAGTATGGTTCACCAATGTAAAAATAGATGCCATCCCAATGTAGTCACAAGGGTGCTTATAAGAGGGAGGTGGAAATCAGAGCAGGAGAGGAGAGGGGAGGAGAGGAGAGGAGAGGAGAGGCGGCACTGGAGGCTCTGGAGGCGCAGCACAGGGCCTCCAGCCAGGGTATGTGGACAAAGGCCCAGAAATGGGTTCTCCCTTGGGCTTCCACAAGGAAGGCAGTCTGCTGATGCCTGGATTTCAGCCCAGTGAGACTGATTTTGGACTTCTGCTCTCAAAAGTGGTAAGATGATAAATTTGTGGACTTTTAAAATTAACTAAAATAGAAAAGGACAAAAATCGACCTCTCCAATAGGTAATGAGTTCAACTATTGAATGAAATTAGTATTATTCCATATATATATATGTAAGCAATAAGCTTAGTGTTAACATAAAAAATAGATGCCATAATGCCACTTGTTTGCAGGAAGTAAAAATTTGAAAGTGAACACTGGAAACTGTTCTGCAAAGCTGCCCCCAAATGACTCCTTTGCTCCTAAAACAGACCTCCAGCTGCTGTGTGCCTGTGGTCTTGCTCCTTGATCTGCAGTGTCCTGCACCATCCACACTCAAGCATGCTCTGGCACCTGGGCACCAAGTTCCTGCAAAGCCTGTGAGAAATCCACTGGACCAGAACCTGAAGTTTTATCAAAGTCTTGGTGGTTTCCATGCACAGCAAAAAGAAACAGACTTCCAGGCTTTCATGTGAGAGTGCGACGGCCTTCCTCTCTCTACCTCCCCACGAGTAGAGCTGCCCGGGGACCCTCTGTGGCTGAAAAACAGAGAAAGTTTGCCTGGCACAGACACATTCCAGGACTGGGCAAATGGTTTGGGGAGCTGGTTTTCAAATGCTCCTTTACAACCCTCTAGGAAAACAAGGTGTGGTGCTTTCCTTTCCTCGCCATTTCTCCAGCAGCACTCTGAGGATATGCAATGCTAGACAGCACGTCCTTACTGTAACAAAATGCCAGTGAGTTGTGTCCTGAGCCCAGGAGGCTTAACTAATCACTAACCTTGAAATGTACCATCTCACATTGTTTAAAAAGAAAGCTGGGCCGGGCGTGGTGGCTCACGCCTGTAATCCCAGGCTTAGGCGGGCAGATCACCTGAGGTCGGGAGTTCGAGACCAGCCTGACCAACATGGAGAAACACTGTCACTACTAAAAATACAAAAAATTAGCCAGGTGTGGTGGTGCATGCCTGTAGTCCCAGCTACTCAGGAGACTGAGGCAGGAGAGTCACTTGAACCCAGGAGGCAGAGGTTGCGGTGAGCTGAGATCGTGCCATTACACTCCAGCCTGGGCAACAAGAGCGAAACTTTGTCTAAAGAAAAAAAAAGAAAAAAGAAAAAAAGAAAGCTGAGGCTGGGTGTGGTAGCTCACATCTGTAATCCCAGCACTTTGGGAGGCCAAAGTGGTAGGATCACTTGAGGTTGGGAGTTCAAGACCAGCCTGGGCAACAAAGCAAACCCTGTCTCTACAAAAAATAAAAAAAAAAAAATTAGCCAGGCAGCTACTCAGGAGGCTGAGGCAGGAGGATCAGCAGAGCCCAGGAAGTTGAGGGTGAGATTACACCGCTGCACTCCAGCCTGAGTGACAGAGTGAGATCGTGTATCAAAAAAATAAAAAATGAAAAATAAAAACCTGAATATCCCTGGTGCGTTAAAAGGAAGATACTGCATTCTAGTAAGAGTCAAGGCCATGTCTGCAGCTTCAGCGCTGACGCGTGCTTCTTGCCATGCTGAGCCAGGCAAAGTGCGTGCTGCACCTGCTCTTTCAAAGACAGTGGTCCCAGAGCTGACGATGAGCTTTTTCCAAAGCCTGAAGATGAAAGTGTCAGAAGAATACTGTATGTTTTTTCAAAGTTATAGGAGGGTAAGGTGAGAACACAAGAACAAAAACTTAATTGCAGAGGAAAAATAGAAAAACTCAGCAGGTCTGAGATGGCAGCTCTGATCTAGACACAGCAGGTGCTGCACCCAGCCTCCAGAGGCCCACAGCCGAAGGCCTGCAGAGGCTGAGTCAGAAAGGACCTAGTGATTGCACTTCACTGCTAAGGAAAAGGTGAGAGGGGGCTGACAGCAAGTAATGGGACCTGTGTTTCATTCCTCCCTTTTGACATGGTATGACGGTAACACCCCGTGACCACTCTCTAAAGAGATGAGGAAGAGGCCAGGAGTGAGGCTTGTTTGGTAGAGGACAGAGGGTCTGATACAAAATCACCCTAAAATATTCTCTAATCACCAATTGGTCCCCGCTATGACCAGGAGTTTGTGGTGGCCTCAGGTCTTCCCTAAGGGTCACCGTGATTCTGGTGCCCTTGGACAAGCCTCAAGCAGGATCTGGCATCTCTCGAGCGAACAAAAGCCAGTGCCCAGGCAGCAGGGAGGCCTCTACACACCTCCAGCGGTAGTAGAAGCAAAAATCATGATAAAAAATCAGGTCAGCGTGCAACTCATCGATTTTGGCTCATGCCCCAAAAAGCAGGTTCTCTCGCAAAGACTCTGAGACCCTGACCCACAACGCCAACCGAACGGGGGTTCCCAAGCACAGTATCTGCTAGGGGTCGAATTATGCTCCCCAAAAGATACGTGAGTCTCCAACCCCCAGTCCCTCGAAATGTGGCCTTGTTTGGAAATAGGGTCATTGCAGGTGTAATAAGATGAAAGTCGCCAGGGTGGCCCTGATCCAATATAACTGCGTTCTTAGAACACCATGTGAAGATGGAGGTGGAGACTGGAGAGAGAATCCCACCAGCCAAGGAACACCAGAGGTCACCAGCAAAGCACAGAGGACAGGGAGAGGTTGGGACAAATTCTCCCAAAGAGTCCCCAGCAGCAGCCAGCCCTGTGGATGCTGTGATCACAGACTTCCAGCTCCAGAACGGTGAGGGAGTGAATTTCTGCTATTTAAGCTGCCCGGTGCATGGAACTTTGTTGCAAGGCTCCAGGAGACTAATCCAGCACTGAAGCCAGAGGGGCTGTATCCATAACGGACCCGAAGGGCTTTCAAATCTCTTCTGTGAGCATCACGTCCCACAACTTGTGTCTCCGGCCAGCTCCGTGCTTCTTAGCCCAATACCCAGAGTTACTTATCTTAAAAATACAGACAGGGAAAATGGAGATTAAGATGGTGGATAGGAGGCAGGACTGGCTTGCAGCTCCTGCTGGAACAGACAAAGCAGCATGTGGAGAGACCCACATCGTGAACTTTTGTTCCAAGAACTACCACAGCAACATACCAGGAAAGCCTAGAGAATCCACGGACCCTTTGAAGGAACTTTATCGCTGCTGCAGGCTCCATGAGACGCTGAAAAACCGTGAGTCTGCCTGCCTTCTCAGTGGGGAGGGCAAGTTCTCAGCCCAGGTCACCGGCTGCCTAGAAATAGACTCGGTGCTGTTGGGGGCACAGTGGGAGTGAGACCAGCCTTTAGGACTGTGGGCTGCATGGGAGCAGGGTGAGGCCTGTGACCGCCGCCTTTACCCCACTTTCCTGGTGATCTGTGTGATGCAGCAGAGGCCCCCTGCGAACATAGCTCCATTGGCCTGGGAATCACACCCCCATCCCCCACAGCAGCCACACCAAACCCTGCTCAAGGAGAATCTGAGATCAGAAACACCTAACCCTGTCCCACCTGGGGGTCTTTCTCTACCTGCCTTGGTAGCCAAAGACGAAGGACATAATCCCTTGGGAGCTCTACAGCCCTGACCACCTCTGGAGAAACCTGAATACTTCAAAGGTGACCCAAGGGCAAGCTTGTCTTCTCCCTGTACAACCTCAGCTGATGCACTCCTGAAAGCACCACCTCCTGGCTGGAGGACAACCAACACAAAACCAGTGCACTGAACAAAAACACAACCAAGGACCCTCATAGAGTCCACTTCACTCCCTGCTACCTCCACTGGAGCAGGTGCTGGTATCCACAGCTGAAAGACGTGAAGACGGATCACATCACAGGACTCTTTGCAGACGTTCCTCAGTACCAGCCCAGAGCCAGTAGCTCTGCTGGGTGGCTAGATCCAGAAGAGCAAAAACAATCACTACAGTTCAGCTCTCAGGAAGCCCCATCCCTAGGGGAAGGGGGAGAACACCACATCAAGGGAGTACCCCATGGAACAAAAGAATCTGAAAAGCAGGTCTTGAGTCCCAGATCTTCCCTCAGACATAGTCTACCCAAATGAGAAGGAACCAGAAAACAATTCTGGTAATATGACAAAACAAGGTTCTTTAACACCTCCAAAAGATCACACCAGCACACCAGCAATGGATCCAAACCAAAAGGAAATCTCTGAATTGCCAGAAAAAGAATTCAGAAGGTCAATTATTAAGCTACTTAAGGAGGCACCAGAGAAAGGTGAACTCCAACTTAAAGAAATAAAAAAAAACATGTTATACAAAATGAAAGGAAAATTCTTCAGTGAAATAGCATAAATAAAAAAATAATCACAACTTCTGGAAATCAAAGACACACTTAGAGAAATACAAAATGTGCTGGAAAGTCTCAGCAATAGACTCAAACAAGCAGAAGAAAGAACTTCAGAGCTCAAAGACAAGGCTTTCGAATTAACCCAATGCATCAAAGACAAAGAAAAAAGAATTTTAAAACATGAACAAAAGCTCCAAGAAGCTTGGGATTGTGTTAAGCATCCAAACCTAAGAATAATTGGTGTTCCCGAGAAAGAAGAGAAATCTAAAAGTCTGGAAAACATTTGAGGGAAAAATCAAGGACAGCTTGCCCAGCCTTGCTAGAGATCTAGACATTCAAATACAAGAAGCTCAAAGAACATCTGGGAAGTTCATCACAAAAAGATCATTGCCTAGACACATAGTCATCAAGTTATCTACAGTCAAGATGAAGGAAAGAATCTTAAGAGCTATGAGGCAAAAGCATCAGGTAACCTATAAAGGAAAACCTATAAGATTAACAGCAGATTTCTCGGCAGAAACCCTACCAGCTAGAAGGGATCGGGGTCCTATGTTTAGCCTCCTTAAAGAAAACAATTATCAGCCAAGAATTTTGTATCCAGTGAAACTAAACTTCATAAATGAAGGAAAGATACAATCTTTTCCAGACAAACAAATGTTAAGAGAATTTGCCACTACCAAGCCAGCACTACGAGAACTGCTAGAAGGAGCCCTAAATCTTGAAACAAATCCTCTAAATACACCAAAATAGAAACTTCTTAAAACATAAATCTCACAGAACCTATATAACAATAACACAACAACAACAAAAAAAACAAACCAAGGTATTCAGGCAACAAATAGCACAATGAAAAGAATAGTACCTCACATCTCAACACTAACATTGAATGTAAATGGCCTAAATGCCCCACTTAAAAGATACAGAGTAGCATAAACTTAAGATAAAGAGGTGGAAAAGATATTCCATGAAAATGCATACCAAAAGCAAGCAGGAGTAACTATTCTTATATCAAACAAAACAGACTTTAAAGCAACAGCAGTTAAAAAGACAAAGAAGGACATTACATAATTATAAAAGCAGTAGTTCAACAGGAAAATATCACAATCCTAAATATATATGCACCTAACATTGGAGCTCCCAAGTTTACAAAACAATTATGACTAGACCTAAGAAATAAAGAGACAGCAACACAGTAATAGTGGGGGACTTCAATACTCCATGGACAGCACTAGACAGGTCATCAAGACGGAAAGTCAACAAAGAAATAATGGACTTAAACTATACCCTACAACAAATGGACTTAACAGATATTTACAGAACATCCTGCCCAACAACTGCAGAATATACACTCTACTCATCAGCACATGTAACATTCTCCAAGATAGACCATATGATAGGCCACAAAACAAGGCTAGGTAAATTTAAGAAAATCAAAGTTATATCAAGTACTCTCTCAGACCACAGTGGAATAAAATAGGAAATTAACTCCAAAAGGCAGGCTCAAAACCAGGCAAATACATGGAAATCAAATAGCCTGCTCCTGAACGACTGTTGGGTCAACAACAAAATCAAGATGGAAATTAAAAAATTATTTGAGCTGAACAATAATAGTGACACAACTTGTCAAAACCTCTGGGATACAGCAAATGCAGTGCTAAGGGGGAAGTTCATAGCATTAAATATCTACATCAAAAAGTCTAAAAGAGCACAAATAGACAATCTAAGGTCACACCTCAAGGAACTGGAGAAACAAGAACAATCAAAACCCAAACCCAGCAGAAGAAAAGAAATAAAGATCAGAGCAGACCTAAATGAAATAGAAACAAAAAGAAAATACAAAAATTAAATGAAACAAAAAGCTGGTTCTTTGAAATGATAAATAAAATCAATAGATCATTAGCGAGATTAACCAAGAAAAAAAGAGAAAATCCAAATAAACTCAATTAGAAACAAAATGGGAGATATTACAACTGGATACCATAGAAATGCAAAAGATTTTTCAAGGCTACTATGAACACATTTATGAGCATAAACTAGAAAATCTAGAGGAGATGGATAAATTCCTCAAAATATACAACCCTCCTAGATTAAACCAGGAAGATATAGAAACTCTGAACAGACCAATAACAAGCAGCAAGATTGAAGTGGTAATTTTTAAATTGCCAACAAAAAAAAAGTCCAGAACCAGATGTATTCACAGTTGAATTCTATCAGACATTCAAAGAAGAATTGGAACCAAGCCTATTGACACTATTCCACAGGATAGAGAAGGAGGGAATCCTTCTTAAATCATTCTATGAAGCCATTATCACCCCCATACCAAAATCAGGGAAGGACATAAAAAAAAAGAAAACTATAGACCAATATCCCTGATGAACATAGATGCAAAAATCCCCAACAAAATACTAGCTAACTGAATCCAACAGCATATCAAAAAGATAATCCACCATGATCAAGTGGGTTTCATACCAGGAATGCAGGGATGGTTTAACATCCACAAGTCAATAAATGTGATATAGCACATAAACAGAATTAAAAACAAAAATCACGTGATCATCCCAATAGATGCAGAAAAAGCATTTGACAATATCCAGCATTGCTTTATTATTAAAACCCTCAGGAATATTGGCATAGAAGGGGCATTCCTGAAGGTAATAAAAGCCATCTGTGCCAAACACACAGCCAACATTATACTGAACGAGGAAAAGTTGAAAGCATTTCCCCTGAGAACTGGAACAAGACAAGGATGCCCACTTTCACCACTTCTATTCAACATAGTACTGGAAGTCCTAGCCAGAACAATCACACAAGAGAAAGAAATCAAGGGCATCCAAATTGGTAAAGAGGAAGTCAAACTGTCACTGTTTGCTGATAATATAATCGTATACCTAGAAAACCCTAGTAAAGAGGAAGTCAAACTGTCACTGTTTGCTGACAATACCTAAAAAAACCTAAAGACTCATCCAAAAAGCTCCTTTAACTGGTAATTGAATTTAGCAAAGTTTCCAGATACAAAATTAATGTACACAAATCAATAGCTCTGCTACACACCAACAGTGACCAAGCTGAGAATCAAATCAAGAACTCAACCCCTTTTACAAGAGCTGAAAAAAAAAACCTTAGGCATATACCTAACCAAGGAGGTGAAAGACCTCTACAAGGAGAACTGTAAAAACACTGCTGAAAGAAATAATAGATGACACAAACAAATGGAAACACATTCCATGTTCATGGATAGGTAGAATTAATATTGTGAAAATGACCATACTGCCAAAAGCAATCTACAAATTCAATGCAATTCCCATAAAAATACCACCATCATTTTTCACAGAACTAGAAAAAACAATTCTAAAATTCATATGGAACCAAAAAAGAGCCCACATAGCCAAAGCAAGACTAAGCAAGAAGAACAAATTTGGAGGCATTATATTACCTGACTCCAAACTATACTGTAATGTCATAGTAACCAAAACAGCATGGTACTTGAATAAAAATAGGCACATAGACAAATGGAAGAGAATAGAGAATCAAGAAATAAAGCCAAATATTTACAGCCAACTGATCTTCAACAAAGCAAACAAAAACATAAAGTAGGGAAAGGACACCCTATTCAACATATGATACTGGGATAACTGCCTACCCACATGTAGAAGAATGAAATTCATTCTTCATCTCTCACCTTATATAAAAATTTACTCAAGATGGATCAAAGACTTAAATCTAAGAACGTGAAACAACAAAAATTCTAGAAGATAACATTGGAAAAACCCTTCTAGACATTGGCTTAGATAAAGAGTTCATGACCAAGAACCTAAAAGGAAATACAACAAAAACAAAGATAAATAGATGGGACTTAATTAAATTAAAAAGCTTCTGCACAGCAAAAGAAATGATCAGCAGAGTTAACAGACAACCCACAGGGTGGAAGAAAATCTTCACAACCTATACATCCAACAAAGGACTAATATTCAGGATCTGCAAGGAACTCAAACAAATCAGAAATAAAAAATAAACAATCCATCAAAGTGGGCTAAGAACATGGATAGACAATTCTCAAAAGAAGATATACAAATGGCCAACAAACATGGAAAAATGCTTCAACATCACTTATTATCAGGGAAATGCATATCAAAACCACAATGCAATATCATCTCACTCCTGCAATAATGCCCATAATTTAAAAAATCAAAAAATAATAGATGTTAGCATGGATGCAGTGAAAAGGGAACACTTTTACACTGTTGGTGGAAATGTATAACTAGTACAACCACTATGGAAAACAGTGTGGAGATTCCTTTAAGAACTAAAAGTAGATCTACCATTTGATCCAGCAGTCCCACTACTGGGTACCTACCCAGAGGAAAAGTCATTATACCAAAAAATACCCGCACATGCATGTTTATAGTAGCATAATTTGCAAATGCAAAAATGTGGAACCACCCCAAATGCCCATCAGTCAATTAGTGGATAAAGCAACTGTGGTATATATACCATGGAATACTACTCAGCCATAAAAAGAATGAAGTAATGGCATTCACTGCAACCTGGATGGAACTGGAGACCATTATTCTTAGTGAAGTAACTCAAGAATGGAAAACCAAACATCGTATGTTCTCACTCATAATTGGGAGCTAAGTTATGAGAACACGAAGGCATAAGAAGGATTCAACGGACTTTGGGAACTCACGGGAAGGGGTGGGAGGGGGATGAAGGATGAAAGGCTACACACTGGGTACAGTGTACACTGCTTGGGTGATGGGTGCACCAAAGTCTCAGAAATCACCACTAAAGAACTTATTCATGCAACCAAATACCACCCGTTCCCCAAAATCCTATTGAAATAAAAAATTAATTTTTAAAAAATTAATTTTAAAAATATATATATATATGTGGGTCCCATCACTCTCCTGCTTAGAAGTCCCAAAAGGCTTCCAGGAAAAAAGGATATAATCCAAGACCTTGCCATGGCCTCGAATCCTGACATCACACTCTTCTCTCCACATGCATCTCAGGCCAGCCTGGGCAGCCCCAGGCCTGCACATGGTTCCTGAAGCCAAGCCCAGCTGAGGCTTCCTTGGTCCGGCCATGCCAGGGTCTGTCTGTCTGTCTGTCTGGGACAATCCACCCCTGGTCTTGCTGGTTGGTTTCTTCTCATCAGTCAGGTCGTGGCCTAAACATGGCGTGGGTAGAGAAGTCTACGGTAACCATGCCCCATGCCTCTGCTGGTATGGCCCACGCAGAGCACTCCCTGTCACCCTATTTCTGCACAGTACTTACCCCCGTGTGAAACCATCTTGTTGAGCTAGTTGTTTATTTGCGAGGATGCTAAAATATAAGATTCGTGCTGTCTTCTTTTTCATAGAATCCTGGTGCCCAGCACAGGGCCAGACACACAGTTATCACTCCCCAGACTTTGCCCGAAGAATAAAAGAAGAAGGGAGGGTGAGGTGGGGGCGGATCAGCTTGAGTCACCACGCGTGTAGCTGACAGTGGAGGACCCCAGGCCACCCCCGCCCGTGGAAATCCATGAGACCGTTCATCGTTTCAAGAAGGACATTGCAATGTTTACCCTATTAACTTGGAGATAGGCATTTATTGGGCTAAATCCTCACGTAGAATGAGCTTTCCCAACACAGGAGCTGCGTCCTATGCATACTCAGTCCCATGTGCCTGGCGCAGTGTGTGGCCTGAGACTGACACCAGCATGTGTTCACAGCCGTTTCCTCAAGCTGACTGAATTCTCGCCTTCGCTTTCTTTGGAAATGGTTTTATAGGGTTTGCTCCATCTGTTCTACATAAGACAGAAGTGAGACACCGGGTTCAGGGACCAGGGGCACTCATGCCTGGCTCCGCTGTGCCCACGGGGCCTCCACCAGAGAAGTGTGAGACTCCGGGTTCAGGAACGAGGGGCACTCACGCATGGCTCTGCTATGCCCACGGGGCCTCCGCCAGGGACGTGGAGCGGAGGCGTTTCCTTCTTGGTGGCCACTCAACGTGCATTTGGCAAGTGGGATGTTTGGGTTCTACATCCTGGAAAAATATGTCTTCATGATTCCCTGGAGAATTTTATGACTCACATAAATTGCAAAGTCTGTCTCCACACCCAGCTCTCAGCTGCATGTACATTACAAGGGTACAAGGATTTTTTTTCCCCATTTTATTACTTCAAAATACCTGAAGGATAACAAACTATACAATTTTCTAACTGACACCTTGCATCTTACCCAAACACACACAGCATTATCTATGGGAGAAAATCCACTCAATTAAAAAAAAAACCTATATATGTATATAAATCTTACCAAAATTATTTAAATTGTCCATCTAGGATTAATAAAATATAAGGAGCTTTTGTAATTCTTGTAAATCAATAATACATCCCACCTATGACAAGATAGCAGTGAATAGGGAGGTATAATTTTTAAAAGCAGCTCCATCTAAAAGCCCCCGGATTTTTGTGCACTCATAAAGAAATAATGCTTGTCTTTCTCCAGTGTGAAGAGAGGAGAGAGATTTTGGAAAGAGAGGAGAAAGGGTCTCAGTGTGGCAACGCAGGTCCCGTGAGTTCCACGCAGCCTCGGCCAGAGTCACAGATCTGAGCCCCTGCGTCCTCCTCAGGAAAGCTCTGCTCGGGATGGCGGCTCAGCGGGAAGCCAGGCTGCTTCTGAGGTCTCACGGGGGATGAACCTATGGGAGGTGGGCTCCCCCACATGTGGGTGAGGAGGGAGATGACAGGGACATGGAGGGACAGACAACGTGGCCAGCACCCTCTGTGTGACCAGAGATGCCTGTAGCACCGAGATAAGGCCTGAACAGAAGGAAGGGACTGAGCCACCAGGTTTGACCCATGACCTGACTGCATTAGCCAAAAATAAAAAATCTGCCCCCATTGTTGAGTACACTGTGGGAAATCAAGGGTTCTAGGAGGAGAAAATAAGTCTGTAGAAAAAGCCTTTGTTTGAAATTCCCTCACTCATTAGTTCTCTGCTATACTTAGCAAATTACATCACCTTTGGTGCCTCGATTTCACCACCTGAAAAATGGGGGAAAACTAACAGACCTCCTGCCCACTTCCCAGGGCTGAGGGAGGGTGCAAGGCGTGGAAAACAGGCGCACATCAAGAGTTGGGTTGTTATTTCACAGCCAGTCCTCTGCAGGCAGGAGGAGAGCCACGCCACCAGTCCTCAGGGGCTCAGACCTGGGAGGCCTTACAGACACCCAAACTGGATCTCATCGCCTTCTCCAACCTGCTGCTCCGCACACTAGACACAGAGAAAACGGAGCTTTCTTTGGGTCTTTTGCTTCATGATTTAGCAACGACCTCAACGCAGAAGGTGATTCTTGGCTGTGATCGGATGAGCACAATTTTTTTCTGGAGAACCGGCGTTTTCTTTATGAGACACCCCCATAAAATCACCAGGCAGCAGAGATAGTTACTGCTCTGCCCCAGAGGCTACAAGGAAGCCCCCACAGGCCATTTGCTGGTGCACACTCCCTGGAGCCATGCGTGAGGAGCCAGCGGTGAGTGCTCCGCTCCAGGCTCCCGATTTGGTGCTCTCAGACCACGGGACACAGTCTCCAGCCGGTGCCCACGATTTTAGAGACTGTTCCCATTCGCACTGAGTAATCCTCTGTTTCTCGGAAAGAAAGCACTCTGGGAAATGTGCAAAGGCTGACTTTGTTACAGAAGCAGAAAAATGAGGATCCCAGAAACTGAAAAGAGCTATACACTGTCTTCATCTGCCCAGGAATGACAAATGACAAACACTCAGTGAGAAAGGAATAACCAGAAGGAGGGATGTCTGCAGATGACAAGAGCCAGACTTCTTGTCTTTTGTGGATTCTTGCAAATAATTACCACTTACACATCAAATGATATGCTGTCCCAATCTTCTTTACAAAATCATACGTTTTTCTTCTTTTCTGCCTCAATAAATGCTAATGTTCCATGAAGCCAATGTTATTCTCACCCGCTCCACAGTGCGTCTAAACACAGATGGGCCTGCAGTGGCTTAGCCGCATCACCCGCTTTCCAGGAGGCATGATGCTTACCCTACCCTTTTCTAGCATTTCTGCAAGGACTAAAGTGATTCTTGTCTGCTGGACAGAGAAACAGTAAGAAATACAAATGCAAATAGACTGCCATCATGGTGACTTATGTAACACCAGCTTTCAGAGACGCCACAGAGACAGATTCACAGGAGGTAATAAGCAGGGCCTGGAAGATTGTTTTATCAATCTTCTTTCAAATCTACTAGTGATTTCTTGTAAACAGTAATTGCATTGCTCTTAATTGCTTCATTAGTGCCTGGGCTTCATTATTCACCTTGTCTCACTTCTATTCAGACCAGTTTAGATTGTTTTTCTTTCTGTTTTTTTATGAGGAACAATGGAATTCTGTCTGGATTGCAGAGACATGAGAGGCAACGTGGCCGCACAGGCGGTTTAGCCTGTCCCGGGCCATATCCTGCTGGAGCTTTGGCCCAGAGCTCCTGAACACACCCGGCCTGGCTCTCTCTTTCACCCTTTCTGCCTGTTGCCACGAGTCTCTTCCTGACCCTTTTCCTCACCAGGGGACTCGTCGAGGGGTCCAAGCAGCAACGGCTCGGCAACTCCGGGAGCTGGGCATTGGAGGAGGCCACGCTGACACGCTCAGGAGCTCATCCCTGAGCGCCCACAGGCCCCTGGATGTCCCTGTAAGGAGGCTTCCTGCCCAGGCCTGAGGGTCCCTCTGTGACCTCTCAGCTGGTGCTGTGTCTTCAGCACCCTCCTTGGCTCAAAGAGACTGTCATCTGGCAGCCGAAACCCTGTGATCCCCGTGTGGCTGTGTCCTGCCAACTGATGGTGACAGCAGGAAATGCACCTGCCCTGCCCCCTCGCCCGGATACTTTCTATTCTGCTATGAAAAACAGAGTAAAATTTGAGAGGAAAGGGAAAGTACCCCCGTAGCCACAAGGAAATGAAGTGGAATCACGCTGACATTTTCAATAACACCTGGATCTGGTTTTATAAAGTTGACCTAACAAGAAAATGGTCCTATTGTTATCAATAAACATAACCCTGAAATCTAAGCGCTTTAAAAATCCATGCAACAGGGCAGGTGTGGTGGCTTATGCCTGTAGTCACAGCACTTTGGGAGGCCAAGGCGAGAGGATCGTTTGAGTTCAGGGGCTCGAGACCAGCCTAGGCAATATAGTGAGACCCTGTGTCTACAAAACAAAAACTAATTAAATTCATGCAACAAATTCTAATATTTTTCAAAGGCTGTTCTGTGAAATAAAAACTCACCTAAAAATCATCTATGTATCTAAGAACATGTAGGGAACAAAGACGATAAAACAGCACAGAGACCCGGGAGCCTGGGGCTGCCTGGCCCTGCACAGACTTCGCCTCTGTGCCGTGGAAGTGGACAGGTGGGGCCTCTCCTGGCCCAAAGCCATTGAAGCTGGCTCTCCTCCTCCATCAGGACAGCCTCAGCCCTCCCAACCGCCCAGCACAGCAGCTCAGAGGAGGCTGGCCGAGCGCAGCCGCCGCCACGTCCTATCCCACCAAAGATCCATGCTCAGCATCGTGGCCACCTAAGTCTCACGAGTGTGGCTGTGAGGTTCGTTTGAGTACACTTGGCCCAACATCCAGATCAGGTTCCCAGGCAACAAGACAGCAGGTTGCCTCTAGACCCTCAACAAGTCCGCCCAGTTAGGCCTGCAGGGCAGTCCCCAGGGGAGCCACGAGCTTGTTTCCTGCACGGAGCTGTCGCCTCATGGAGGCGCTCTCAGCCCCGGTGCTCCTTTGCCTCAGTACACATGGCCTGCAGGAGAGAGGCAGGATGGGGAGAGGCCAGAGCCTCAGGGAGCCAGGGCCTCGCCTGCTCACAGGAGTCATTTTGCTTCTAGATTTTTCTTCCACGACTGTGATGTCGCTATACTGAGCCCCTTCAAGTAATCTCTTAAAGACGTATTGCCTGACAGAATCTGCTGGGTTTTGTGGTTGTTGTTCAGAATATGAAGGATGCCTGCCTCTGATGCGTCAGATGAAATTAGACCAAGAATCCACCCATCCCGTGAATTTATGACACAAACTCCCCCACATCACTACTGCCTTCTTGAGGGAGGAGGCCGTTCCCTCAGCAATGGTGAATAAAGGTGTATTGCAGTAACACCCAAGCTCAAGAACAGACATCTTGTCTTACACCCAAGCTTCACACGGGACCTTCACCAGAACTCACCTTCTTGGAAGCTGCACAGAACCGTAACGTGAGGAATCACATGCCTAGATATCCTATGTGAGCTATCCCAAATGCCTTCTACACTTCAAAAACTATGTGAGAAGTCTACTCCACGAAACTCATATCAGTGAAAGTACTCACAAGTTGGAGTGATCACAGCACCTCCTGCGCTCCTCCAGGGCAAGCCTCGCTCACCTTTTTATTCTTTTCCATGAACCATAATGCCTGGCCTACAGATTATCAATAAATATTCTTGGCTGAATAAATGAATGGGAAAACTGCTGCTGACTTGAATGATTTTTTTCCTAAATAAGATGACTTTTTATCATATATGTTCAGACTGGCAAGAGGCATGAAACGTTTATCAGTTTAGTTGCCACAAAATTTCTTTCTTTTTCAAAATAACAACAGATGTTGGCAAGGATGCAGAGAAAGGGAACGCTTATACACTGTTGGTGGGAATGTAAATCAGCACAACCTCTACAAAAGACATATGAAAACTTTTCAGAAAACTAAAAACAGAACTACCATTTGATCCATAATCCCACTACTAGGTATCTACCCTAAGAAAAAGAAATTATTATATAAAAAAGACACCTTCACTTATCTGTTTATCACAGTACAATTCACAATAGCATAGCCATGGAATCAACATAAGTGTCCAACATCGAAGAATTCAATCAAGAAAATGTGATACAGATACATCATGGAATACTATTCAGCCATAAAAAAGAATGAAATCATGCCTTTAGCAGCAACGTGGTTGGAACCGGAGGCCATTATCCTAAGTGAAGTAACTCAGAAATGCCGCATGTTCTCACTTATAAGTGGGACTAAAGAATGAGCACACGTGAACATAGAGGGGGAAGAGTAAACACTGGGCTACAAAAGGTGGGAGCGTGGGAGTGGGGGCGAGGATGAAAAATCACATGTTGGGTTCTGTGGTCACTGTTCTGGTAATGGCTATGCTAGAAGTCCAGAATTCATGACTACACAATATATCCACATAACGAAACTGCATTTATACTCCCTAAATCTATTAAAAGACGAAGAAGACGAAGAAGACAAAGATGAAGATGAAGAAGAAGGAAAAGAAGAAAAAGGAGAAGGAGGAGGAGGAAGAGGAGGAGGAAGAAGAAGAGGAAGAAGAGGAAGAAGAAGAGGAAGAAGAAGAGGAAGAGGAAGAGGAAGAAGAAGAAGAGGAAGAAGAAGAGGAAGAAGAAGAAGAATAAGAAGGGTTTTGTGATTGTGGTTCAGAATATGGCTCTTTTATTTGAGCCATAAATCCCTAACCTAGAGAAGACCTTGCAAATAACCCCTCTGGAGGCCAAGAAGGATGTCGAAAGCCTGTCTCTAACAAAAGTTACACAACATCATAGAGTATTCAAATGACATTCATCTGCAGCTAGACTAAAAAACTCCATGTTGGGTTTTCAGCATCATCTATCAGAAACATCAAGTAAACAAGTAATTTTCTCCAGTATTTTCTCATTCTTCCCACAAATACTGCAAATGTACCTAAATATCAAGATTATAGTTCTGCAAAATACTCCTAAAATCTGTTTGGAACTCTATTCCTTCATTTATTAAGATGCAAAGATATACTGGTTTTCTATTATCCAGATACAGTAAGCATCAGGAAACAGTAATAATTTCCTCCATCTGATATTCCGTTATCAAAAACAACTTTTAAAGAGGTTGGTTACTTTCATTACATTCTATGATAGATTCACATCTAGATTTCCACCAAAAATGTAGAGAACACGACAACTTGAGACTAGGAGCTCTTAAAAAATAAACACTGTTGATGAATTAAAGGATTTTCTGTTAGTTGTATACATGCACTTTGGGGCATAACATGTGCTATGGTCTAAATGTTTGTATTTCTCCAAAACTCATATGTTAAAATCCTAGCAATAAAGGTGATGGTGTTAGGAGGTGAGAACTGTGGGAGGTGATTAGGTCTTGAGGGTGGACTTCTCATGAATGGGATTAGTGTCCTTATCAAACAGACCCCAGAGAGCTCCCTTGCCCCTTCCACCACGTGAGGACAAGGGTAAAGACGGCTGGCCATGAACCAGAAAGTGTGCCTTCACCAGCCATCAAACCTGCCATGCCTTAATTGTGGACTTCCCAGCCTCCAGAACTGCGAGCAATATCTTTCTGTTGTGTAGAAGCCTCCCAGTGTGGCATTCTGCTATGGCAGCCTGAATGCAGCAGGACATGGTGTTATGGAATCTTGTTGCTTCAACTGAACCTAGCAGAATGAAGAGTCTGCTCCACCCATCCTGGCTCAGGGCCTTGTCGTCAGCCTCCTGAAGCCAACTACTAAGTCATCACATAAGTCTGTCTGCAGTAAACACACTGAAAGTTCCCTGGAAATCACAGTTCCTACAAAAGCCTAGGCAAGTATTCTGAAAAATGACAGCCAGTCATTTCTCTGAGACCTTTGGCCTTATGAATTTGCTGGGAAGGTACATCTTCCTTTCCTACCCCTACCACTTTGCAAGTATCAGATTGAGCATCATATTTTCAGGAGAGTCACTGCCTCATGCCTGCCTACCTTTTGATCATCATGGAACTGGCAAAAGCAGCGCTATCTACTTTTCCAGGGGATGCAAAGGTACAAGGCCAGGCCAAGCATAGTGTTCAAGAACGCAGCTGGATCGCTGCGCAGCTAGAAGAGAGCTGGACTCTAGACTCCCAGATTAGTGAAAATGCACAGAACCGAAAGGCAGCTGGATAAACGTAAGGCAGCTGAATGCCATTTTTCTTTATTTAACCAGTGGGCTATGTCATCGGATCATAAGATCCAGCGACACTTGGCTTAAATGTTGCATTGGTGTGCATAGGTTTAGATGGTAGTGAAACGTAGCGTTCAGCATCTGAGCAGACCATTTTCTAAAACCAGTAATGTTCATCGATCCAGCCCTTCCAGTCTGCAATATCTGCCAGCTATTTTAAAAGTCAACAGAGTTGCAAATTTTCTAACTGTTCTGGCTCCAGGTGGCATGTGGCTGAGCGACTCAGTCTTCTTAATGGCCAAGTCAATGGCCCACGGCTCCGGCTGCCTCTGAGAGCGTTTGCTTTACCAGTGGTGGAAGTGTGGCTGCGTAACTACAATGCCTTGACTACAGCCTCAACTCAGCCTTCCAATTTACCTCTTTGCTGGCCAGTGTCTCCCTGATGGATACACTTATCGTTACCAAAATCTCCCCTGAGAACACCAGTGTTGCCGAGATACTCTCACTTTATTAAAGTCTAAGTCTGTTTTCTGCTGCCTGGATCAGGCCCATGCTCCTGCACAGCATGAAAATGAAGAAATGCACAGCCTGCAGCAGCAAGAGCTCTTTCTTCTCTTCCGTTTGATGACCACCTCGGGCTGATACCCTGTCTCTCTTTCCTTCTTTCCCAGTCAACCCCTACAGGCCCTGGGACTCCTCTCCGTCCACTGGAAAGGCAACTCCCCACGGATGGAATCCGCTCTTCTCCCCAGCTCTGCTGAGCACCTCATCAGACATTTTAAGCAGCTGTGTCACATGACTTCCAGTACAGGGAGCCCCACACCAGGCTTCCATGCCAGCTGGTTACTCCCAGGCCTCCTTGACTGGTACTAATGCACCATGACCCTCACAAGTGCCCATGCCAGGAGACCATGAACTTTACCTCGATGGACAGCCTTCCGTCCTATGCTCCAGCTATTCTTTTTGAGGGAGATTACCGAATATAATAAGCACATGATATGTACATATGCATATATACACGTTTGTGCATGTGTATGTATAGAGACACATATGTCACTAAAATAACTGCTCACAGATATTTAATTTCAAACTTCCATTTCCCCCTTCACCACCTTCTGGGCCCAATCTCCCCAAACAAAGCAGAGTGTAATAAAACGTGTATAGTTACTTCTTCTGCAGTGTCTTCTGTGGTGGGCTCCACATCCAGGTTGAGATCCTCCTCTGTGGTCTGATAACAAAGATAGATGTTAAAGATGGTTAGCATTGCCATGTGTTTGTAGGTGGCCTCATACAGGTTACCAATATGAAAAAGTACTAACTAAATATCCCGCATGATTTCTGTAGGACATGGAAACCATATCACCGTCCCTTCCCACCTGAATTTATGTTTAACTGTGTGATGCTTCATGTCCGAGATGGATCCTTTATACAACAGGTGGTAAGTAAGGCAAGGAGTGTTCACACTAAACCCTAACTCAAACGACTAAATCAATGAAGCGAGTGTGACTTACGGTACAATCTAAAGGACGACAAGGTGATTCTTGCCAGTGGAGAAAGCGTGGATTTTCATGAAGCTAAAATACGAACGGAGCTGATGTGGAAGCACAGAGCAGCGGTGAAGGCATGTGTGACCACTCCCATGAGAACGGAACCAAATCACAGTCCCAAGTGAGTGCTGGGAGAATGGATTCTAGCAGAGAAATGAGGCCCAGCCCATAAAACGTAAAGCAAGTGTTTCTGTGGTTGGCACAAGGTTTAAGTGGAACCATCTGGGTCTGAGTCTTTGGTTTCTACTTAACAACTTGGAGCCACCTGCTTAACCTGGGCCTCGGAGACATGGCAGTGCTTCTGCCTAGAGATGTGGGGAGAGCTCCACGGAAGAACACCAGCCAGCCATCAGCACCGGCTGCCATGCAGCAGACACGGGAGAGCTCCACGGAAGAACACCAGCCAGCCATCAGCACCGGCTGCCATGCAGCAGACACGGGAGAGCTCCACGGAAGAACACCAGCCAGCCATCAGCACCAGCTGCCATGCAGCAGACACGCAAAGTGAACTGCTGTCATTATTACTATTTCTAGTTTCATCTTCTCACCTAGTAGCCAGGAGATAATCATCTCTATCCAAGCTTGACTATGAATCTTCAGGGAATCATGTTTGATCTGCATTGTTTAAAAACGGAGCTTTCTCTTTCTCTATCTAATGTATTATGACATCCCAGAGAGAAAAATCATGCTTATTCCTCCAAGAGAACACAAATAAAATGGGTCAGCCAGACCTTGTGGGCTGGCTTATGGACTTGCCTTACTCATCATTTCTCCCATTTTCTTATCTTGCCCCCAAAGCACGCCCTTGGCTGCTGTAACCCCGCTGAAAGCAATGATTGAAAAGTCCTGTGTTTGAGATGTGCCTTCAACTTGCCAGAACATAATTCATGAAATACTACATGTTTCTTTTTCATGCTAGATTCTGCCGGGGTTTTCTGGAGGTTCTGGCTCTTAATGAGCACGTTGCCTTGTCAACACACCCATTTATGGGTTAATTATATATCTGAAATATCTCAGAACAACACAGAGAACCACAAAGACTTTCCCTGGACAGTCAGATGAATCTCCCCTGGTCTACAATTTTTATAAACTGTATTTAGTGTTCTCTAGTACAATGGACCTCAGACCCAGTTCAGTTCGGTTCTCTCAGACTACAGATGAGAAAACAGGCCAGAAAGGATAGCAGCTTGAAAAGGTGGTTAGAGCAAAACATGAATCCAGGAATGCTGATTCTAGTCCCTGGAAATCCAATCATCAGTCCTGTCACATTTGCATAACAGCAAGGAACTAAAGCAATAAAATCTAAACTAAATCACTAAAAAATAAGCACTAAAATCTCTTAGCAGATTTTCCGATGAGAAAAGCATGCAGGCTCCTCCTGCAAGGGTTTTAGGGCATTTAACTTGGAGTTCAGAGGCCAGATATGCTCCATATAGCTCTGCCACATTTCTTGATATGTGAGTTATTTTAATACCATGCAACATAAAACATGGACAAAACTAGAGAGGAAATTCAGACTGTGAATTCCAAAACACAGAGGATTTTGTGGATTTGGAAATTTCCTCAGAAACTTGAAGTACCTCATGGTTAATATTTAAGCTTTCATTTTTCTATAGAAAGAACTCTGGTTTTCTGGGTTCCAAGTAAATAGGAATTTAACACTGTCCATACTCCACCAGCTGTGCTCTCCTGAAAAAATTCAGCTAAGAAGCCTGAAAAAAATTTATTTTGCTTCAAGAGCTATTTAATGTATCCAATTTTCCTCAAAACCTTTACCATCTGCCCTCTCCTGGGGCTGGCAAGGCAGGGCAGACCATCAGTCAACTCGGCTCCAAATTCTTGCCACTTGCAAGTGCTTTCTAGGCTCATGGCATGGTTTTCAAATCATGGGAATCTATTCATTGCTGATCCATTTATGAGCGATTTGAGAAATATGTGAAACACAAGCTGCTCCTCATGGCTTTGGTCACTGGAAATAATGTAAAGACCAGGGTCCCACCTGGAATTGTAAAGCCCCTGGCCCCCTCTCTCCCATCCTTTCTGAGCCCAGGGCGGAATCCTCCCTCTGGACAAGCCCTTCATTCGTGAGGGCTGAGCACCTTACAGCTTCAGCACAAGCCAATGTGCTGACGATGACCAGCTGGGCTATAGGAAGCACTAGTAAATGAGAAAAGAACTTCTAGCTGATCACTTGCTCGTTCACTAATTCAATATTTAGAAAAATTGAATCTCTCTCTCTCTCAAAAAAAGTAGACTTGAAATGGCAACCGCAGTAAGGGAATGGATCTTTCCAAGGCACCATCCTCAACACCAAGAACAACCCCATGTACAAACAGAAGAATCAGTAACAGTAGGGAGCCCTGGTGTCATCCTTCTCCCACCCCAGGTACTTTCCATGAGCAGCAGTATCTGGGCTGTTCCATCTAAAACAAATGGACTTCAATGTCCGTGCTATGCCCAACAGTCTCTGCTAAACATCAATACATATGTCGAGCATTATTTAGCTTGGCTTTCCAAGAAAACTATTCAATATGAAGCATTCAGTAAATTCTCTTCTAAAACAGAATCTCTCATTCAGTTCAAAGGTATGTTATGTGACTATCTCAAGACGTACATATAAGAATAAATAAAATTTAAAATAGCATTGAATTTATAAGTACAGTGCTGGGAGTAGGAGATAGGCAAAAATTAAATTGGACTTTGAGGAGGTTTGGTGAGTGATTACAAATGAGCCATGTTTAAATGCCATTTGAGTTGCTATAAACACAGAACAGGTATATCTAATAATTTAGTAGACGTTAATAAATTTGGGGAACTTTCTCTTCTAGGAAAATGTATGTTGACCATCTCCAATTCAAATGGAGCAAATCAGATTCCGTGGAGCAGAGGTTTGCGTGTCCCCAGGGAAGCATGGAGTGAAAAACTCTCAGCAGTGATTCCTGCACACCCACCAGCCCTGGGACGGGCAAGGAACACTTTGATTTCATTATCTTTTCTGTTTATCTTTAATCACACCTCTTTATCTGACCATTCATCCTTTTAAGGTTGCATTATCTTTTTTCGTTTAAGATCACATTATCTTTATGCTCTCTGTTCCTTGATTCATCATTGATTTTTGCCTTCTGGTTTCATCTTTCACTGTAGCAAATGGAAGGCTTCTAATTTAAAGCCACTTGTTGAAGGAAAATCAAACTGATGCAGATTAGTTTGGAAACGGGAATACTTTAAGACTTACATAGACTTTAAGAAGCATCCTGAAGTTTCCTTAAGGGCAACAATTTGTTTCTTGTACTCATTATCATTTATGTATTTACACCACACACAATGCCGTGCGTGTATACACACGCAATGTTTATCCATGTGCATACACAACGCAACATATACATCCACACACACTGGATAGCCAACTCTCTGACCCATCATAGTCACCTAATGGACATGAACTGATTATAGTAAATGAGCAATGCATTGGCTGCAGAGTTCGGATTCTTGAGGATGCTGTGAAAAGTGCGTTCTCTCCTGCACTCACCTCTATTTCCATAGGCTCCACCTCGATCTTTTTCCATAGTTCCAGCAACTGTGCGATTGGCATTTTTAAACTTTCCTTTTCTGCTGGTCGAGTATTGATAGTAGGAAAGGAAATAAACAGAGGCTCGGACCGGCACAGGGGGACGGCCAGACGGGATGTCGGAAGCCAAGGGACGCAGAGGCCGGCGGGTGGCGGCGATGGAGAGGACAGATCCGGCTCCCAGAGGAGGTCGTGAGCGCGGGGCCTGCGCCGGCCGGAGGAGGGACCCGGGGGGCTGCAATATGGCTGCTCGGGCGCCGTCCCCTCCCTGCCAAGCCAGGGCTCTGGGGAGCTGCTGCCGCTTCCCGCTCGGGCTGGGGCGAGGAAAGGAGGGGACGGCGCTGCGGCTTCGGAATCTGTACTGCGACTTTGGCAGAGTAAACGCTGCACTTGCAGCTTCGAATTGAATTTCCTGCCTCTCCCCCCTCCCTTCCCTGGCCACGCTCTTCCCTCCTCCCCTCACTATTTTACCTTAATTGGCTCTAAACGAGGGTGAAAGTTGAGTCTGAGGATGCCGCTGCCATAGAAACTGCATAGCAACCAAGGGCTGGGGAGGCGGGGGGGGGGGGCGGCAGGTCTTTCCCCCCCACCCCCAGCACGCGCACACCCTTCCCCACCTCCCCAGCCCGCCGCGCCTCCCCGGAGACCCACACCGCCACCTCCCGCCGCAGAACGGGAGGGACAGGAACACGGACGGAGGGACCGGGACGAGGGGAGGGCTCCACGCAGCACAGCTGCTTTCCTGCGGAGCGTTCAGGAGACTCGGGCACCTCTGGAAGCGCTGCGGACTGAGCTGCCCGCGGCTGCCCCCGCCCCGAGGGCCGGGACAGCACCTCAGGAGAAGAGGGACGAAGAGGGACGACAGACAAATAGCTGGGGAGAGGCGGGGGGGGGCGGCCCGTGGGGTCCGCTGGGCCCTACCCAGCCCTGCCCGGAGCTGCCCGAAACAGCACTCAGGCCTCTGCGGGCCAGGATGAAAGGCACGTGGGCCGCTGGGGCTCCCAGTGGCAGGGCCCGAGGGACAGAAACATTAATTCAAACAACGTGTATCCTGCCCCTCAGCTCCTTCAGGTCTCCACCCCGTCCTATTTCACAGGTGACAAAGTCCTGAGGCTCAGAGAAGGAACCCCCGAAGACACAGCCAGGCGCCTGCGGGAGAGCAAGGCCTCCTGGGCCACCGCTCCTTGGAAAGGAACCAGGGGAAAATTCCCCTCCCTGTTTCCCTTTTTTGGGTTGTGGAGTGGGGGGATCTCTCTTGCCTCCCTCCTTACTCCCTTCTGTCCTGGATAATGAAAGGTGCGTGCGGGTGAAAGACATATTCATTTCTCCAATCGTCCAAGTGCTAATCCTGAAGCATTATGGTTCCCTCTTTTAGGAAAGGGTGTTAAAGTTAACACAATTTAATGCTGCTTTGGGAGTAAGTGTATTCATTTCTATAGCAAATTCCTTTATCTTTGAGAGAAATATCTTTTTAAAAATAGCTTAATGTTCTCCAAAATTATCAATCCCTTTTTCTTTTTCGACTTTATGCAATCACTAAGAAATTCAATTCACTGGAAAAAAAGAAAAACCCAAATCCCAGATACTTTGTATCTCATAGCAAAGTAGAGTCCAAAGTTAACAGAGGGGTTCTGTACTTGGTGTTGATTTATGACAGTCACTTTATCTTTCTACAAAATTAGGCCAGAAGGACCTTTAAAATCAATTGCATTCAGAATTTTAAAAATAGCAATATTGTTCGTTTTCAAATTGGAGATTCTGTGATTGACAGAGCAGAGTGAAGGTTTTCTTGTGTTAACAATCATAAGGTGATTTTGTACATGCTGTAAAAGGTCACAGATTAAAAACAGACAAAGCCAGGGTGGTGGCTCATGCCTGTAATCCCAGCACTTTGGGAGGCCAAGGCGGGCGGATCACCTGAGGCGGGAGTTCGAGACCAGCCTGGCCAACACGGTGAAACCCCGTCTCTACTAAAAATACAAACTTAGCCGGGCGTGGTATCGCATGCCTGTAACCCCAGCTACTAGGGACGCTGAGGCAGGGGAATTGCTTTAACCCAGGGGGCGGAAGTTGCAGTGAGCGGAGATCACGCCACTGCACTCCAGCCTGGGCAACAGCGCGAGACTCTGTCTCAAAAAAAAAAAAATGGTTTTTGGTTTTTCTGTAAAAAAGCTAGGAGAGTCACTCATAAAAGACAGTGAAGAGATGTCAAGAATCTTTAATCTGATGGTAAAAATGTGGACTCCTGAAGGCAATGGGAAAGAAATGAACTCAGATTCTTTACTGTGTATTTACAAAGACTCCAGCTTCTGGAAGTTTCCACAAGTGCTCTGTTGTGGAAGAAGGAAATAGAGGTCCTTTATATGAGGGAGGAAAAGTCCTTTGGACGGGCTGTCTTGTGATTGGCAGTGTGTCCTAGGAAACTTGAGGGAAGCCCAGCTCCTGGGAGGCCATGGGTGAACAGCCTGCCAGAGTCCCTAGCAAAAAAGAGCTCATTTTAAGGGGTATCTTAGGAATTGCTGAAAATGTGGCTCATAATTTAGCATGGTGTTTTTTTTAACTATGCAAATATGACACTAATCAACAGACTGCACATTATTTGGGCATCTCACAGGCAAGCAGAGAGCCTGGAGAGATGAAGCGATCACCAGGGAGTGAGACGAGAGTTCATGTGGCCAGGGCTCTGGGCTGGAATTCCCACACTTACTCCCTGCACTGCTGCCTTGTAAAACACCTACGGGGTCCTCCCAAAGCAGAAACCTCCCGGATGGGTTCCTTTCCATCAGCTTTTTACATGCAAGGCACTCCCAGGGCTGCTGCCCACCAAGATGCAGTACCAGGTGTGCCAGACACTGGGGAAGGGGACCTGGAAACAGCCAGAAAATAAAACAAAATAAAATGCAACAAACTGAAATCTTCAAAAGGTGATATTGATCTGGGAAAACAGCCCCACTTATAAAGTTTGTGTTGGGAAAGGTAAACAATTAGAGGTAAGAAGGAATAATTTTTCTGAAAGGAAATAATGATTACATTTAAATACCTACGAAGATAAAGATTCAAATAAAGAACCCAGGAAATTAGATGCGTTGGAATTAAAATGTTCAAATAAATCCCAAGAAAACTTGAACAATCTTTTTCTTTCTTTCTTTTTTTTGAGACAGGGTGTCACTTTGTCACCCAGACTGTAGTGTAGTGGCACGATCTCAGCTTACTGCCTTCTCGACTTCCTGGGCTCAAGAGATCCACCCTAGCCTCCCAAGTAGCTAGGACCACAGGCGCATACCACCACACCACTCATTTTTGTGTGTGCGTGTGTTTTCTGTAGAGACAGGGTTTTGCCATGTTGCCCCGGCTGGTCTCAAACTCTTGAACTCAGGCAATCTGCCGGCTTCGGCCTCCCAGAGTGCTGGGATTACAGGCTTGAGTCATTCGGCCCGGCCTGAACAACACTTTCAACAGAACACCACCTGAAAAAGCTATTTCTGAGATATTCACCTCCAAAGCATCAATTTCTAAGAAGAACTGTTGAAGCAGCCTTGCTGAAAATGGGTCCTTAATGAACCAAACTCTGCAAAAGAAAAGCAATGGGAAGTATTTTAAGTGTCCCAAGTCACAGCCATTGTGAGATGAGATGGATGAGCTGGCATGAAACTCACTGAGACCCAGCCCCAAGTGAAAATTACTCTCTTGCTCCAACGAAGGAAGAGCACTCCTCTGTGTTCATTGCCTCTTCAATCTTAAAGTGTCTCTTTTCTCTTAGGAAGGAAAGACGGATGGAGAAGGGGAGGGAAGGAGGGATGGAGAGAGCTTATCCATTCCACGGATTTCTGACAACCAAAGAAAAGCTGAATCAGGAATCTGGTCCTGGTCCCACTTCTGCTACTAATAGCTATCTTCTGTAGCTCAGTTTCCCCACAGAGGGGGCTGCCACGGCCTGACTCACAGAATACACAGCAACGAAATGTGTTTCGTGATCTGAGAGAAAAGGCCCAAAGAAATCCAAGTTTTCTGATGGACAGACGTGCTTGACCTCCACACTGAATCCGACGGACATTTTTAAAAGACCCAAATGTTTTATTCTGGGCTGTTCCGTTTTGCAATATTGTACATTTTGAGATGGATGAAAGATTTAGTAAAAATGAAAACAGTGTCCAGATGCAGTGGCTCACACCTGTAATCTCAGCACTTTGGAAGGCCGAGGCAGTAGGATCACTTAAGCCCAGGAGTTTGAAACCAGCCTTGGCAACACAGTGAGACCCTGTCCCTACTAAGAATAAAATTTTTTTAAAATAGCCAGGCATGGTGGCACATGCCTGTAGTCCCAACTACTCGGGAGGCTGAGATGGGAGGATGGTTTGAGGCTGCAGTGAGCCATGATTGTGCCATTGTGCCACTGCTATCCAGCCTGGGTGACAGAGCAAGACTCTGTCTCAAAAAAAAACAACAGTTACTAATTTCCAGTGACATGGTCACCAGCTTTGGTATTTTCACTCTCCGGAGTTTCACAAAATTCTCCAAAAAACTTAAAACCAAATTTATTTAAATTTTAACAAAAATGCATGTGACCCATTGTCACGGGCTGGGCCATGTCCCTCTACCTCCCAGATTCCTGTGTGGAGGCCCTAACTCCCACTACCTCCAAATGTGACCTTCCATGGAAGCAGGGTCCCTGCAGAAGTAGCTGGTTAAGGTGAGGTCATGCTGGAGTGGAGTGGGCTTTATGTGATCTCATAAAATGGGGAGATTTGAACACAGACATGCACACAGCAGAACAGCACTGGGACGCTGGAGCTCTGCTGCCACGAGCTGAGGAACTGGGAGCTCTCCCAGAAGCTGAGAAAGAGCCCGCACAGACCCCTTCCGGACACCTTCAGGGGGCGTGCGACCCTGCTCACACCTTGACCTCAGACTTTGGGCCTTCAGAACTGGGAGGCAATCATATTCTGTTGTTTTGGCCACTCAGCTGGTGATACTTTGTGATGGCAGCACGGAAGCCGACTAACATACCAGCTGGGGGATGAGGTGAGCACACAACAGCAAATCCAACAGTGCCCTAAGGCCACAGCTCTGTCGTGACCAGAACCCGAACTCCAAGAGAAACCCGGCGCATAGAGATCTTCACTGACACCTTTTCTCCACAGGGACCAGTCAGGGCAAGAGGGACATCATTTCAGCTGCAAATGGCTTAGCTTCCAAGGTGCACAGAGGCTCACAGAAGCCACTTTATATACTGGCAGCCGGCAGCTTGGTCCCGAAAGGCATTAAGGTGCCTGGGGCCCAGGCCAGCCGCCTTGGCAGGACGCCCTCAAAGCCTCATTTCCAGCCCAGCAGCGTCGTGACACTCAGAACCGTAACAGCAGCTTGTTTTCAAAAGAAATTATTCACAAGGAAGAAAAAAAGGCTGAGTACAGAGTAAACAGCCTCTATTATGAAAAATAAATTATAAGCTAGGAGAACATTTGTAAAAAGGAGCTATTGCTTTGCAGTCTTCCCAACTAAGCTTTTCATCTCACTGGTAGGAAAAGTCATTGTGATCTGGACTGCCCAGATTCTCGGGACGCCCCCCAAGTCTTCCTACATGTTGTGAAGGCTTCCCAACTTTAGAGTATAAATACAACACCAGGCAAATGCTTACTCATTTTAGTTGCATGAATTTCATACTTAAGAAAGTGCAGGCCGGGCGTGGTGGCTCACGCCTGTAATCCCAGCAGTTTGGGAGGCCGAGGTGGGCGGATCATGAGGTCAAGAGATTGACGAGACCATCCTGGCCAACATAGTGACATCCCATCTCTACTAAAAATATAAACATTAGCTGGGTGTGGTGGTGGGTGCCTGTAATCCCAGGGAGGCAGAGGCAGGAGAATCGCTTGAACCCGGGAGCCAGAGATTGAAGTGAGCTGAGATAGCGCCACTGCACTCCAGCCTGGTGACAGAGTAAGACTCCACCTCAAAAAAAAAAAAAAAAAAAAGAAAGAAAAAAAATGCACACACACATACAAGCACACACAAAAAACAGAGAGAAGTGAAAATGCTGAAACACCTGCATTTCCTTCTCAAGTCACCCATCTTATTTGTCCACATGTAACATTACCCAGGAGTTACCACAGTCGTATTTAAAAAACAACCTAGTGCTAACCAGCCTTCCTGGTTGGGAGTCCCTCTGGCTTGCTGGTCCTGCAGAAATGGTAAGACCAAAGCTGCACTCTTCACTGACTTACCATACTACGCAATAATTGTCAATTAAGCAATTCGTAGGGATTTATTTAATTTAGCCTCAAGCCAGACATATTGGTTCTAAAATTTATTTCAGTTTTCATAAGCCTAATCATATAAAAAGTCAACGAATATACTATGAGCAGCCAGGATCTGGAAGATTGGGCACATGCCATTTCCCCCATGCCATACCTCACCTGAAAGATCTTGGCATCATATATACCACTGGAATTCATGTGAGCAAAGATGGCCATTGTAATGGTTAACACTGTCAACTTGATTGGATTGAAGGTTGCAAAGTATTGATCCTAGGTGTGTGTGTTGGTATTGATCCTAGGGTGTTGCCAAAGGAGATGAACATTTGAGTCAGTGGGCTGGGACAGGCAGACCCACCCTTAATCTGGGTGGGCACCATCTAATCAGCTGCCAGCGTGGCTAGAATATAAAGCAGGCAGAAAATCATGAAAAAACTAGACCGGCCTAGCCTCCCAGCCTCCATCTTTCTCCTGTGCTGGATGCTTCCTGCCCTCGAACATCAGATTCCAAGTTCTTCAGTTTTGGAACTTGGACTGGCTCTCCTTGCTCCTCAGCCTGCAGATGGTGGGACCTTGTGATCGGGTGAGTTAATACCTAATAAACTCCCCTTTATTTTATATATATATATGATTACAGGCTGGGATTACAGGCGTGAGTCACGGTGCCCAGCCGGCACGTTCTTAAGTATGAGATTCATGCAACTAAAACCGATAGGCATTTTCCTCGTGTTGCATTTATACTCTAGAGATGGGAAGCCTTCACAACATATAGGGAGACTTGGGGGTGTCCCGAATAATATATATATATATATATTCCATTAGTTCTGTCCCTCTAGAGAACCCTGACTAATACAGCCTTCAAGGAAGATTTTTAAAGCAAAACAAATATATTTCAAGACTTTGAAAACAATTATGTTCTATTGAACCAACTCAAGTACTTTTGAAAACAAAAATATGTATATTAGCATCTGTGATCTGAATATGGAAAATGCCTTTTAAAAAACCCGGTGTGAAGTCTATGGAAGCTGTAGAGACAGAACAACTGGCTTCGAGGAGAAGTGAAGGGTAGGGTGAAGCAGCCCGCAGCAGTAGCATGCAGGTTTGACTGATGTGCTTGTTGCATTATAATAATGGGCAACATGCGTTACCTGGTTAAGAGTGGACCACAGCAAGAAACAAGTATATAAAAATGACTAAAGGGTGGAAAGAGTGACTTTAAGAGGATGGCTCTGTGTTTACTGGACTTGGGGAGGGAACTGGAACAACTCCTCTTGGAGGCTGGTATTAGGAGTTAAAAATTAAACATAGGCACCAATGGGACTTAGCAAATTCTCAAAACTACAGTAGCTGCTGTCTCAAAATATAAATTATCAGTAAAAACAGTATGTATAGGAATCTTCTGGTTAATCTGTGGAATTGATGTTCTACTCCTGGTGAAAGTAGTTGAAGTATACTCAACTACTTCAGGTAGTTGAAGGTCACAGATAAGAATAATAACTAGGCCGGGGGCAGTGGCTCATGCCTGTAATCCCAACATTTTGGGAGGCTGAGGCAGGCGAATCACCTGAGGTCAGGAGTTCGAGACCAACCTGGCCAACACGGTGAAACTCAGTTTCCAGTGAAAATACAAAAATTAGCCAGGCATGGTGGCGGGCGCCTGTAATCCCAGCTACTCGGGAGGCTTAGGCAGGAGAATCGCTTGAACCCAGGAGGCAGAGGTTGCAGTGAGCCAAGGCAACAAGAGCGAAACTCCAGCTCAAGCAAACAAAAAAAAGGAATAATAACTATAGTGGCATAAAATTCTCTTTAATAAAAGGTGAAGTTTGAGATATGGTGTGTCACCTGATGCCACCACTGAACTAGGCTTCTGAGGAGAAGAATGGAAGACAGGAGAGCTTCCAATGTGAAATGTTAAGTTTCCAATTGCAAGAATATGTCTAAACTACAGGCCCCGAAAGCCCTGCTTTGGTCCTTCTGCTGGCACAGGCTGGCTTTTTTCATGCTGTCAACTTTAATTTCTACATTTTTTTTTTAAATTCATGCTTGCTTACCTTGTCAGGAAAATGTCAGAATAGAATGAACTAGCCAAACTTGGCACACAGCTGTGCAAGAGAACTTTTTTTTTCCTGAAGTATTTAGCTTAAAGAATGACTAGAACAGTAAAAATTACCGGAATAACTGTTTCTGCCTCCGTTTTTGAGATGTGGAAAGAATTATAAAAGCAAAGTCATGGAAGGAAATCCTTAGGATAATAAACCAGCAAAACTAAAAGACTGCCACTAACAACAAACCCAGTATTTTATCTTCACCTGTCCTGTTTGATCTCAAAGGGGCGTTAAAATTCCTTCTATGAAGAGGTGAGTCAGAAAGCACAGGCGTGGAAGATCAGGTCACCACAGAAGCAGACAGAGCCAGAGAGAGGTCCTCCGGGGGCTGGACGCCAGGCGTCGGTACGGCAATGAGGAAGGGCCGTCTCAAAGACCAGCCTGGCCAGAGTCGCACTAGCTGTGAACCAAACGACAGGCTGCGCCCAGTCAGAGGGTGGAAGGTGCCCCGCGGTGTGCTGAGAACTGTGCTTACGTTTCTCAACATAAAGCGGAGCATTGATAAACCCCAGAGAACAAGCTGTGCGGCGCTGACCACGCTGTGCAGGGCTGAACGCACATTAGGTGCTTGATAAATGACAACTGATTAGTTGCTGAGGGAATTTTTTAAAGAATCAGCAAAACGATGTGTGTATCTGTGTGTGTCTGTACATGTGTGTAAGGATAACCCATTGATTTCCTGAAAAAAAAATTAAATTACAGAATTTTCCAGTCCTCACTAGCCCTTTTGACTGAGTTCTTCAATCATCCAAACAAAAGAAAGTGTTGCAGTGACCACAACCCATGGGGGCGTCTTGAGATGGGGAGGGCTCCTGTGAGTTCCTGATGTCTCAACAGGGCCAAGCAGAGGGCTTAGTCCACATTCAGTCTTTGGACAAGATTCTGCCAAACAAAGGAATGTTGGAGGCTTTGAAGGGTTGGAAGCCCTCCGCTCCCGGGGTAGAGGTAGGCCATAAACACAGTGGATAAGACCCAGAGGAACTGACTTCCCAGTACGAATGCAGTGATAATTCGTTTTGTCAAACTGTTACGGGGCAGAAGAGTGACTTTTTTTTTTCTAGTTTTAAATGAAAATTCTACAAGATGAACATGGATTATATTAACAAGAACACTGGTAAAGAAATTTCATAGCAGGACTTTTTTTTTTTGAGAAGGAGTCTGGCTCTGTCTCCCAGGCTAGAGGGCAGTGGCGAGATCTTGGCTCACTGCAACCTCCAACCTCTGCCTCCTGGGTTCAAGTAATTCTCCTGCCTGAGTCTCCCCTGTAGCTGGGATTACAGGCACGTGCCACCACACCTGGCTAATTTTTGTATTTTTAGCAGAGACGGGGTTTCACCATGTTGGTCAGGCTGGTCTCGAACTCCTGATCTTGTGATCCTCCCACCTCGGCCTCCCCAAGTGCTGGGATTACAGGCGTGAGCCACCGTGCGCGGCAGGAGAACATTTTTTAAAATGTCTCTTTAATATTAGTATTTCTTGACAATAGTTCAACCTAACCTTGAATTCTTATACTAATTTAGGGAATAAAGTAAGAAGTATTTCTTGTAATGATATATTACTTGTTATAAAGGAACCCTTTATTTTTTTCTAATACTTCTCCCACCCACCCCCTCATACCCCACAGAATTTAGTTAAGTGGATTGCACTTCTCTTGCTGAGGAAGTGTTCGGAAAAGCCCTTTCTGGTTCTCTACCAAGTCCCCAGGGGACCCCTCTCTACACCTTGGTGGGAGGCATGCAGCCTGCAGAGTGGCCCCTGTACAAGCTCCTGGCCCAGGCTGGAGTGGGCAGTGGCTCTGCGGCGGATGCTCACACCTCAGCAGAGGCCTCCCTTGCCTTCCATACATCCCATTCACTCCTAACCCACTCCAAGCTTCCACATGAGACTCCCCAGCCTGGGAGAAGGGCATGGGCCAAGAAGCAGCTGGGCTGGAGGGAGCTGGTAAGCAGGGGCAGTGAGTGACCAGTGTGGGCCCCGTGCTGTGCGGCCATTGAACAATTTTGGGTGGGAAACCTCCTAAGGCGCTCCAGGAGGCTAAAGATGATCAAGATTCCTCTCAGGCTAAATTTGATTTAAAGAAAAGAAATGAACAGTTCCTGTATACCTTCATTTATGGGCTGAGTGTCCTACCTACAAGGAAGCGAAAGGAGACACAATGGACCATGGCCGGGGAGTTGGCCTTGCCTTGAACGTGAGGATGCGGCAATCAAGCCTCATGAGTTTCTTGGATAATAAAAATACATGTGAACCAGGCAAGCCTGAACACCCTTGATAATGAGGGAAAGTTCCTTTTTGCAATTCTTTTCAGCTCTTGTATCTGATTCTTAGCATGCAGTATCCACAATGGAACTTTTATAATGGGTGTGGTTCTTCAGGCCAGCCTCTCACCTCCTCCCTGGGCGGGCTCCTGTAAGTGGGGTCCACCTGGAGCCCGACGCAGGAGCAGCAGCAGTCAGGCTTTTCCGCAGCATTCCATTGCAGCACGTGTTCTCAGAAACCTGGATTCCTTTCCTAGAAAAATACTGAAGTCTTGGCTATTTAAAACAAGCTAAATAGCCTTCTGATTTGTTTATTTCATCCAGCATTTTTTAAAAATCTGGCTTGATTTTCTTTAAAAACAGTCTTGTCTCGTGATGTGGATGTTTTTCTGCCCCACAGCTGATTACCGCAGCCTTTTAGATGGCACTGCTGTCAGCTGAGATACTTTTTCCTTCTGCTTCAGTAAAAATAGATGAATTCTGATTGGAGCTTGTGGAAGTTTCTCTGCATTGTCAGATGCTGATCCCCCATCAATATAAATCTTTGCCCTTCTTAAAAAATATTTTCTAATGAACTTTTGAAAAGCTAGAGGAAAAGGAAGTGCTATAAATATCCATGAATATATGTAATTTTTTAAATCTCTGGATCGTGTGCATTGCTTATCTGATAGAGCAGATCTGGGGACATGGCTGGAGTGAGATGGGATGCCCGTCAGTCACCCCTCCTCTTGGGAGTGGGGCACAGTGGGGTGGAGTGGGTGGTCAGCATGAGTCTGGCCAGGAACATTTCCATGGAGGCCCACGTGACACATGTGAGCCCCAGGACTTGGGGAACTCTGACCTCCCCTCTTCTGCGTCAGCCTTTCCCCCTCCCCTCATGAGCACAAAGCCCCCAGACCTTGGAAGGCATGAATACAAACATGCACTAGACCAGCATTGTGCCAGAGACAAAGACAACTCACCTGAAACCAGAGATTCCTCCAGCACAAGCGAAGTGAGGGCTGACAGACGTGGCTATGGAGGGCTCTCTCCACTGCCCAAACGGCGAGACTCATCCACCTCCTAAATCTCAGCCAAGGGAAGTAGGTCCTTCCCTGATGCTCCTGAGACTGCCCAACAAATGGTCAGAACTGCAGCCTCTTTCAGGCAACCCCTATCACGCCAGCCAGGTTTTTCTTATCTGTAGTTACCCTATAGGTAAAGGAAATAGATGGGCAGGGCTGCTTCTAGCAAGATAGCTCTTTTTCATAATGACTGACAAGCTAATATAGCTAAAACGAAATTAATAAAATAATGTCCATGGTTCCCTAGTATTTATAACTTCTGTACATTTTCATTTCACAGACCGTTCATATGCCCAGGTTCCTTTGCACCTGGTCTGGACAAAACAGACAAAAATCTTTGCCCGGGTTCCGTTTTAGTTGGAGGAAAGCAAGAAAAAAAAAAAAAAAAAGAAGTACTGGACAGTGTGTCCTGAGGTGGGCAGAGAAGGTGGATGGAGCATGTCGGGCAGGGGTGGGACCTTAGCTGGAGCGGCCAGGGAAGCGCTCACTGAGATGACATCAGCGAGGACTCCAGGCCAGGCAGGGGACTTGGTTGTGGTGTCGGGCGGAAGAGCAGTCCTGGCAGCAAGCACAAGAGTCCGAGGCATGGGAGGGGGACACCTGGCAGGTGCAAGGAACAGCAGGGGGTGAACGTGGCTGGTGAAGGGTGAGCAAATCCAGAGGAGCAGGAACTACAGGGAAGAAATGCCTGCAGGGAACATACTGTCTTGTAACAGCATCTTAAAAATGTTTCCCATCTTTTAAAACATAGCCTAGTGAAAATGTTTTCCAATGTTATAACAGCCCTCAAAATTACATTTCTGTGTAAGATTCCATTCTATTGACATATCTTCATGCATGGAATCATTCCTCATAGGGGAATATTTTTGTTTCAGTTAACATCTCTGTGCATAAGGCTTTTGCCCTATGCTTAGGACAAGCCCCCAAATGCGACCTTCCTTGGTAAATGATTATGAGCATTTTTTACCTCATAAAATAAAAAAAAAACACCCTAAAATACAGTAAAGTATGTTTTAACAGAGGGTCCTCTTACAAATAGGAAAAATGAGCTTTGCTTCTGCGAGTGATTTTTAAAAAGTGACCTGAAAGATCTTCCCAACTCAAACATATTTTCCATTTTGATCTTTTATTATGAAAGCTTATTGGGGAGTATTAAAGGATTGACTTACTGACCCAAATAAATTAAGAGATGCCACATTTCTGGCTAGGAAAACTGAAAAGTTTAAACATGTGTATTCTACTAAAATTAATCTGAATTTCATTGTGGCTATAATCAAATCAAACTGTGATTTATGACTTAAGAAAATAAGCAAGAGTTTAAAACTAAACAAGAATGAAAAGGATAAGAATACCAGGAACAACACCTGCGCTGCCAGGTGTAATATTTATAGAAACTTTAAAGGCACACAGATGAAAGTGGAGTGGGAGCAGAACAAATACACATAGATCAATGGGAAAGAACAGTTCAACTCGTAACTAGGGTAAATATATATGGACTTAAAATGTGGTAGAAAAATACTGTACACAAATTACAAAGTGACAGAATTTTTATGAGTGTTGTGTTGTGGGGGATATTGGCCATTTGGAAAAAAAATTAGTTTAAAATCTTATTTCCCAAATACATAAAATTAGGGATAAACTCTATATTGTAAAAAATGTGAAATCATAGCAAGAAGAAAAAAAGGTGAATATTTATCTGACTTGGTTTGAAAATAACATTTTAAGCATAAAAAAAGGAATAAATTTCAAAAAATTGACTAATAGATATGTCTACATAAAATGTAAAGAGTGTAATTAATATTCCAAAGTAACATAAAGGTTTGCAACAATCACTTTTTGATAACTTATGTAATATAAGATTTGAAATAAGTGGACAAATATACATCTTCATCAATGTGAATATATTTATAAAATCTTCCCTTTCCTTTTTGCTTAGAAACAAAAACTTACCTTTCTACTGATTTGGGAGGAGGCAGTCTTTTTTAAAAACATGAAATCTAAGCATTATCCGTATATTTCATTATGTGTCTGTATACTTTTGATGTTTTCTACTACTTTTTAATGAACCATCTGTCCAAAATTTATTTTCAAAATTGAGAAATCAGTAATTGGGTGAATTATAGACTCGTTTTTTTATTGCATTATTGGTTGTGATTTAACTGTTGCCATCTGAGCTAAGGGCTGTGAGAAATGAGGAGGCAACTGCAGGCTAGCAAATCATGTCCTCAACAAGCAGCTCAAGACAATCAGGTGGAATGTAAGAGCAGTCCTGAAATCCGTGGTGTTTTTGAGAAGCCAGAAATGTGCATTACTTTGTAGACTTGGAGGAAATTTTCAAGAGGATAGAAAACACGCACACACACACACACACATTCACACACAACTAGATTCAACTGAGTCGGATCAGAACAAGAGCAGACTAGAACACGATACTCACAAGAGCTAAAAGGATAGGGAAGCCAGCGGCCAGCATTTGAGGCGATGACTTGACATACAAACGTAACCACGTGAATAAAGGGAAGGTGTTAAGTCCAGGTATGGGGAAGAGCACAGGGCTTGGAGTAAAATGACTGAAAACTCCACACCCTGGCTCCGCGATTTCATTAGCATGTGATCTAAGTGGGTGGCTTCCTTTCTCTGACCTTCTCTTTCCTCCACAGAAATAAGAGTATTAGCATTATCATCAACAACAACATCAACCACATGTGTCTAATACCACAGCCCCAGGGTGATCAATGAATTTCCCTACCACCAGGGCTGAGCTGGCAGAAGGAATGTTTCCCTCTTAAGCTACGAGCAGCACAGAAACCAAGGAATGACATAAACCCAGAGCCCAGGAAGGAAGGGCATGCCAAACGCCTCCCGAAAGCTGCTCTGTGGCTCCGAAGGGCAGGGAGCTAAGTGCATGGAACACCTGGCATGAGTGGGGAGGAGTGGGCTCTACTGGGCCGAAAAAGCATTGTTCCCAGTTGCTGGTCTTCATGGCTTGCTGCCACCTCGTGAGTGGGAACATCAGCTGGGTATAGAGTGACAGAGATCCTTCACCTCTATCAATCTCACCAAATTGACGCAGGGATCAAATATACTTGTGAGGGTAAGGAGTTTTTGAATATCACAATTAACTATACAAATATTAATTTGTTCTATCATTATTGGCAAATGATTACTCATCCATCAACTTTTATCTCAACATTTGCTTCTTCTGGAGGCTTTCCAGTATTTTTTTCAACGCCATTGTGTATGGCTGTGCAGGTATTACAGTGCACAACTCTAGAGGGCTACAATGTCAGTGGTGCTCAGCACTGCCCTGTGTACAGCCTACACAGTTGTATGCAGAGCCCTGACCCCCATGCAGAGATTTATGCAACATTTCTCTTAAATCCACACTGCACTTTATGAGGGCCTCTAGAACAATTGCCTACAGATACTATACTTAATGCAACATTTGTTCTCTGATGCTTTACTCCCACCTGTTCACTCTTCTGGCCTAAAATTACAGGATTTGAGAATAGAGACTTTTGTTTTTAAAATGTTTATCTCTAACACTTGCAAAGTACCTGGAAATTTGCTTAATAAATTAATAATATGAATTATTACATTATAACTTGAAAGCTGCTTTTATTACAGAATGATCTGTCAACAAAAAGGGTCAAACTCTGTACAACATTTGAAGAGATTTATTGTGAGCCGAATATGACTCATCAATATTCTGTGACCCAGGAGATGCTGAGAACATGTGCACAAGGTGGTCAGGATACAGCTTGGTTGCATACCTTTTATGGAGACATAGACATCAATCGATCAACCTACATTGGTTTGGTCTGGAAAGCTGGGACAACTTGAAGCAGGGGCCTCCAGGTCATAGGTGGATTCAAGAATTTTCTAATTGGCAATTGATTGAAAGAGTTAAGTGATTGTCTAAAGACCTAGAATCAATAGAAGGGAATGTCTGGGTTAAGATAAGCGGTTGTAGAGAACAAGATTCCCCTTATGCAAACAGAATCAATAGAAGAGAATGTTTCTTATTAGACTTAAAAAGTCTTTTCTATCAGTCTTAAAGTCTCTGTTTTAATGTTAATGCTGGTCATCTGTGCCTGAATTCCACTGGGAGGTGTACATAACGAGGCATGTCTAACCCCCACTTTCCCTCATGGCCTGAACTAGTTTTTCAGGTTAACTTTGGAATGCCCTTGGCTGAGGGGAGGGTCCATCAGATGGTTCAGGTGCTTAGAATTTTATTTTTGGTTTACAGATCAAATGCCCTTTAAGGTAGGACTGTATGCCAAGTGGTCGCAATGTCTGTTCCCTTAACCACAAATATCTTGTGAGTAAGAAAGCCTAACCTCCTAGGAATGTAGCCCAAGTCTCAGCCTCATTTTTCCCAGCCCCTCTTCAAGATGGAGTTGCCCTGATTCAAATACCTTTGACAACAGGGCTAGATAGAGTAGGTCAGGCAAGAGATATGTAACTGGACCAAATGGTGTGGAAGATGGTAAGATGGGTTAACTAGGAAAGATTTCAGGATTGACCCAGCCTGGGGACAGTCTAGAAAGAACCAGAGCATTAAGAAGAAAGGTGAGAAGATATTTTTACATTGGTTGAAAATACCAGTAGGGATCCTGTTAAGGATTAAATTACCTACAAAAATAATAATATAGTTTGGTTTCATCTCTAATAGACCAAACCTCCTGAAAGTAATAATCATTGACTAAGTAAAAAATACAAAACAACTACCTGAAAGCTGTGAGAGTATACCAAGGCAGGCAGATTTGCAAGGGAGACACAATTTAAAAGAAAGGAATATCACATTGTGAGTTTTTCATTATATAATTCTTAGTCATAGTCACAGTACGGCACAACTAAAACACAAGTTGAAAACCCATACTCAGAGACTTCTATTTCCGGCTGTGATGAAGGAAGAGTGCTAGATTTGTCCTCCTGCCTTAAACAAAAAGATATATAAAATAAATATATTTTCCAAAATATATAAAACAATGGATATGAGTCATATTTTTCTGCGTTTCTTTTGCATAGTTGTTAATTTTTTTATTGGATGCTAGACATTTAAAATTTCAACACAGGACAGAAATCTCATCTGGGAGAAAGGGAACAGATAATGTAAGCCCTAACGTTGTCCTATATCAATGCCTGGATAGAGTTTCTAGGTGACAGGGCAAGAAGCAGAGCCCAAACAGAGCCTGGTGGTCCCCCTGAATTGAGGTGACAGAGTTTGGGGTTTAGGGAGTCCAAAGCAGCTAGAATCTGTGGGATAAAAACCAAGGAGGATAGAGCTCCAGAAATAGGAAGAGAGGTGCCCTTGAAAGTGTGACTGATAATGATCTGAGCATGTATATGAAGAAAATACAAAGGCAAGTGAAAGAATCATTGTAAAGGAGTAGGTGGTACAATCCCTGGAGCTTACACAGGGATGAGAATAGTTTGTTTTCACCAGCCAGAGTTAAAAGCCACCCAATACATAAGGCATCAGTAGAATCTTCAAAAGAACATTGCCTTAGTAATAGAAATAAATTAGCCCTAGACTAAGGCTGCCATGGGCCCATGCTACAGAGCCTTACAGCAAGATTTGAACAGATTAAAATAATTACAAGTAACTAAACTGCATCCCAAAGTTCTGCAATATTTAAAATAATACAACAAAATTGAGTACCCAAAAATGTTAAATTTAAAATGTTCAGCACCCAGTCAAAAATTATTAGGCATCCAAAGAAACAAGAAGATATGATCCATAACCAGGAGAAAAATCACTCAAAGAAACACTCAGAAATGACAGAGATGACAGAAGTAATAGAAAATATATTAAAATAGCTATTATAAATATAAATATATATATCATGTTTAAAAAGCTTAAACATGATGAGCAGAAGAACCAAAAATATAAAAAACAAATGAAATGTCTATATATGAAAATAAATTATTTGAAATGAAAAACACACTGAATGAAACTAAGTGCTGACTAGACATTGAAGAAGAAAATATCTATACATTTTGAAGACATAACAATAGAAACTATTCAAAATAAAAGAAGGAGGGGAAAAGACTGAAAAAAAATGAACAAAGCAACAATGATCTCTGGGACGATATCAAGTGGTAAGAGGCAGGAATAACTGGAGACCCAGAAGGAGCAAAGGGGAGGAGATACAAGAAAATATTTAATAAAATATGGCTAAAATTTTTTCAAGTTTGATAACAAGCTGTAAATTCACAGATCTAAGAAGTCCAAAGTACTACACATTAAAAAAAAATAGCATATCACGGTCAAATCTCCATAAACCATCAAGAAAAGAAAATCTTAAAAACAACCAGAAGAAAAAAAGTATATACAGAAGCAAAGATAATTACAGCAGACTTCTTGTCTGAAATTATGTAAGGCAAAGAACCAAAAAACCAAAACAACAACAACAACAAAAAAAAAACAACAAAAAAGAAACAGTGGTATGGCAGTATTAAAGTAGTGGGAAAAGGTCAGCCTAGAATTCTATATGCAGAAAAATATCTTTCTAAAATGAAAGTAAAATAACTTTTTTCAGACAAACAAAACTTGCCAAAGCACATATACTATGAAGAATCAATTTATAATATATAGTACATATACTATAAATGGCAAAGCTGCAGAGAAAAACAGAATGCATACATTGCTGGTAGATATGTAAATTAGTTCAGCCATTGTAGAAAGCAGTGTGGCAACTTCTCAAAGAACTTAAAACAGAAGTACCATTCAACTCAGCAATCCCATTACTGGGTATACACCCAAAGAAATACACATCATTCTACCATAAAGACACACGCATGCATATGTTCTTTCAGCACTATTTACAATAGCAAACACATACAATCAACCTAATGCTCATCAATAGTAGACTGAAAAAAAAGAAATGTGGCACACATACACCATGGAATACTACATAGCCATAAACAAAATGAGATCATGTTCTTTGCAGCAACAAGGATGGAACTGGAGGCCATAATCCTAAGTGAACTAAAGCAGGAATAGAAAACCAAATACTGCATGTTCTCACTTATAAGTGGGAGCTAAACGTTGAGTACATATGGACACAAAGAAGGGAAAAACAGACACTGGGCCCTACTGGAAGGTGGGGGGGTGGGAGGAGTGACAGGGTCAAAACACTACCTATTGGGTACTATGCTTACTACCTGGATGACTAAATAATCTGTACACCAAACCCCCATGATATGCAATTTACCTATATAAGAAACCTGCACATGTACCCTGATCCTAAAATAAAAGTTAATAAATATCTCCTCCAAAAAAAAAGAATTGAAAGTTCTTCAGAAAGAGAAAATAAGACATCAGACAGTAATTCAAACCTAGAAAAGAAATCAAAGTAATTTAAAATGAGTATGTAAATCAATAGAAAAGATTGTTTAATTTTTAAAATATCTTAATGCTAATTAAAAGAAAAATAATAACATATTGTGTCATCTATAACATATAGAAGCAAATATAGACAATAATAGCAAACAGGATAGGAAGGAAGAAAGGGAAGTATTTCTTGTAAGGACCAAACATTTCAATAAGTATGAAATGTTATAATAATCTTTGAAGTTATAATGTAATATTGCTAGAGCAATTATTATAAAAATAGGGTGTACAATTACTAAGCCAATAGTAGGGTTAAAGCTGAGTCATAAAATACTCAATTATTCCAAAAAAACAAGGAAGGAAAAGAGGGGTGGAAGGAACAAAGAACAAATAAGAAAAATATAAAATAATAGAAAATATTAGATTTAAACCCAAAGTTGTCAATGATCACATTAAATGTCCATGGTATCCCTTAGTTTATTCAAAGACAGGATAATTTAAAACAACAGAAATGTATTGTTTGCAGTTCTGGAAGCTGAGAAGTCTAAGATCAAGAAATTTGGTGTCTGGGGAGATCTCACTCTCTGCTTCACATATGGCACCTTCTTGCAGTGTTTTTACATGGTAGAAGCTCTCTCATGCCTCTTTTATAAGGGCACTAATCCCATTCATTAGAGTGACTCTCTTATAACCTAATCACCTCTCAAAGGCCGCACCTCTTAATACCACTACACTGAGGTTTATGTTTCAACCTATGAATTTGGTGGTGGAAAAAAACATTCAGATAATAGTATGGTCTAATCACTCCAATTAAAAAGCAAAGGCAGTCAAATTGGATTAAACAGCAAGACTCAAGTAAATGCTGTCTACAAAACACCTCCTTTATATACAAAGCCAATACAAAGGTAAGTAATAGGTTAAAAGTAAAAGGATAGAAAAAGATATGTCATGCAAATATTAATCAAAGGAAATGGAGTGACTGTATTTATATTAGATAAAATAGGTTTCAGTACAGAGAATTTAACCAGGTATAAAACTGGATATTTCATAATGATAAACAGATCCATGAGAAGCAAAATCAAGAATATATAAAAATCCTAAATATTTATGTTCCAAATAACAAGCTTCAAAATACATAAAGTAAAAACAGAATTGAAAGAAAAAATAAACAAACCAACAATTACAGTTGGAGCTTTCAAAAGTCTTATTTTATTAATTGATAGCACAAGTGGACAATTAGTAATGAATTAGTAATGAATATAGAAGACAAATAATACTATCAACCAATTTAAAATCTATATATCAATTTGATCAAATATCAATCAAACTGATATTTTTAGAATGTTCTACCAGGAGGCACTGTTAGCAAAATACACACTTTTTTATACATGCACACAAGAAATACAGTCTTATGCTGGGCAATAAGTAAATCATATTACATTTAAAAGGATTGAAATTATGCAAAGTATGTTTTCTAAGCACAGCTGAATTAAACAGAAAAATATCTAGGAAAACCCCAAATATATAGAAATTAAAAATTAAATAGTTCACGGATCACATAAAAAATACAGTAGACATTACAAAATATTCTAAATCTAATAAAAATATAAATCAACATATCAAAATATGTGGGAAGTTACAAAACAATTCTCAGAAAAAAACTTATACCTTTAAATGCTTGTGTTAAAAAAGAAGATATAAGATCAACGATCTGAGGTCTGACTTTAAAAAGTTAGAAAAAGAAGAACAAAGAAAACCCAAAGTAGACAAAAGGAAGAAAATGATAAAACTAAGAGCAGACGTAAGTAAAATTTGTAGACAAACAATACAACAAAGTCAAAAGCTAGTTCTTTGAAATAATTAAGCAAATTGATAAGTCCATAGTTAGACTGATTTTTAAGAGTGATAATACATATTGTGAAAATCAAGAATGAAAGAGGGGTTATCACTACAGATCCTATAGACACCAAAAGGACAGTGAGTACTATTAGCAACCTTATGCCAATAATTTCTGTAAATTAGATGACACAGATAAATTCCTTAAAAATACAACTTTTAAAATTGACACAGATGAACAGAAAATCTACATAGCTCTATATCTATTAAAGTAATTGAATTAATATCCAACATTAATTCAACTGGCTAGATATTGGGTGAATTCTGTCAAACATTCTAGAAAAAAGTAATATAAATTTCATGTAAACATGTTAAATTCAGAAAATAGAGGAGAAAACATGACCAATTTACTTCATGAGTCAAGTCTAATATTAATATCAAAACCTGACAAAGACATTACAAAAATTACAGGCCAGTAACACTGATAAACATAGACACAAATTTTCTTAAGAAAACACTCGCAAGTATAAATTGAATATGTCAAAAGAAGTAGGTTTTATCAAGTAAGTTTTACGTGAAGAATGCAAAGTTGGTTTAACATTTTACAATTAATTACCATATTAGCAGATGACATCTTTAAAAAGTCATTTCTAATATTACTAGAAAAAAATAAGCAATACAATTGTTTTAATAGGTGCCAAAAAAGCATTTGACAAAATTCAATGCCTGTTCATGATTTAAAAAACAACAAACTCTCAAAAATCCTGAAATGGATCTGAACTTTCTCAACCTACTAAAAAATATCTGGAAAAGATCTACAGCTAATAACATCCTTAATGGTTATGGTTTAATTAAAAAATAATCAATTAAGTAAATAAATAAATAAATGAAATGCCCTAGGTTCCTCACAAAAAGCTTCTGAAACCTTTGGAAGGCAGCTATGCTCACCACTATACCACCAATGCCTGCATTTCTGAAACCTTTGGAATTTCTAAAAGAGTCATTGTCTTTGGTAAGATAATGAGATGCCTGGTAGCTGGGGTCCCCTAGGTAGCTTCAGAATGGGGACTGGTTGCTACAAAGACCAAGCCTTGATTAGAAGCTTAGAACTCTCAGGCCTGTCTCTCAACCTATAGAAAGGGAAAAGGGGTTGGAGACTGTGCGAATCACCATTGGCTGATGATTTAATCAATCATACCTACATAATGAAGACTCCATTAAAACCCTAAATGACAGTTGGGAGGGTTTCCAGGTTGGTGAACACATCAAGGTGCTGGGAGGGTGGCGCATCCAGAGGGAACATGGAAGCTCCTGCCCCTTCCTCCATACCCTGCCCTGTGCAGCTCTTTCATTTGGCAGTTCCTGAGGTGTATTCTTTATAATAACTGGTAATTTCCACCAAATTATCAAACCTGCAGAAGGAGTCATGGGAATCCTCAATTTCTACCTGGTCAATCAGAAGTTCAGGAAGCCCTCAACCTGTGACTGGCATCTGAAGTGGGGGGAAGCGGATCGAGCCTTTGAGCTGTGGGGTCTGCACTAACTCCAAGGGGTTAATGTCAGAATTGAATTGGATTGTTGAACTCACAGTTGGTGTCCAGAGAATCAGAGAATTGGTTGGTATGAAGCAAAAACCCCATACCTTGGTGTCAGAAATGTTATAAGTAAAAACAGCTGAAACGTAAATTATTATATGCTTCCCCTTAAGTCAAGGAAAAGGCAAGGATGCTTCTTCTTACCGTGTCTACCCAACATTCTCCGAGTGATTCTAGACAGTGCAATAGGGCGAGGTAAAGAAATACAAGCATAGAGGTTCCAAGATGGCCAAATAGGAACAGCTCCAGTCTGCAGCTACCAGCGTAAGCGACGCAGAAGACGGGTGATTTCTGCATTTCCAACTAAGGTATTGGGTTCATTTCACTGGGGCTTGTCAGACAGTGGGTGTAGCCCATGGAGCAGGGCGGGGCATTGCCTCACCCAGGAAGCGCAAGGGGTTGGGGAATTCCCTTTCCTAGCAAAGGGAAGCCGTGACAGATGGTGCCTGGAAATTCAGGACACTCCCACCCTAATACTGTGCTTTTCCAATGGCCTTAGCAAAAGGCACACGAGGAGATTATATCCTGTGCCTGGCTGGTGGGGGCGGTCCCACACCCACGGAGCCTTGCTCACTGCTAGCACAGCAGTCTGAGATCAAACTGCAAGGCAGCAGGGAGGCTGGGGGAGGGGCATCCGCTATTGCTGAGGCTTGAGTAGTCTCAGCGGCCGTGAATAAGTGCCCACCTCATGTGCAGAGACACACAAAGTGGCCGGGAAGCTCGAACTGCATGGAGCCCATTGCAGCTCAAGGAGGCCTCCCTGCCTCTGTAGACTCCACCTCTGGGGGCAGGGCATAGCTGAAAAAAAGGCAGCAGAAACTTCTGCAGACTTAAGCATCCCTGTCTGACAGCTTTGAAGAGAGTAGTGGTTTTCCCAGCACAGAGTTTGAGATCTGAGAATGGACAGACTGCCTCCTCAAGTGGGTCCCTGACCCCTGAGTAGCCTAACTGGGAGACACCTCCCAGTAGGGGCCGACTGACACCTCATACAGCAGGGTGCCCCTCTGAGATGAAGCTTCCAGAGGAAGGATCAGGTAGCAACATCTGCCGTTCTGCAATATTTACCATTCTGCAGTCTCCACTGGTGATACCCAGGCAAACAGGGTCTAGAGTGGACCTCCAGCAAACTCCAACAGACCTACAGCTGAGGGTCCTGACTGTTAGAAGGAAAACTAACAAACAGAAAGCACATCCACACCAAAACCCCATCTGTACATCACCATCATCAAAGACGAAAAGTAAATAAAACCACAAAGATAGGGAGAAACCAGAGCAGAAAAGCTGAAAATTCTAAAAATCAGAGCACCTCTTCTCCTCCAAAGGAATGCAGCTCCTCACCAGCAATGGAACAAAGCTGGATGGAGAATGACTTTGATGAGTTGAGAGAAGAAGGCTTCAGACGATCAGTAATAACAAACTTCTCCAAGCTAAAGGAGGATGTTTGAACCCATTGCAAAGAAGCTAAAAACCTTCAAACAAGATTAGACGAATGGCTAACTAGAATAAACAGTGTAGAGAAGTCCTTAAATGACCTCACAGAGCTGAAAACCATAGCACGAGAACTGTGTGACAAATGCACAAGCTTCAGTAGCCAATTTGATCAGGGGGGAGAAAGGGTATCAGTGATTGCAGATCAAATGAATGAAATGAAGCAAGAAGAGAAGTTTAGAGAAAAAGGAGTAAAAAGAAACGAACAAAGCCTCCAAGAAATATGGGCCTATGTGAAAAGACTAAATCTACATCTGATTGGTCTACCTGAAAGTGACGGGGAGAATGGAACCAAGTTGGAAAACACTCTGCAGGATATTATCCAGGAGAAATTCCCCAACCTAGCAAGGCAGGCCAACATTTAAATTCAGAAAATACAGAGAAGGCCACAAAGATACTCCTCGAAAAGAGCAACTCCAAGACACATAACTGTCAGATTCACCAAAATTGAAATGAAGGAAAAAATGTTAAGGGCAGCCAAAGAGAAAGGTCGGGTTACCCACAAAGGGAAGCCCATCAGACTAACAGCAGATCTCTCAGCAGAAACTCTACAAGCCAGAAGACAGTGGGGGCCAATATTCAACATTCTGAAAGAAAAGACTTTCCAACCCAGAATTTCATATCCAGCCAAACTACGCTTCATAAGTGAAGGAGAAATAAAATTCTTTACAGACAAACAAATGCTGAGAGATTTTGTCACCACCAGGTCTGCCTTACAAGAGCTCCTGAAGGAAGCACTAAACATGGAAAGGAACAGCAGATATCAGCCACTGCAAAAACATGCCAAATTCTAAAGACCACCAATGCTAGGAAGAAACTGCATCAACTAATGAGCAAAATAACCAGCTAACATCATAATGACAGGATCAAATTCACACATAACAATATTAACCTTAAACGTAAATGGGCTAAATGCTCCAATTAAAAGACACAGACTGGCAAATTCGATAAAGAGTCAAGACCCATCAGTGTGCTGTATTCAGGAGAACCATCTCACGTGCAGAGACACACATAGGCTCAAAATAAAGGGATGGAGGAAGATCTACCAAGCAAATGGAAAACACACAAAAAAGCAAGGGTCGCAATCCTAGTCTCTGATAAAACAGACTTTAAACCAGCAAAGATCAAAAGAGACAATGAAGGCCATTACATAATGGTAAAGGGATCAATTCAACAAGAAGAGCTAACTATCCTAAATATATATGCACCCAATACAGGAGCACCCAGATTCACAAAGCAAGTCCTTAGAGACCTACAAAGAGACTTAGACTCCCACACAATAATAATGGGAGACTTTAACACCCCACTGTTAACATTAGACAAGTCAAAGAGACAGAAATTTAACAAGGATATCCAGGAATTGAACTCAGCTCTGCACCAAGCGGACCTAATAGACATCTACAGAACTCTCCACCCCAAATCAACAGAATATACATTCTTCTCAGCACCACATCACATTTATTCCAAAATTGACCACATAGTTGGAAGTAAAGCACTCCTCAGCAAATGTAAAAGAACAGAAATTATAACAAACTGTCTCTCAGACCACAGTGCAATCAAACTAGAACGCAGGATTAAGAAACTCACTCAAAACCACTCAACTACATGGAAACTGAACAACGTGCTCCTGAATGACCACTGGGTACATAACGAAATGAAGGCAGAAATAAAGATGTTCTCTGAAACCAGTGAGAACAAAGACACAACATACCAGAATCTCTGGGACACATTTAAAGCAGTGTGTAGATGGAAATTGATAGTACTAAATGCCCACAAGAGAAAGCAAGAAAGATCTAAAATTGACACCCTAACATCACAATCAAAAGAACTAGAGAAGCAAGAGCAAACACATTCAAAAGCTAGCAGAAGGCAAGAAATAACTAAGATCAGAACAGAACCGAAGGAGATCGAGACACAAAAAAAAAACTCTTCAAAAAATCAATGAATCTGGGAGTTGGTTTCTTGAAAAGATCAACAAAATTCATTGACCACTAGCAAGACTAATAAAGAAGAAAAGAGATGCAATAAAAAATGATAAAGAGGATATCATCGCCAATCCCATAGAAATACAAACTACCATCAGAGAATACTACAAACACCTCTATGCAAATAAACTAGAAAATCTAGAAGAAATGGATAAATTCCGCGACACATACACCCTCCCAAGACTAAACCAGGAAGAAGTTGAATCCCTGAATAGACCAATAACAGGCTCTGAAATTGAGGCAATAATTAATAGCCTACCAACCAAAAAAAGTCCAGGACCAGATGGATTCACAGCCGAATTCTACCAGAGGTACAAAGAGGAGCTCGTATCATTCCTTCTGAAACTATTCCAATGAATAGAAAAAGAGGGAATCCTCCCTAACTCATTTTATGAGGCCAGCATCATAGTGATACCAAAGCCTGGCAGAGACACAACAAAAAAAGAGAATTTTAGACCAATATCCCTGATGAACATCGATGCAAAAATCCTCAATAAAATACTGGCAAACCAAATCCAGCAGCACATCAAAACTCTTATCCATCATGATCAAGTTGGCTTCATCCCTGGGATGCAAGGCTGGTTCAACATACACAAATCAATAAACATAATCCATCATATAAACAGAACCAAAGACAAAAACCACATGATTATCTCAATAGATGCAGAAAAGGCCTTTGACAAAATTAAACAGCCCTTCATGCTAAAACTCTCAATAAACTAGGTATTGATGGGATGTATCTCAAAATAATAAGAGCTATTTGTGACACACCCACAGCCAATATCATACTGAATGGGCAAAAACTGGAAGCATTCCCTTTGAAAACTGGCACAAGACAGGGATGCCCTCTCTCACCACTCCTAGTCAACATAGTGTTGGAAGTTCTGGCCAGGGCAATCAGGCAGGAGAAAGAAATAAAGGGTATTCAACTAGGAACAGAGGAAGTCAAATTGTCCCTGTTTGCAGATGACATGATTGTATATTTAGAAAACCCCATCGTCTCAGCCAAAAATCTCCTTAAGCTGATAACCAACTTCAGTAAAGTCTCAGGATACAAAATCAATGTGCAAAAATCAAAAGCATTCCTATACACCAATAGCAGACAAACAGAGAGCCAAATCATGAGTGAACTCTCATTCACAATTGCTTCAAAGAGAATAAATTACCTAGGAATCCAATTTACAAGGGATGCGAAGGACCTCTTCAAGGAGAACTACAAACCACTGCTCAACGAAATAAAAGAGGACACAAACAAATGGAAGGCCATTCCATGCTCATAGATAGGAAGAATCAATATTGTGAAAATGGCCATACCGTCCAAGGTAATTTATAGATTCAATGCCATCCCCATCAAGCTACCAATGACTTTCTTCACAGAATTGGAAAAAACTACTTGAAAGTTCATATGGAACCAAAAAAGAGCCTGCATTGCCAAGACACTCCTAAGCAAAAAGAACAAAACTGGAGGCATCATGCTACCTGACTTCAAACTATACTACAAGGCTACAGTAACCAAAACAGCATGGTACTGGTACCAAAACAGAGATACAGACCAATGGAACAGAACAGAGCCCTCAGAATTAATACCACACATCTACAACCATCTGATCTTTGACAAACCTGACAAAAACAAGAAATGGGGAAAGGATTCCCTATTTAATAAATGGTGCTGGGAAAACTGGTTAGCCATATGTAGAAAGCTGAAACTGGATCCCTTCCTTACACCTTATACAAAAATTAATTCAAGATGGATTAAAGACTTAAATGTTAGACCTAAAAACCATAAAAACCCTAGAAGAAAACCTAGGCAATACCATTCAGGACATAGGCATGGGCAAGGACTTCATGACTAAGACACCAAAAGCAATGGCAACAAAAGCCAGAATTGACAAATGGGATCTAATTAAACTAAAGAGCTTCTGCACAGCAAAAGAAACTACCATCAGAGTGAATAGGCAACCTACAGAATGGGAGAAAATTTTTACAATCTACGCATCTGACAAAGGGCTAATTATCCAGAATCTACAAAGAACATAAACAAATTTACAAGAAAAAAATCGAACAATCCCATCAAAAAATGGGCGAAGGATATGAACAGACACTTCTCAAAAGAAGACATTTATGCAGGCAACAGACACATGAAAAAATGCTCATCATCACTGGCCATCAGAGAAATGCAAATCAAAACCACAATGAGATACCATCTCAAATCAGTTAGAATGGCAATCATTAAAAAGTCAGGGAACAACAGATGCTGGAGAGGATGTGGAGAAATAGGAACACTTTTACACTGTTGGTGGGACTGTAAACTAGTTCAACCATTGTGGAAGTCAGTGTGGCGATTCCTCAAGGATCTAGAACTAGAAATACCATTTGACCCAGCCATCCCATTACTGGGTATACACTGGTTATATACTGGGTATACATAATAAGGATTATATAGCATGCTGCTATAAAGACACATGCACACGTATGTTTATTGCGACACTATTCACAATAGCAAAGACTTGGAACCAACCCAAATGCCCATCAATGACAGACTGGATTAAGAAAATGTGGCACATATACACCATGGAATACTATGCAGCCATAAAAAAGGATGAGTTCATGTCCTCTGAGGGACATGGATGAAGCTGGAAACCATCATTCTGAGCAAACTATCACAAGGACAGAAAACCAAACACCGCATGTTCTCACTCATAGGTGGGAATGGAGTAATGAGAACATTTGGACACACAGTGGGGAACATCACACACCAGGGCCTGTCGTGGGGTGGGGGGAGGGGGGAGGGATAGCATTAGGAGATATACCTAATGTAAATGACGAGTTAATGGGTGCAGCACATCAACATGGCACATGTATACATATGTAACAAACCTGCACGTTGTGCACATGTACCCTAGAACTTAAAGTATAAAAAAAAGAATAAATTTAACTGAGATCCCTATGTTCTACTTGCCAACAAACACCCTCCAGGAAAAGAATTAGTCCTAAAATTAAAAATAAAAAAAAAAGGGCTACCCTCTTTGAGTCCCCTCCCTTTGTATGGGAGCTCTGTTTTCACTGTATTAAATCTTGCAACTGCACTCTCTTCTGGTCTATGTTTGTGTCGGCTTGAGCTGAGCTTTCACTCGCTGTCCACTACTGCTGTCGCAGACCCGCCGCTGACTTCCATCCCTCCGGATCCTGCAGGGTGTCCGCTGTGCTCCTGATCCAGCGAGGTGCCCATTGCCGCTCCTGATCAGGCTAAAAAGGCTTGCCATTGTTCCTGCACTGCTAAGTGTCCGGGTTCGTCCTAATCAAGCTGAACACTAGTCACTGGGTTCCACAGTTCTCTTCTGTGACCCACGGCTTCTAATAGAGCTATAACACTCACCACATGGCCCAAGATTCCATTCCTTGGAATCCGTGAGACCAAGAACCCCAGGTCAGAGAACACGAGGCTTGCAACCATCTTGGAAGCAGCCCACCGCCATTTTGGAAGCAGCCAGCCACCACCTTGGGAGCTCTGTGAGCAAGGACCCCCTGGTAACATTTTGGTGACCATGAAGGGACCTCCAAAGTGGTAATACTGGACCACTTTCACTTGCTATTCTGTCCTATCCTTCCTTAGAATTGGAGGAAAATACCGGGCACCTGTCGGCCAGTTAAAAACCATTAGCATGGCTTTTTAACCATGCTATATGCCTATGTCCTAGGCATATAGCCTAGGACATAGGACATGCCATGCCTATGTCCAGACTTAGGACTCAGGTGTGAGGCTATCTGGGGAAGGGCTTTCTAACAACCCCCAACCCTTCTGGGTTGGGGACATTGGTCTGCCTGGAGCCAGCTTCCACTTTCAATTTTCTTGGGGAAGCCAGGGGCCAACTAGAGGCAGAAAGCTGTCATCCCGAACTCCCGGCATTAGCCAGTTGAGATCATGGTGCAGCCAGAAGTCTCTCCTCAACAGTTGCCCATGCATGCACCCCTACCTTTCCTTCTGACCCATACATCCTGGGTCCCAACCACGACGTTCTTGAAAGTGTAGCCCCAAAATTCTCCTTACCTCTGAATCTTCTTCCTCTGATCCCTGCCTCCTAGGTACTAATGGTTCAGACTTTCATTTCCTCTGGCAAGTTGTAACTCCAAAGGGATCTAAGGAAGCTCTACGCTGTGTTCTTAGGCATCTAGGCTACAAACCCAGGAAGTGTTATCCCTGGTGTCCCACCCGATTTAAGTATACAGCTCTCGACATGGGCAGTTATGTTGGACCCGTTCCCCACCACCCTTGCCAGGGCCCCAAATTTGTAATGGCTAAGAGAAGGCGAGAGATGGAGGAGAGAGAGAGACAGAGGAGGGAGAGAGAGAGAGAGATGGAGGAGAGAGAGAGAGAAAGAGGGAGTCAAAGAGAAAAAAACAGAGAAAGATAGAAATAGTAAAAAACAGTGTGCCCTATTCCTTTAAAAGCCAGGGTAAATTTAAAACCTGTAATTGATAATTGAAGGTCTTCTCCATGACCCTATAACACTCCAATACTACCTTGTTGTTAGTGTAAACAAGGGCGTAGCCTGAAAACACTGAGACCGCTAACAACCAGGAGCCTTCCCATCAAAATTCCTCAACTCAGTGACCCGCAGATGGCCCAAATGCATACAGTCTGTAGCAGCAACTGCTTTGCTAACAGAAGAAAGTAGAAAAGTGACGTTTAGAGGAAACCTCATTGTGAGCACACCTAATCAGTTCAGAATTATTCTAAGTCAAAAAAGCAAAAAGGTAGCTTACTAACTCAAAAATCTTAAAGCATGCGGCTTTTCTGTTAGAAAAAGGTAATTTAACACCAACCACTGATAATCCCATTAACCCAGCAGATTTCCCAACAAAGGATTTAAATCTTAATTACCATACAAAGGTCCGACCAGATCTAGGAGGAACTCCCTTCAGGACAGGACAGTAGATGGTTCTTCCCTGGTGACTGAGGAAAAAACCACAATGGGCATTCAGTAATTGGTAGGGAGACTCTTGTGGAAGCAGAGTTAGAAAAATTGCTTAATAATTGGTCTCCTCAAACGTGCGAGCCGTTTGCACTCAGCCAAGCCTTAAAGTACTCACAGAATCAAAAAAGACTATCTCAATCCTGACTCAAAAGGTTACCTACACCCTCTCTGAAATGAATTTGCATAAGAACTGTTGTTTATGGGAATGCATCTTGATGGGGAAGCTGGGTTGTTATGAAATACTCAGGAACCCAGCCCAGCTCTAGGACTCACCCCTGAGCACAAAGGCAATGTTGGGTACGCTGGTAAAGGACCACTAGAATCCAGCAGCCTGGACCCCTTTCTTTGTGGTCAAGAAAGGCAGGAAAAGGGTGCAAGACTGCTACTTCGGTGAGCATAACTAATCCGATAAGCCGAGGTCCATGGGTGGTTACGCACCCTGGAAAGGAATAAGCATTAGGACCACAGCGGACACTCTAAGATTAATGCACATCGGAAAATGACTAGGGGTGCTGGCATCCCTCAGTTCTTTTTTCAGATAGGAAATGTTCCGCCCAAGGCAAAAATGCCCCTAAGATGTATTCTGGAGAATTGGGACCAATTTGACCCTCAGATGCTAAGAAAGAAATGACTCATTTTCTTCTGCAGTACCGCCTGGCCACGATATCCTCTTCAAGGGGGAGAAACCTGGCCTCTGGAGGGAAGTATAAATTATAACACCATCTTACAGCTAGAACTCTTTTGTAAAAAAGAAGGCAACTGGAGTGAAGTGCCATATGTACAAACTTTCTTTTCATTAAGAGACAACTCGCAATTATGTAAAAAGTGTGATTTATGCCCTACAAGAAGCCTTCAGAGTCTACCTCCCTACCCCACCATCCCCCCAACTCCTCCCCCAACTAATAAGGACCCCCCTTGAACCCAAACGGTCCAAAAGGAGATAGACAAAGGGGTAAACAATGAATCAAAGGTGCCAATATTCCCCGATTATGCCCCCTCCAAGCAGTGAGAGGAGGAGAATTCATCCCAGCCAGAGTGCATGTACCTTTTTCTCTCTCGGACTTAAAGCAAATTAAAATAGACCTAGGTAAATCCTCAGATAACCCTGATGGCTATATTGATGTTTTACAGGGGTTAGGACAATCCTTCGATCTGATATGGAGAGATATAATGTTACTGCTAAATCAGACGTTAACCCCAAATGAGAGAAGTGCCACCATAACTGCAGCCTGAGAGTTTGGCGATCTCTGGTATCTCAGTCAGGTCAATGATAGGATGATAACAGAGGAAAGAGAATGATTCCCCACAGGCCAGCAGGCAGTTCCCAGTGTAGACCCTCACTGGGACGCAGAATCAGAACATGGAGATTGGTGCTGCAGACATTTGCTAACTTGTGTGCTGGAAGGACTAAGGAAAACCAGGAAGAAGCCTACAAATTTTTCAATGATGTCCACTATAACACAGGGAAAGGAAGAAAATCCTACTGCTTTTCTGGAGAGACTAAGGGAGGCATTGAGGAAGCATACCTCTCTGTCACCTGACTCTATTGAAGGCCAACTAATCTTAAAGGATAAGTTTATCACTCAGTCAGCTGCAGACATTAGAAAAAAACTTCAAAAGTCCGCCTTAGGCCCAGAGCAAAACTTAGAAACCCTATTGAACTTGGCAACCTTGGTTTTTTATAATAGAGATCAGGAGGAGCAGGCGGAACAGGACAAACGGGATTTAAAAAGGCCACTGCTTTAGTCATGGCCCTCAGGCAAGTGGACTTTGGAGGCTCTGGAAAAGGAAAAGCTGGGAAAATCGAATGCCTAACAGGGCTTGCTTCCAGTGCGGTCTACAAGCACACGTTAAAAAAGATCATCCAAGTAGAAATAAGCTGCCTCCTCGTCCACCATTATGTCAAGGGAATCACTAGAAGGCCCACTGCCCCAGGGGATGAAGGTCCTCTGAGTCAGAAGCCACTAACCAGATGATCCAGCAGCAGGACTGAGGGTACCGGGGCAAGCACCAGCCCATGCCATTACCCTCACAGAGCCTCGGGTATGCTTGACCATTGAGGGCCAGGAGGTTAACTGTCTCCTGGACACTGGCGCGGCCTTCTCAGTCTTACTCTCCTGTCCCGGACAACTGTCCTCCAGATCTGTCACTCTCCGAGGGGTCCTAGGACAGCCAGTCATTAGATACTTCTCCCAGCCACTAAGTTGTGCCTGGGGAACTTTACTCTTTTCTCATGCTTTTCCAATTATGCCTGAAAGCTCCACTCCCTTGTTAGGGAAAGACATTCTAGCAAAAGCAGGGGCCATTATACACCTGAACATAGGAGAAGGAACACCCATTTGTTGTCCCTGCTTGAGGAAGGAATTAATCCTGAAGTCTGGGCAACAGAAGGACAATATGGACGAGCAAAGAATGCCCATCCTGTTCTAGTTAAACTAAAGGATTCCGCCTCCTTTCCCTACCAAAGGCAGTACTCCCTTAGACCTGAGGCCCAACAAGGACTCCAAAAGATTGTTAAGGACCTAAAAGCCCAAGGCCTAGTAAAACCATGCAATAGCCCCTGCAATACTCCAATTTTAGGAGTAGAGAAACCCAACAGACAGTGGAGGTTTGCACAAGAGCTCAGGATTATCAATGAGGCCATTGTCCCTCTATACCCAGCTGTACCTAACCCTTATACTCTGCTTTCCCAAATACCAGAGGAAGCAGAGTGGTTTACAGTCCTGGACCTTAAGAATGCCTTTTTCTGCATCCCTGTACATCCTGACTCTCAATTCTTGTTTGCCTTTGAAGATCCTTCAAACACAACCTGTCAACTCACCTGGACTGTTTTACCCCAAGGGTTCAGGGATAGCCCCCATCTATTTGGCCAGGCATTAGCCCAAGACTTGAGCCAATTCTCATACCTGGACACTCTTGTCCTTCAGTACATGGATGATTTACTTTTAGTCGCCCGTTCAGAAACCTTGTGCCATCAAGCCACCCAAGAACTCTTAAATTTCCTCACTACCTGTGGCTACAAGGTTTCCAAACCAAAGGCTCGGCTCTGCTCACAGCAGATTAGATACTGAGGGCTAAAATTATCCAAAGGCACCAGGGCCCTCAGTGAGGAACGTATCCAGCCTATACTGGCTTATCCTCATCCCAAAACCCTAAAGCAACTAAGAGGGTTCCTTGGCATAACAGGTTTCTGCCGAAAACAGATTCCCAGGTACAGCAAAATAGCCAGACCATTATATACACTAATTAAGGAAACTCAGAAAGCCAATACCTATTTAGTAAGATGGACACCTAAACAGAAGTGGCTTTCCAGGCCCTAAAGAAGGCCCTAACCCAAGCCCCAGTGTTCAGCTTGCCAACAGGGCAAGATTTTTCTTTATATGCCACAGAAAAAACAGGAATCGCTCTAGGAGTCCTTACACAGGTCCGAGGGATGAGCTTGCAACCCATGGCATACCTGAATAAGGAAATTGATGTAGTGGCAAAGGGTTGGCCTCATTGTTTATGGGTAGTGGCGGCAGTAGCAGTATTAGTGTCTGAAGCAGTTAAAATAATACAGGGAAGAGATCTTACTGTATGGACATCTCATGACGTGAATGACATACTCACTGCTAAAGAAGACTTGTGGCTGTCAGACAACTGTTTACTTAACTATCAGGCTCTATTACTTGAAGGGCCAGTACTGTTAACCCAGCCACATTTCTTCCAGACAATGAAGAAAAGATAGAACATAACTGTCAACAAGTAATTCCTCAAACCTGTGCTGCTCGAGGGGACCTTTTAGAGGTTCCCTTGACTGATCCCAACCTCAACTTGTATACTGATGGAAGTTCCCTTGTAGAAAAAGGACTTCGAAAAGTGGGCTATGCGGTGGTCAGTGATAACAGAATACTTGAAAGTAATCCCCTCACTCCAGGAACTAGTGCTCAGCTGGCAGAACTAATAGCCCTCACTCGGGCACTAGAATTGGGAGAAGGAAAAAGGGTAAATATATATACAGACTCTAAGTATGCTTACCTAGTCCTCCATGCCCACACAGCACTATGGAAAGAAAGGGAATTCCTAACTTCCGAGGAAACACCTTTCAAACATCAGGAAGCCATTAGGAGATTATTATTGGCTGTATAGAAACCTAAAGAGGTGGCAGTCTTACACTGCTGGGGTCATCAGAAAGGAAAGGAAAAGGAAATAGAAGGGAACCACCAAGCGGATATTAAAGCCAAAAGAGCCACAAGGCCGGACACTCCATTAGAAATGCTTATAGAAGGACCCCTAGTATGGGGTAATCCACTCCAGGAAACCAAGCCCCAGTACTCAGAAGAAGAAATAGAATGGGGAGCCTCACGAGGACATAGTTTCCTCCCCTCAGCATGGCTAGCCACCGAAGAAGGAAAAATACTTTTGCCTGCAGCTAACCAATGAAATTACTTAAAACCCTTCACCAAACCTTTCACTTAGGCATTAATAGCACCCATCAGGTGGCCAAATCATTATTTACTGGACCAGGCCTTGTCAAAACTATCAAGCAGATAGTCAAGGCCTGTAAACTGTGCCAAAGAAATAATCCCCTGCACTGCAGGCCATTCATTTCAATCCCTGTATCTTTAACCTCCTTGTTAAGTTTGTCTCTTCCAGAATCAAAGCTGTAAAACTACAAATCGTTCTTCAAATGGTGCCCCAGATGCAGTCCATGACTAAGATCTACCGTGGACCCCTGGACCGGCCTGCTAGCCCATGCTCTGATGTTAATGACATTGAAGGCACCCCTCCCGAGGAAATCTCAACTGCACCATCCCTACTATGCCCCAATTCAGCAGGAAGCAGTTAGAGCGGTTGTCGGCCAACCTCCCCAGCAGCACTTGGGTTTTCCTGTTGAGAGGGGGTACTGAGAGACAGGACTAGCTGGATTTTCTAGGCTGACTAAGAATCCCTAAGCCTAGCTGGGAAGGTGATGGCTTCCACCTTTAAACACGGGGCCTGCAACTTAGCTCACATCCGACCAATCAGATAGTAAAGAGAGCTCACTAAAATGCTAATTATGCAACAACATGAGGTAAAGAAATAGCCAATCATCTATTGCCTGAGAGCACAGCAGGAGGGACAATGATCAGGACATGAACCCAGGCATTTGAGCTAGCAAATGCTACCCTCTTTGGGTCCCCTCCCTTTGTATGGGAGCTCTGTTTTCACTATTAGATCTTGCAACTGCAAAATAAATAAATAAATAAAATAAAAAAGTGTCTGCTGAAGGTCTACCTGCTGTGTAAGAAAAGAAAACACAATATCGACAACATTCTTCCATTTGCATCATTATCGCTCATTTACTTCTAAAAGGATGGCCTCTGCTTGGAGGGAAAAAATGGGCAATTGAAGCAGAGTTAAAGCATCGTTAGGGCAATATGCCTCTGTCTTTTTAAAGCCTTGGGCTTGTGAGGCTCACTGGTAGGAGATAAAATGTGATGTGAGCACTCAGATACCCCCAAACACAGACAGGAACGACAAACACTGGCATTGAGTAAGTGCTCTAACACCCAAACTCAGGACCACGCCCTACCTGTACATGTTACCTTATTTGGAAATAGGATCTTTCAGATTTAGCAAGATAAAGGAATACTGCACATGGGTGGGCCCTAAGCCAATGATTGGTGTCCTAATGAGAACAGAGAAATTTGAACACACTTGGGGCAGAATGCCAGGTGAACACACACAGGAACAATGCCACGGGAACACACACAACGGGGAGAACGCCATGTGAACACACAGAGGGGAGAACGCCAGGTGAACGCACATGGAGGGGAGAACGCCGGGTGAACGCACACAGGTGGGAGAACGCCAGGAGAACGCACACAGAGAGGAGAACGCCGGGTGAACGCACACAGTCGGGAGAATGCCGGGTGAATGCACAAAGTAAGGAGAAAGTTGGGTGAACTCACAGAGCTGGGAGAACGCGGGGTGAACGCACACAGCGGGGAGAACGCCGGGTGAACGCACACAGGGGGGAGAACGCCCGGTGAACGCACACAGAGGGCAGGATGCCGGGTGAACGCGCACAGTGGGGAGAACGCCCAGTGAACGCACAGAGGGGAGAACACCGGATGAACGTACTCAGCGGGGAGAACTCCAGGTGATCGCACACAGAGGGGAGAACGCCTGGTGAACGTACACAGGGCGATGCATGCACACAGGTGGGCGAACGCCGGGTGAACGCACACAGCGGGGAGAACGCGGGTTGAACGCACACAACGGGGAGAACGCCAGGTGAACGCTCATAGAGGGGGAGAATGCCGGTTGAACCACAGAGTAACAGAGTAGGGAGAACGCCGGTGAATGCACTGGGTGGCGGGGCGGCGGGGGGTGTGGAGAACGCCACTTGAACGCATATGGGGGAGGACGCCAGGTGAACGCAAAAAGAATGGACAAGGCCTGGTGAACGCACAGAGAGGAGAATGCCACGTGAACACACACGGGGGAGAATGCCTCGTGAACGCACACGGGGGAGAATGCCTCGTGAACGCACAGGGTGGAAAACCCCGGGTGAAAGCACAGGAGGCAGAACGCCACGTGAACGCTCCCTGGGAAGAACTTCTGGTGAACGCAGGGGAGGAAGAACGCCGGGTGAATGCACAGTGGGGAGAACACCGCGCTAACACACACGGGTAATAACTCCACATGAACACACATGGGGGAGAACGCCGGGTGCGCGCACAGGGGAAAGAACGCCAGCTGAACGCACATCGAGCATGGAGTCCCAAAGTGATTATGACCTAAGCAGCCAGCCAGGGCTTTACCCTGATATGGAATCAACATTTTGTCCCTTGTCCCCCCAATTCCTGTGTTGAAATTCTAATCCCAAGGTGCTGGTATTAACACCTTGGGATTAGAATTTCAACACAGGAGAGAACCTCCAGTGAGCGCACAGAAAGAAGAACGCCACAGGAACGCACAGTGGAGAGAATGCCATGTGAAGGCACAAAGAACGGAGAACGCTGCGTGAACGCACACACGTGGGGGAGAAAGCCAGGGGAACGCACAGAGTAAATAGAACGCAATGGGAACGCACAGGAAAGAGAACGCCACGGGAACACACCGGGGGAGAACGCCAGGAGAACACACTGAGGAGAGAACTCCGCGTGAACACAATGCGGGAGAACTCCAGGTCAACGCACGGAGAGGAGAACGCCTGCTGAATGCACGGGGTTGGAGAACGCCGGTGAACGCCGGTGAACGCACGGGGAAGAGAACGCCACGTGAACACACGGGGGAGACGCCGCACGAACACACAGAAGGGAGAATGCCGGGTGAACACACACGGGGGAGAACGCCCACGCGAACGCACAGGGTAGAGAATTCCGGGTGAAGGCACAGGAGGGAAACGGCGCGCGAACGCTCAGCGGGGAGAACGCCTGGTGAATGCACGGGAGGGAGAAGGCCAGGTGAACGCACAGGGGGAAAATGCCGCGCTAAAGCACACGGGAAATAACGCCGAGCAAACACACAGGTGGGAGAACGTCGCACGAACGCACAGCGTGGAGAACGCGACGTGAACGCACACGGGGAAGAACACTGCGCGAACGCACAGCAGGGAGAACGCCACTTGAAAGCAAAGTGAGGGGAGAATGCCGCGTTGAACGCACAGTGGGGAGAACAACCCGCGAACTCATAAAGGGGAGAACGCAGCGTGAAAGCACACAGCGGGGAGAACGCCTGGGGAACGCAAAGAGTAAAGAGAATGCCTTGGGAACGCACAGGAGAGAGAACGCAACCTGAACACACGGTGGGGGCTGGAGGAAGAACGTCGGGAGATCACACAGGGAGGAGAACGCCAGGTGAACGCACAAGAGAAAACGCCTGGTGAACGCGCAAAGAAAGGAGAAAGCCAGGTGAACGCACAGGGAGAACGCCGCACAACCGCACAGGTAGGAGAAAGCCATGTGAACGCACAAAGAAAGGAGAACGCTGAGTGAACGCACACAGGGCCGAGAACGCCAGGGGAACGCACACAGTAAAGAGAACACCGAGAACGCCGTGGGAACGCACAGGAGAGAGAACGCCACGTGAACACACGAGGGAGAACGCCGCGGGAACACACAGAAGGGCGAATGCCCGGCGAACGCACAGAGGGGAGAACGCCAGGGGAACACGCACGGGGGAGAACGCTGCGCGATCACACAGCGGGGAGAACACCGGGTAAACACACACTGGGGAAAACACCGCGTGAACGCATAGAGGGGAGAACCCCGGGTGAACACACAGAGGGGAGAGCTCCGTGTGAACACAAAGGGAGGAGAACGCCTGGTGAGCACACACGGGGAGAGAACACCGCGCGGACCCACAAGGGGGAGAATGCCTGGTGAACGTACAGCGGGAGGGGAGAACGCTGGTGAACGCACAGCGGGGAAAACGCCATGTGAACGCACAAAGGAAGGAGAACGCCAGGTGAACTCATACAGGGGGTAGGAACGCCAGAGGAAAGCACACAGTAAAGAGAAGGCCGTGGGAACGCGCAGGGGAGAGAACGCCGGGAGAACACAGAGGGAGGAAAATGCCAGGTGAACGCACAAGGGGGAAAACGCCTGGTGAACGCACAAAGGAGAAAGCCAGGTGAACGCACAAGCAGCAGAACGCCAAGTGAACGCACGAGGGGAGAATGCTGCGCCAACACACACGGGAAACACAACCGCGCGAGCACGCAGTGGGGAGAACGGCACGCGAACGCTCAGCAAGAAGAACGTAAGTTGAACGGACAGCGGGGAGAACGCCGCCCTAACACACGCGGGAAATAACGACGCGTGAACACACAGCAGGGAGAACGCCGCGTGAAAGCACAGGGGGGAGAACGCCGCGTGAATGCACACACGGGAAATAACGCCGTGTGAACACACAGCGGGGAGAACGCCGCGTGAACGCACACAGGGGAAATAACGCCGCGCGAACACACAGGGGGAAGAACGTCACAGGGACGCACAGTGGGGAAACGCCATGTGAACGCACAAAGAAAGAACGCCACGTGAACTCGCACACGCGGGGAGAACGCCGGGGAAACGCACACAGTAAAGAGAACGCAGTTTGAACGCACAGGGGAGAGAACGCCACGTGAACACACAGAAGGGAGAATGCAGTGCGAACACACAGAAGGGAGAACACCTGGTGAAGGCACAGAGGGGAGAACGCCGAGCGAACGCACAGGGTGGAGAATGCCATGTGAACGCACAAAGAAAGGAGAACCCCTGGTGAACGCACACAGGAGAAAGAATGCCGAGGAACGCACAGAGTAAAGAGACCGCCGTGGGAACACACAGGGGAGAGAACGCCACGTGAACACATGGGGAGAACGCCGCGGGAACACACAGAAGGGCGACCGCCTGGTGGATGCACAGAGGGGAGAACGCCAGGGGAACACACACAGGGGAGAACGCTGGGCGATCACACAGGGTGGAGAACGCCGGGTAAATACACACTGGGGAAAACGCTGTGCAATCGCATAGAGGGAAGAACGCCGGGTGAACACACAGGGTGCGTTCTTCCATCATGCGGCTGCGCCTGAGTCTCTGAGTCTACTCTGGCTTAGAAGGCTGCCTGATTCGCAAATTGTTTATTGCTCAATTACATGCTTTTAAATTTAATTCAGCTGAAGTGTTTCTTTTCTCACGGCCCACCCACTAGATGTGGCTCTGTCACTGGTGCTGGCCAGTGGGGCGTGGAGGGACCGGTGTCCTTCCCAGCACAGACACAAGGAAGCGGCTGTGCCTTCTCCACACTCTTCTCCCTGACTCTTGGCTACAGCTGTAAACCCAGGGTTAGATTCAGGGGCCTGTGACCTCCAATGGGAAAACAACTGCATTATTTGTACCTCATATTTAGTATTTCCATCAATTATGAGTGTAGGCAAAAAAGCACAGTAGCTTCAGCAGGACTGGTGTTTTGCTGGCAGTACAAAACATTTTCATATCCTATTCCTTGCTGTCTTGTGTTTTCTTTAATGTGTTAAAAAATCTTATTCTGAGACCATCAGGCCACTGGAAGGGGTTCATGGCACAAAAAAAGATGCAGCCCAGCAATAAGGTGAAAGAGAGATGACGGAGCCACTGGACACAAGAAGCCTTGCACCCTGAGTCACCCCGTGGAGCACTGACGAGCCTCGGCTCCTGATTCATTATGCGGAGTGCTGCCTAGTACCAGGAGCAACAGCACTGGACAGGGACATGAGTAAGAAATAAAACTTCCAGAGCGTGAAGCTAGTGAAATGATGGGATGTGTTTATCACAGGGCTAGCATCATCCTAACCAGCATGGAGACATGCGGGGCTGTGAACGGGAGCCTAGAGCTGCAAATTAGACAAGCCTGGGCCAGGAGACCTTTTGCAGGCTGCAAAGCTGCTCTCTCCTTTGCCTCCTCTGTACCTCAAAGGACCTGGGGTGGTGAAGGGAGTTGTGGGCCGACCTGAGTCAGCCTGAACAGGCTGTTCCTTCAGCAGATTCCTCAAGCTCTGCCCCGGCCCCTTCCTCGGCCCACCCCAGCTTGCCCTCCAAGGGGTATTATCACTGTGACCCTCGTCTCCTCCTCCTGTTCAGGCTTTGCCTTGGCAGCGCAGCAGTGCCCCTCTGCAAAGGGGTCTCGCATGCTGTTCAGCAGCTCTCTTCCCGCCACAGCGATGGGCAGCCGGATCCCAGCTGGAACTCCGCCACATCCCAGGAATGTGAATACCAGTGGAATCCGGATAGGACGGTGTGACCCAGGCACAGTGGGTGAGAACCGGAGCTTGGCTAGCAGGCAGGGGTTCAGCTGCTTCCTGACCTGTGCCCTGGCACCTCTGACCTGGCCGGAGCTTCTCAGGCAGTGACCACTGCTGAAACTTTGAGACCCCAACATGTGTGGGAGCATTTCTAAGCCTTCCTTGCATGGACACACTCCTCCCTAACGCTGTCCCATTTTCCAGACAGGGTCTCACCCACCCCGCACTGCTGCCCCCAGTGCTTTGATTCAGCCCCTCAGCTGTGAATGGAGTTGGTTCCTCATATGAGATCTCAATAAGACTATGGTGGGAGTCGGCGTAGAGCAGGGAAAGCCTGGACTTTCTGCCAGAAGGTCGGGGTGGGGCAGTGCAGGCCACGGCACCTCCCGGCTCTGTGCACAGGGTGGGCCACCCCAACCCGGCTCCTCACACTTCACGGCATGCAGCAGCCTCCTGGGCCCTGGGAACATGCAGACTCTGAGCAGCAAGACTGCGCAGGACCCGACATTTGCATTTCTAAACAGCTCCCAGGGGACGCCAATGCTGCGGGCTGAGGCCCACGCTGGAGGAACACCGGCCAGTGGGCAGCTTTGGGTGAACTTCAGAGTGGGTGGAAGCGCAGCTGCCCCGCCTGCCCCCACGGCTGCTGCGCGATCAGGAAACACAGCACACTCCTAAGTGAGTCGTCACCATGGTGACTTTTGGATTCCCACTGCCAGTTCCTGTGGAGTCAGAGAGATCTTAGCTCAGAAGTGCTGACAGCAGGGGCTGGCTGGCCACTGGCCACATGGGAAGAGGAGAAAGGCAGCAGGAGCCACCGTGAGGCAAATGAGCTACAAGACGCCGCTCCGTCTGATTTCCCGCCACAGCTCCCAACACAGGTGAAATGGCTCAGAACAGCTCAGCATGTCCTACTGAGGGGCAGGAAGGATGCTGAGAAAATCCCAGGCAGCGGTCTCAGCTGGGATGTAATTTGAGGGCGAAAAAGTTGTGTTGCTTGCGGTTTCTTCCTTGCTCCTTGCAGGTTATATTTGAAATGAATGTCAGAGCCATGCGGCCGCTGCCAACTAATTCCCAGCTAAGAAGGTAAACACCAGCATCACCTGGGTCTTCTGGTCTACCTGATTCTGCAGCTCAGAGGGAACCATGCAGCTGGCAAAAATGACAGCGAGGGCAGGACTATGACCCAATTAAAGGAATGTGAGTTAAAACATGGGGAGCCAAACACCCAAATTCCAGCCTGATCCTAACTGTATGTAGGCATTAAACCCTTATGCTGTCATTCCCACCACCGAGTAGAAAGTGTGGCACGTGGCTTTGTATCACTGTAAATATGATTCTATTTTACTGGCCTTCAGCCTCCCTCCTTTTGCTCACAGCCTTTACTGCAGCCAGCAGAGAGGGGCACTGCCTCCAGCACAGCCCAAGCGAGCTGGCTTTCCATGGAGGCTCGAAAGGGCTCCCTGTCTCCTGCACACTCACATGGCTTCTGCTGCTGGACACGCACATAAAAGCATGTTTGTGAAGCCTTGCATGGAATCCACAGCAGAGGTGCAAGGAGATCCAGGGGTCTTGACCTCCTGAGATTCTTTGGGGCGGCAGGGGTCGGGCGTTGTATAGCGATATTTACGTTTTTTCCATTCTGGAAACCACAGAGACAGTGGGAGGGGGAGATTCTCTGGTCAAGAAATGAAATAGAATGGAGAAGCAGAGAGAAGAGGAATGAGGAAGCTGGGTGGTACCAGGTCTCCCTGAAGAGGGATAGGGGGGCTGGGTGGTACCAGGTCTCCCTGAAGAGGGATGGGGGGCTGCGTGGTGCCGGGTCTCCCTGTGCTCACAGCACCGTGTGTATCCCCTTCGAGTGCCATGGGAGGTGTGTGACTTCTCTGAAAGGCAGGAAGCGGCAGGGACCACATTTCTCCTGTCACCCGGGTATTCCCAACCCCTGGCTCACTGCTTCTCCCCCAGAGCAGGAACTCTGCAGACAGTTGCTGAATAAACAAGTGAACCAATGAATGAAATAAAGGTGAGACCCAATGGGAAATGCAAGAGTTGCCAGGAACAGCAGGAGGACCACACTCCTGGGAGATCTCCCACGCCATGAATTATACCACCACACACCCACACGCATGCTGCCCGCGCTGTGGAAGCATAGCACAACCCTGTGTATGGAGCACACACCCCCCCAGAACACAACTCCATGTGTGGGAGCACACTCCCTTCCAGAGCACAACTCTGTGTGTGGGAAAACACACCCCTCCGGAACACAACTCCATGTGTGGGAACACCCCTCTGGAACACAGCTCTGCACTCACCCCTCCAGAACACAACTCTGTGTGTGGGAATACACACCCCTCCGGAACACAACTCCGTGTGTGGGAACACCCCTCTGGAACACAGCTCTGCACTCACCCCTCCAGAACACAACTCTGTGTGTGGGAATACACACCCCTCCGGAACACAACTCCATGTGTGGGAACACCCCTCTGGAACACAGCTCTGCACTCACCCCTCCAGAACACAACTCTGTGTGTGGGAATACACACCCCTCCGGAACACAGCTCCGTGTGTGGAGCACTCACCCCTCCAGAGCTCCTGTACTTTTCCCTTTAGGCCATATAGGACGCTGGTCAAAGAATTTCCATCCAGGAACCAGCTAGGACTCCCAGGGTCTCTTCAGGCCTTTCCCACTGCCTTCCCATCATCCCCAGCAGAACACCCGTGGTCCTGCAGCCCCGCAGCCTGCAGTCACGCTCTGTCCTCCCACTCAGCAGCATGAGGGACAAATTGTAAATTTCTGCAGCAGGCCTTTGTTCCCGCCAGCACCGGGCTGTGTTTGCCTTTCCGTGCCTCGCATGCTTTCAGGCCTGAGTCCTCTGGCTTCTTTCCCCACACTCTCTCCTCTGACCACCAGTTCCCTGCCTCTAAGCTATTGCTGCAGGTTTTGCCAACGCTTCTTCCTTCTCCACTTCCTGCACCTTCGCATGTTCCTTGAGGCCTTGAACCCCTTTCCTATGCTGCCCACTCCTGTTCCCAAGTTGCACTGCCACCCCACCATCTCCACCCACCGCTGCTGCATGCCCTGTTCATTACCTGCTGATGTCATTGCTGCCACCGTCCACCCACCCTGAAGGCCCAACCCGCTCTCCCCACCAACTCCTGATGCCAGCTCACCTCCCTGCCCGGCCCCGCTCTCCCCACCAACTCCTCAATGCCAGCTCACCTCCCTGCCCGGCCCCGCTCTCCCCACCAATTCCTCCTGCCAGCTTAGCTCCCTGAGCAGCAGCCTTCAGCAGACACAGGGCTGGCTTCCACGCAGTGGTGAATTCATGAAAGGGGCCCTGTTCGTGCTTCTCTTGATCTCTTACCACCTGGATTGGATGAAAATCTGCCTGGATGTCTTTATTACTGGCTAGTGAATCCTAACACATGGGCTTTCTGAGTATATCTTAATTTAATCCATCTTGCATTTTGCCAATGGTTCCTCATAGTCAACCTCCGAATCAAGGTGGATATCTTTCTTAAGCTAAAACATGTAGAATAAAAGCCACTTTTATTCAGGAATTTTCTGAATGTTCCTCTCCGCTGAGGACCCCCACTCTGTCCCCTAACCCACACTCCAGGGCAAGACACCAGTTCCTTTCTCCCCACTCCTCAATGGCTTTCTCAGCTGTCGGACACTAGGTAAGCAGCTTCCTCAACGGCTCATCAGCAATGGACTGAGTATTACTAATTTTAAAATAGCCCTTGAATATTATTGATTCATGTGGTTTTTCTACGAAACACAAACTTAGCTGCACTGTGCTTGCCTGGGACTTCCTGTTTCATTTTGGCCCAGCATATCTCCCATGCAGAGCACATGAGAAACCCTTGTAAGATAATGAAGGCAAGAGGATGGGGACTGGGCAGTGTTGGTGGCTGCCTTTTGTGTCTGTCCTTGGTTCACCAAGCAGTCTATGGAAGACACGACAGTCGGGGAGAGCTGGCTGGGGCCGGGGGCCTAGGTCTGAGTGTCTGCCTGACCGTGCACCTGCGGAACCTCTGGCAGGTGGCAGATTCTCCAATGACTCACAAAGGAATCAGTGTCTCCTCACTGGGATTTCATTTGGAGTGAAACCAACATAAGATGGCACGCACACAGCAGAAGTGCCATGTATTAAACACCCATCATGCCACAATTCTGCTTCCTCTGTCTCCTATTCAAGGGGCCTTCTATGGGAAGCCTTGGGGGAGTAAAGCAAACACTCCCTGCAATATCGCATCCACCATAGAAACCCCGAGAGGAGATTGCTCCGTGAGACCACGCCAGGGAAGGAGGATGCTGAATACAAGATTCCGTCCTCATCCATGGGCACAGAACTTTATCGGGACCTGGGCAAACAGCTAGAGCTTTACACAGCATCGCGTGAGCTCTTTGAAGTGCAAACATCAGTGCAGCAATGTGATTTTTCTCTCCCGCTCTCAAGGACATTCTCTCATGCCTTGCTGTTGGAGAGGGAACATTGCCTGCTCACTTAGCCTTTCCCTTGAACCGTTTCCTCCCTCCTCTGGGTGACAAGCTCTGCTCTGCTCTGCTCTGCTCTGCTCAGCTCAGCTCAGCTCAGCTGTTTGCAGTGCGGCTTCTGGAGGCTCCCAGCAGACACCTTCCCTCCTGCCGGGACAGACACGTTCCACAGAAGTGCCCCTGTTCTCCCTGCCACAGCCAGCGTGGGAAGCAGGAGAGAGAAGAAAACGAATTGTTGTGAAAAGATGTTATCACAGCATCACAAAAATATGGGATAAATGGAACTAGAAACACCACTATAGGTCAGCAAAGGAGGAGACCCATCAGTCCCCCAGCACGCCAGGAATGAAGCTTCTCAGGATGAATTCTGAAGCCTTGGAGGCCAGCCTTAGGCGGGTAACACCCAGGGCAGCCTCCTATCTTAACTCCACGCTAAGAATCAGGCTTTTCCCAGTCCTCTGAAGGGACTCACACAGCAGATGATAGGGATGCAATGATCTGTGCATTAGCTGTTAGAGCACAACACGCATCCTCCTCTCTTTGGTCTTGTGCTTGCATTTTACTTTGGTGAGAATTTTAATACATAAATGTGCACATGAATGGAGTTTACAGATTGTAAAAGTGAAAACATTATAATGCTTTGAAGCGTGGTAAAATTTCCTTCCCTCTTTCTTCCCTCCCTCCCTTCTTCGTTCTAGGGTGTTAGGTTCCAGTGGAATGAGGAACTGACAGTGGAGGATGGCAGAGGCCTGGCAGGGCATGTCAGCACTGAGGGGGAGGTGGCACCCCCATCTGCAGGAGGGACAGCAGCACAGCTTGGTAACATACACATAGATCAATAAAATAAGTGAAGACAATGGGAGCCAGGTTTATCAATATTAGGGAAAGTTACAAACATGGACAGAAAGAAAACTAGAATGATCTCTGCAGTATTAGATTAGAATTAAAAGCACTGGTGTGAACCTACGGCTTGTAGTATATGTGGATCAATGTAGATATGAATGCAGACATCCACGTATGTGGGGAGCGGTACTTCTCTCCTGGTAGGTATGGCTGGCTCCAGCTTTGGGAAGCACATGAGCTAGAATGCACTGCACTGCCCAAGAGTAAGGAAGGGCTCAAACAATGGCCTGGAGGTGAGAAGATGACCCAGACACCAGGTTGAGGGTCTCTCACTGGCCAAATGAGAGCTATTTAAGCCATAATGAAAGCAATGGGTTTTAACTCACAGAATGAAACAGGAAACCTTAACTCCATATCGACTTAAATTCCTAAATGAGGAATGGAATATTTACATAACTTCTGAGTTCTATTAATTACAAAGAAGAAATGAAAACCTAACAGTGGAGAAGCTGACGGACCCAGCCCCAGTGAGTCTTGTGAGGATCACGCACCATCTAACAGGATGCCACAAGGAGAAGCCCAATTGCTCACCCTAGAAACGTGCCCTGAGGAAACGGCAGGCAAAACTAAGCTGAGGAACAGTCTACAGAATAACCACCTGCAATCTTCACAAAAGCCAAGAAATCCCCGGGAGCGTTCCAGACTGCAGGAGACTGTGGGGCACAACAACCAAACACCCTGTGGGTCCTAGGTGGATGCTTTTGCTTGAAAGGAAATTGTTGAGACAATTGGTGACAGTGAAATGAGGCCTATGGATGGGGTGACAGTGATGTGTCAGGGCCCATTTCTTTCTTTCTTTTTTTTTTGAGATGGAGTCTTACTCTGTCACCCAGGCTGCAGTGCAGTGGCGCAATCTCGGCTCACTGCAAGCTCCGCCTCCTGGGTTCACGCCATTCTCCTGCCTCAGCCTCCCGAGTAGCTGGGACTACAGGCGCCCGCCACCACGCCCGGCTAATTTTCTTGTATTTTTAGTAGAGATGGGGTTTCACTGTGTTAGCCAGGATGGTCTCGATCTCCTGTCCTCGTGATCCGCCTGCCTCGGCCTCCCAAAGTGCTGGGATTACAGGCATGAGCCACCGTGCTCAGCCAGGGCCCATTTCTTGATCCAGGCGGTTATGCTGTGAGGTGTAAGAGAACATCCTGTGTAGAAAACATGCCCTAAGTATCTAGGGGTGATGTACATCATGTCAACAACTTGTTCTCAAGTGTTTCAGGGGGAAAACAATTCTTTGCACCATTCTTGCAAATTTCCTGCAAACTTAAGTCTTTTTAAAAGAAAAAGAAATACGGAATCAGGTGTCCAAGCATCTAGGGAAAGGTGTCATTCGACTAAGGGATGGGGCTGGGAGCGAGGCTTACTTGTCATAACACACTTTGGTTTCAAATTTTGACTGTTTCCACCTATTCTGTTCATGTTGGTAGTAAAATCTGTGTCTGTACATACTTGTTCTTTCTTGGGAATGGAAGCCATCCAGGAAGCCCTGCATGAAACTGTATGTTATTTCTTCATCTTCGCCCCAAAAGGAGAACACCAGGAACAGCTCAGAGAGAGCCCAGGGAGGTCAGGTGTGTGGGCGCCTGCGTGCACCGAACAGACGATGTTGACTCACAGGGGATGGATTAGTCAGGGTTCTCCAGAGAAACAGAACCAATAGGATGTGTGTGTGTACAGGGAGATCAATCTATTTTAAGGAATTGGCTCATGTGATTACTAAGGCTGGCAAGTCCAAAATCTGTAGTTAAGCCCAAAGGCCGTGTGCTGGAGAATTCTCTCTTGCTCGGGGGAGGTGAGTCTTGTTGTATTCAGGCCTTCACTGACAGGATGAGGCCAACCCACATTAGGGAGGGCTATCTGCTCCACTCAACTCCACTAACTGGAGTGCTCATCTCATCCAAGAGCACCCTCACAGAAACATCCAGAATAATGTCAACCAATTATCTAGGCACCCCAAACCCAGCCAAGTTGATGCATAAAATCGGTCAGCATGTTGAATAGAATATCTAAAAGGAAAGTAGAACCATTTTTCAATTTTTCTGGGCTATATTTTTATGTTATAATTTCATTATTTTAATACAAATGTGTTAAACTGCCTGAACTTCACAGCTATGGCCAAATGCAAATGCAATGATATGTTCCCAACATCCATGTCACCACTTCCTGCATTACCAGGTATCAGAAATGGTCTAGTGACTCACAGCAGCAGAGAAGATAACACAAAAGAAGCAACTCGCCTGACCTCAGTGTAAAAATTAGCAACAAGTCTGTTGAAATTAAAATAAGTAGAAGACATACCACATTCTTAAGAGATTGACCAACCCTTTCTTAGGGAGATTGCTAACTAGAGAAACTCACTGATAAAGGAACAGGCATCCCATCAGACAGGAAAAGAGCAAAAGTTATCATGAAAGAGCAAGGCGAACTTCATAACACACCCCGGTTCTGCCGTCCGTTTGCTGATAACCCATTCTTTCTACTCCTCTGCACATCTGATTTTGATCACCACACTGTACACCGGGGTGGAGAGAAGTGACAGCATCACCAGCAACAGCATTCCGAGAAGAAGAGGGAAGAGCTTCTAATTTTATATTGAACAAGTCATAGTGTCTGAGTAAAAACAAGTTGCTATCTGCCTCCTGGTGATCACCTTAGAAAATCATCATCCATATTTTCTTTCTTTTTGAGACTCCAGCCTCTGTCACCCAGGCTGGAGTGCAGTGGTGTGATCTCAGCTCACTGCAACCTCTGCCTCCTGCCTCAGCCTCCCAAGTAGCTGGGATTACAGGCACGCGCCACCATGCCCTCCTAATTTTTTTGTATTTTTAGTAGAGACGGGGGTTCACCATGTTGGCCAGGCTGGTTTTGAACCTCTGACCTCAAGGGATCTGCCTGCCTCGGCCTCCCAAAGTGCTAGGATTACAGGCATGAGCCACCGTGCCTGGCCAATCCATATTTTCCAATTTAGAAATATGGACTATTGATGAAAAAACTAATTCTCAACAACAGTGATGAGCGACGTGCAGCCCCCAACGATCTGTGGTGAAGAGAAATGAGATTAGGAGGAACGGCTGAATTCCACACATGCTTTTCCAAACCCAATTCAATTCATTGTTGGGTTTAGTTTCCCTTTATCAAAGATCCTGTCCATATCTGGTATAACTCAGATTTTAAAAATTGAACTTGAGACAAATAGGACACAATCAGGAAGCTATTTTGCTTAAAAAAAAAAAGTCTCACATCATCTTCAGGGCTCTTATCCTCAGAACACAAACACTTCAGGTGCTCAGCACAGAAGGAGAAGTCTACTTTGTTCCAGTTTCATTCATCAGGACTCAGTAATGCAAGGTGATATGCTGGTTCCATGCAGGATGTGCTTAGCAAACACCCATTACAAGTCCTGGTTGCCACCTGCCTGCTCTCTGGGAAGAACTATGGAGAAAAAGATGTCATCGTAAGCCCAATTTGCCCTAATAAAAAAATTACTCAGTGATTGCACTCTTCACCAGTGAAGAGTCCCCAGAGAACAGCACAAGGACAGCAAGTAGAAGAATCCGTATCTTCTTGCATTCTCAGCATCACTGTTTGATGTGTGCTGGCAGCTACACTCCCCATTCAAGATGGGCACAGGACAGAGCCCAGAGACATCACTGTCCTGCATGTGCAAATGTTACACTTCTTGTATGTTACACCTTGCACATTCAGGGTGCTTTGTCTAAAGCCTAGGTTTAGAGAGCCACTCTGTCCCTCAAGGCTTGTGCCTGTCTCTGCTTTTCTGAGGGTCTACAGGTCCTATGCTGTTTGAAAAGGTGGTGTGGTGACCTTGAAGTCCCTTACCTCAGTGATACATGGCCCATGGGGCCCTACTTGTGTTCACCAAGCTGCAGCAAGGGTGACCTCCTGCTGACCTCCATCTTCAATTCGTCCAGGTCAGCCCTGCCTCTGTGAGTGCAGCTCTTCTGTAGAAGCCCTGCTCCACTGGGGCTCTCCCCAGACTCTCCTTTTCTTTGCATGAGCTAGGACCCAAAGGAGAGGATCACAAAAAGGCATTCAAGGCCACATCTCAAGCTTCAGTCTCAAACTCACAAAGAAAATTGGAGGATGCCAGCAACTAGCAACTGTTTACAATGGCCTGGAATGAAATGACATCTTCAATTCAATTCAGCAAGCAATCATGCAGCACCAACTATTTGCACAACACACTGACAGAGGCTGGCAAAAAGGCTGCATGGTTTACATGCAGAGCCTGTTCATTCAGCATCATTGGCTCCTTCCACAAAGATAAATCAAATGTCTGTGTTGTGATTGGAAGTGTGCTCAACTAGTGTTTTTAAAAGTTCAAATGCTTTTTGAAAAATGCCACTTACCATCACTGTGTCACTATACAAATTGTTTAACATGTCTATTTTTGATGCTTCATTAAAATGGCAAGGACCATACTTTGCAGAGCTGTTGTGACAATTAAATAAGAACATACATGTAAAATACCCAGCATGTGCACTTTTGCACTTATATATTACAATTAATTGTGCATAACATATAAAATTACTTATTCTATTAGAATCTCCAGCTCTTAATAGTGCCTGTAAGAAAGGGACCACTTGTCCTTATAAATCCTATATAGAAAAAAATGAAAGAGAATAATTATTTCAGAGACTTGGTTTGGGGAAAGTTGCTTTGCATTACAAAGAAAATAAATGGGAACTTTCCCCCAGATGGATTGAAGTCCTGGCATGGCTCCTACCATTTTGTTTCACATGGAAGACAGGCTAAGAGAAAAGCCATAATATAAAGCAGGACAGAGCCCAGCGTCCTGGGAAACAATTAACCTGGACCCCTGATCAAACTGTACCTTGTAAAAGTTTTCAGAATCAAAATGAAGTCATTTGTGTAAAACAACAAAAACAAAAACAGAACCCTGACAAATTGATCTGGGGAAGGATATGAAGGGGTTCTCATGCTTGCAGGCCTGGTAACAAAACTGTCACAAAAGACTACTAAAACAAAACCTTGCACAGAGCCATCACAAACTTACACAAAAAATGCTTCTGTGAGGACATCTGCCCAGCAACTGCCTTTCCAGTCTCAGAATAGCATCATCTTTATTATTGATCCTTTGTACCCAAGGATAATTATTGCAAAACAATTATGTCATTCTCCTGCATTTTTCCTTTAAAAACCTTTGTCTTATTTTAGTTTCCCAAATATGCCCATAGTTTACTATGGCACATGTATTCCCATTGCAATGCCCATCTTCAAATAAATATCATTTTTCTTTAGAGCGCCCATGTCTATGTGTTATTTAGGGTGACATAAATGGTGTCAGAAGTGCGACCTTGAAAAAGACCATCAGAAAGCACCAGTGATTCTTGGACCTGGTGTGAACTACTCACTTGAGCCCATTGAATGCTCTGCTTCCAGGGCTCACTTTCTCTGCCCTGGTGCATTGTCTCTCAGGCCAAGCCTCCTTCTTTTTGGTAGAGAATTTTTTATATTATTCAGGATTTTGTTTGGTTACAAGGCTGTCTTAATAAAGGATCTGACATCCTTCCTGGAGATGATAAAAGACTTTTTGTCTTTTCTGGCAAGTCATTTCTGGTATAAAAACAAGAATCTTTCTGATTTGAGTACCCTGATTTCCACAGAATTTATATTCTGTCTGCGAGGCATGTCTTTCCTGGTGAACTTACTTTTGTTCTATGCATCTAGCTGAGTAATTTGTTTGATCATCCTCCCTGGGTTAAAATGAACACTCTGAGTATAGTCTGAAGGCAAAAAATAAACATTCTAAATGGCTAACTAAAAGCCATCAGGGTGGTTGCCACCATCTAAAATACCAGTCCAAACTTGTGACAAGATTTATAGGATCTTGTTTTCTTCTTCAGAGATTAATAAGAAATGGAATGGGATTCTCAAACATAAAGGCATGCTAAGTTTTCTTAGATGCCAGCTTATTGCGGGATCTGGCCAGCAGCCCACAATGCAATGGGGCTCTCTCTTTGTTCCCAGGCAGATCAGCAGGTCGAGAAATAATAGACACACACAAGATAGTGAAAGCTGGGTCCAGGGGGGTCACCGCCTTCTGGTCCTGCAGTGCCAACAATGCACTGGATATACCAGCATTTATTATTAAGTTTAGTGAGGGCAGGGGTAGGTTAGTTAGGGATTTAGGGTTGTTTGATTATGAGGTGAGATGGTCACATGGGGATGAAGTAATTCTTTAACATAACTTCTGTATGCAGAAGTACAGTATACAGAGATAAGAATTTACAATATAGTGTGTGCATCAGTAATTTCTAACAGAGCCTTAAAACGGAAAAACAGTCTTTCCATAACCTATGATTAGCAAGATATTAATCAGCAGTAACAGTTGCAGCAAAAGCCGGTTACAAACAATCCATAGAAACAGGACGTGAAGAAATTCTCAGAAGGTAGTATGCCTTAACCCTAAAGAGGCCTAGAAGAGCTGTGGCAAGATGAGGGCGTTTATAGCCCTATCTTATCCAAATGGACAGGCACCCCTCATGCGTCCATTTATAGCTCTCCACAAGGGTCACATTCCATTCCCAGAGCTATGAACATCTGCTTTTCTGGGATAGGAATCTTGGTGATGTGAAACCTCCCTGACTGCACATCCATTCATAGGCTCTCTGCAGGGGGAAGCACAACACGCGCTGCTGGCTCGTTCTGGCAGTCCAACCTGGCATTGTCTTTACACAATCCTGCATGCAATCCTGTATTTACAACAATCAGGAGCATTTCACTTTTTATTCCGTAGCAATACTTTCAGGGGGTCTCCCTACACCAGCTGACTTATTATGGCTCATTTTTGTGCACATTTTTTTAACTGATTGACAAATTACATCAAGGAAAATTCAGAGGCTCAAATGGTCATTACTGAAACTCTCTAAAAACATCCCTGAAACTATAGTTAACATGTAGTGCCTTCTAAGTTCTCTAATTTTCTCTTCCAATTTTTTTCTGCCTAGTTTGAATCTGCTGACTTTTCTACTGGTGTTCAGATAAAATTCACTGCTTATTGCATTCGAGCCAATATTTTTACAAAAGGTCCTAAAGGTCATTCAAATTAATAGCTTTACAAATAACAACAGCTCAACGGTAACCAAGAAACTAGACATAAGGGTCAACTCTTTTAATGTAAATTTGGGCTTGCCTAACAATTGCTTAGGATAATTAAATAATTAATTGAAGGACTGGCAACTATAAAACTATAAACTACTTATAAAACTAAAAGAACTAGATAAATGTTTATAAAGATATAAAGATTGAAACTAAAAAAAGGATTAAAAGAGGTATTTTTGTTCTTTTTAAAAACCAAACTGTTTTACTCAAAATTCTGGTCCACAGCTTTTATTATATTACCTATTTGGGCAAACAAAGTGTAGTCATGTGAACAGGTCCCAATTTTGTCAGAAATGCAATTTGGATCCAACTGTCTTTTATAAACTAATGAGATTGTATGCTTTACAGTATTATGACTAAAATTCTAAAATGAAAGCTATAAGAACTTTGTTTCTGTGTGTGAATATGTGTGTTTGTTCATATGTACATGTATTATATTGTATGTTGTGTCTCCATGGCAAAATCTGGTATGGTCAGCTAGAAATCTCTTAAGAAATTTTATTCAGATTGGCTTAGATAAAAAAGCACTCATATAAAATATACAGCAATTCACTCAAATGCCTTTTAGTTCATATGACTTAAGTAAATCTTTAATAAACTGGCTCTAAAATTGTTGGAAAAATAAAAATATCTTTAGAATTGTCAAAATACATTTTTGCCTGAGTTTATTGGTCAGACAGTTTTATGTCTCTATGAGATATTTTAAGGTAGCAAGGTTTAACGTAAAGGTTATAAAACTACAAACCCAGCCGACAACAAGATGATCTTTGTCCAACTCTCTGATAAGACTAATTTAATATTGTTGGCTTAATATAAACAGCTGTGTCTTCTGAGTTATTTGCAAAATATTCACATACTTAATTTTGAGATTCTTATTTAGGTGAACATGTGATATTCTTCAGGCTATAAAAATAGTTAACAACAATAACAAAAATGGAATAACTAGCCTTGTCTAATATCTTGGTTTTCACAAGTAATCTAGGTATATTGTTCAAAATAGATAAATTAGTTAAGCATAAATGGGGTAAACATTTATAAATTAACTTTTAATGTAATTTGAAATATTAAAGCTATATTAAATTAATATTCATTAAATATCTGGGTTATTTCCAAATGAGATTAAAACTGAGAAATTTCTGAACATAAATGTTTGTTCTTTGCTTCTTAAATTTTATGACTAAATATATTTGGTTCTATTAATGTACATAAAATTTATGTTGTGGAAAAGCATTTTTTAAAATTATAAAATGGTTCTCATCTATAAAATACCAGCATGTGACAGTTTAAAATTACTTGCTAAAAATTAAGGTTATTAAGAGTTAAAATTCTAATTAATATTTATAAATCTGTATATAAAGTGCACCTAAGATGTTTTAATAATAAAAATCATTTTAAAAAGGCATTAAGCATGTGTTATTTAAAGAATAATTTTGTCTAATTTGAAGGTTAAAGGTTGATTAAAATACGGAGTTAGAAAGAAAACAGAAACAAGATACAAAGAAATCAGTAAGCAGGAAAGATGTAAAGAAAGTTATGAGTATGAAGATGTACTTTTGGTTAGAAAGGTTGAAAAGACAAGATAATAATTTTGTATGAGAATCTTGTGTGATAATTTTTTGTACTAAAATAAAATGACTGGTTGGTTTTTTTTAAAAAAGAAAGTATAGGACAAAGCAGAGAGTCTAAACATGCTGTAAAATTTCCAAGCAGGTAAATAAAAGTTAATGAAGGATGAATTTATGAAGAAATTTCACATTATCAAGTTGGCTATAATTAGAAGGAAATCACTTATAATTCTTTCTGAAGATTGAGCTTTGATATCAAAATAAAAATGCACTAATAGAAAACTAAAAATTTTATCCCATATGTTAGAACAGGGTTTTCCTGAAATATTGATTTGCTCAGCCCGGTGCAGTGGCTCACGCCTGTAATCCCAGCACTTTGGGAGGCCGAGGTAGGTGAATCATGACCTCAGGAGTTCAAGACCAGCCTGGCCAAGATGGTGAAAGCCTGTCTCTACTAAAAATACAAAAAAGTTAGCTGGGCATGGTGGCAGGAACTTGTAATCCCAGCTACTCAAGAGGATGAGGCAGAGAATTGCTTGAACCCGGGAGGTGGAGGTTGCAGTGAGCCGAGATCGCACCACTGCACTCCAGCCTGGGTGACAGAGTGAGACTCTGTCTCAAAAAAAAAAAAAAAAAAAAAAAGAAAGAAATACTGATTTGCTCTTAGTAAAACTGTAAAGAGGTTTTGATTTTTAACTTTGAAATCGGTTTCTTCAATAGTTATCTTCTAAATTGCAGGGAGTTTCTCTTTTCTCCACATTTCTTCCTAAGATTCTTTTAATTTCCCTAGTTACAGGTTAGAAATGCCATCTTTTTCATTCAGAATGGAAATTTCCTTTCTTATGGCAAAATTTTCGTCTTAAAGCTTCTCCGATTCCTATCTGAGAAGCTCAACTTTTGCTCTATCTCAACAGCACATCATTTGCAGGTCTCACACCATGGCCTTCAGCTCTTTCTCTTTGAGAAGACGTGTGATGATAGCCCTCTGCTTCAACCTTTGTCACTCCTGTAACTTTCTTCTCCAGTTCTATATCTGCTATTATAACGTGACACTGAAATATTTCTCCTGAAAGCCTCGGAAAGTAATGTTGCCTTCTAATATAACTTGATTCTGTACTGTTGGCTTTTCTTGTGTCTGAATTGTTCCATGTAACCAGGAATCTACACATACTTTAATTTTTTCTAAGAGCCATGTATTCCCCTGCCCAAGGTGCTAGTTTTCCTGTTTCTTCCCTATAACATGGGGTACGCTTACAGCTTGGACACACATTCTTTCTGTGTTCAGTTAAATTCAAGTATCATTTTCAAAAGTTTCAGCTTCCAGGTTATCTAAACAAGCTTCCCGCAAGGAGAAGCACTCACACCGTAAGAGGTTTTTCTTTGGCTTTTTGGTAACTGGCCTAAAAAAATAAAGAATTTATGTTTTATCAAGATAATTTTCTGTGTTGTCTTTATTAGGTTTTTGATTACTTCGGGAAACTGAGCTTTGAAAGAGTTAAGGTTTTCACATCCATGTAACTTTCTGTATTGCTCTCAAAGTCTTTTCATTATCACTCTTGTTAAATGACTGTTATTGCACAGTGACCTATGATTGTTTTGAGCAAGCATTTTAAACCTTTTGACATATAATGACAGGCTTCCTTGGGATCAAAATTCTGAAGTTAGTCTTTTGACCTAGAATTAACTTTGAGATTTCCAGTTAGGTCCCTGGGGAGCCTGAAAGAATGTATCTCTCATCTTACAGAGATATTACATGATTAGACTTATTTAGTAAATCGTATGGGAAACATCATCAAATGATAAGTGGTATTGGATCTTCTTTCAGTTACATTTATGGGAATGGTACTGATATGAATGTTTCAAAAACTATATAAATTCCTAGAGATCTAGTATGTTATCAGTCATAATTTTGGTTGCTAAACCTTCTTTTAAGTTATATTTATATGAATATTGTTGATGTATTCTAAAAGTTATATAGAATTTATAAAAGTCCGATGGTCTTGATGTGATGCTGCCATTCATGATTCTGGGTGTTCTCTTAAGATGCCGCAATAGAAAGAAATAAATTTTCTTGTCAATTGTGAACTGTCGTATGATTTTCACCCATAGCTAGTGTAAGCTTTTATCATCCACATTTACTGTTTGAATTTTTCTCTAAAAGCATTTGCAATTAGCTATAGTCTAAAATTGCTTTCTATGGAAAGGACCCTAACAAGCACTCTTGAACACAGATTTCTGAAAACCTTAAGATCAATGGACTAAATAACAATTTTCAGAACTCTAACCAAAAACTGAAGCATTCATGGAATGCTAATCAAGATCAAGCAAAACAAAAAATTAATTACATAAAATTAAGTAACTGATGATAACAATGTTTTTGTAACTTTTGTTTAAAACATTTTGAGTTCTTTACTTAAATGTTTTGTTCACCAGATTTAAGACAACATTCTATCTTAAGCTATCTATGGTCTACAGCAATTTGGTAAAGTATACTTTTGTGAATAAAGGTGAAAACATTTGCTCTTTCTCCCTATTTGATTCCTCCAAAATTTGGTAACTATTCATATTCTTACTTTTTAAGACAGTGTGCCTAAGTTCAATAAAAATCTGTTATCTTTATAGCAGGATAAAATTGTAAACCTTGATTATATTACCAAGGATTTGACCAAATTTCATATTCAAGAATGTGTATACAATGTCTGTCTTCAAGAGTTCCCAGTTTTAAGTGATTGAGGAAAAAGTGTCACTTCCTGGCAGGCCCAGGAGCCTTAAGGCTGTAAGGAAAACCCAAAGTCTGCATTGGATTGGCTTCCTGGCCTCAAGAGGTTTTTAAACCTGCGATTCCTATGTGATCGATGCAGAGAAAAAAAGTTGTGTTTCTAAAAGACTGTCATAAACCTGCTGTTAGACTGTAGCCCCGTTCGTTATTTGAAAGTTCTTTTTATCTGCCTATAGGCTAAACTAGATCTGAATTCCTTTAGATTCCTCCAATCTCACTGTCCTCCACAGAATTACTATAAATGGAAACTGCTTTGTTCTGAAAGTCTGATATATGAGCCATAGAAAGTGCACCAAACTGCTCGATGCTATAACCCAGTGACACGCAAACAGTAAACTTGGATAAGCTGATGTTTTTCATGCTGTAGACATGACATCAGAATGAGACTCCACATCATATGAGACTTATCTCTCTTAATATCCACCTTTTTCACTTGGCAGGATAATGGTATAATTGAAATTTCACAATTAGTAACTTCTATTATAATTTGACAGAACCTGACCCAAGAAATCCTTAGTATCTACTGGTTACATTTTAAAATGTCTGTACTATTGTTAATATCACATGCTGTACCTGGATAAATTTCTCTGGGAAAGTTATACAAAATAAGAAGATAGGTCACATGGCTACAACAGGTCTCACCTAATTCCCCATGGTTATTTGATTTATTCTATTGGTTGCCTTTCAAACTTAGGTCTATTATGCAAAACCATTACGCAAACTGAGACGGTCATATTAGTATTAATCTTGCTTTGTATTTTACCTTTTTAAACTTAGTATCTGTTGTTTGTTAAATTTTTTCAGAAGTATAACTCCTAACAAAATAATGTTGGTCCAGCACTTTGAGATAATAGAGATAATAGCAAAAGACTGCAGGAGAGACAAGATTGAACTCAGTAGTGGACTTCCAGGAGGCTTAGCCTGAGAGTCACCCACTTCAAACCTCCCTTGTTGCTCAAAAAGGAAATGTGAAAGTTGTCAGAATCAAAATGGAGTAACTGGCATTAAACAAACCAACAAAAGGAACTTTCACAAAGCACCAGGGAAGGCCATAAAGAGTGGGTTCTCACGCCTCGATGCCTGATAACAAAAAGGACTACAAAAAACACAACCTTGCACAAAGGCCACCACCATGTTACAGGAAAACATACTTCTGCAAGGGCATTTGACCAGCCACTGCCCATCCCGCCCTGGACTGGCATCATCCTTGTTATTCATCTTTGCAGCCAAAGATAATTATCTTAAAACAGTGAAGTAATCCTCCTCTTGTATTTTCCCATTAAAAACCTTTGTCCTCCTTTACCCCCCTGAATACGCAGTTTACTATGGCACACATACTCCCATTGCGATGCCCTATGCCCAAATAAATATCATTTTCTTTTAGAGAGCCTGTTTGTCATTTAGGTGGACACACTGAAATTTTCAATGACTTGAGTCAATTAATTCTCTCTGTTTTTAAAGACAGCTTCCACTTTTTATTGATAACTATAGGATCCTAACTGCTAAGCATATATGTTGATCATGTTTACATGTTTATGTTGGGGACATTATTATAAATGTGAAAGAAGTATCTATAAATGTGATTATGGATTACTCACTGACACACTCAAAAAGCGCGGTGATCTGAGTTATAGTAAAGCCTGTTTCGTTGGTGTTTGCCTGATAATATCTTACACCTCATCTCTCATCATCAGCAAGTTGCATCCCACTGACCATCCCCCGGCTCCCCATCAAAAAAACCACTTGATTTCCAGGAATTGCCATAGGCTAGAGTCTCAGGTGTATAAAATTTCACTCATTGACTTAAGTGGAATGATTAACCTGGAGGAGACTCCAATCAACCTGAATAGAGTCCACTCAAATGTCTCTTCCCATGGCTGAGTCTATTCTGCTCTAAAACATTCAGAGAAAAACCAATCGGGTGACATTTCAGTTTTGATTAGTGAGGTACCAAGCCCCTGAATATTGGGAGCATCTTGGTGACTGGCTGAATCTTGTACATGACTTTTGATGTATGTTGTTATCTTTGGGCCACTGCTGACTATCTTTTCTCAATTCAGGTTAAATATTTTCAAAACACCTACTATGCTCAAGTAGCTGTGTTCAGTACTGGGGCAGCACGAGCAGCCCACATCTCAGGGTGCAGTCCAAGACATATGGTCATCAAGACAGAAGAGCAGATGGTGACAGGTACCAACCACCAAAGCTGTACACGCCAGGTTCAATGTCTTTGCTGGTAAAAATGGGCCACTGTCACTCTGCAGACTTTTCTCAGTGTTAAAAGCGGGTAGGAAAAGGTGATTGTGTAATTCTTGCTCCCTCAAATAAAGGGAATGTAAATGCATAAGAATGCACAGGTCTGAAATGTGAAAAGCACGTCAGCATAAAGTCCATACAGCATTTAATGGATCTTAACTTTATCCATCTCAAACTTTCTTTTGGAGATGGAGTCTCACTCTGTTGCCCAGGCTGGAGGGTGGAGCGCAGTGGCGCAATCTCCACTCACTGCAACCTCCAGCCTCCCAGAGGGCTGGGATTACAGGCGTGAGCCACCAGGCCCGGCCTTTTTTTTTTTTTTTTTTTTTGAGACAGAGTCTTACTCTGTTGCCCAAGCTTGAGTACAGTCTCGGCTCACTGCAGCCTCCACCTCCTGGGTTCAAGCCATCCTCTCACCTCAGCCTCCTGAGTAGCTGGGATTGCAGACACCCGCCACCACACCCAGCTAATGTATTTTTAGTAGAGATAGGGTTTCGTCCTGTTGGCCAGGGTGGTCTTGAACGCTTGACCTCAAGTGATCCGCCCACCTCGGCCTCCCAAGGTGCTAGGATTACAGGTATAAGCCACTGCGCCTGGCCCATCTCAAACTTTCTAATAACTATCATCTGAGCCTAAAATGCTAATTCTGTCTTTTTTGTCTAAAATAAATGGAAGGCCCATTACAGTCACTCAGAAAAAAAAAATAGAATTCTTATCAGAAAAAAAATGACATAAAACTGCATTTCTCATCATCTGTCAGAGATTTTGCTTCAGATAAGAAAACCCTCACTACTGCCCCTTCTATGGGAAACGTAGCTCATCCCATAAGCAATGCAATGGACTTCTTTTCTATAGACGCCCAAATACTGACTTCATATCTGTGATTGTATCCTGGTAATTTCATTTCAGGAGCTAGAGCTTGTGAGGAAAAGTAGTATTTTAACTTCTGAGTCTTTTCCAGCCTTCTGCAGTGATAGATCTAGCCAATATAGTTGAATTCTGAAAATATTTTACATTACAATTCTCAGCTGCCTTAGGACCTGCATTAAATTATTTTTATTCCTGATCCAAAGTTCGCAGAAACAAAAAGTGAAAACAGGCGATCTGCATGTTTCCTCATCTGGGCGTGGTGAGAAGCCAACAGCAGGCACCTTCCACTGGGACCAGTGCTGCATTCTCTTTTTTTCTTTTTTTGAAACGGAGTCTTGCTCTGTCATCCAGACTGGAGTGCAATGGTGTGATTTCGGCTCACTGCAACCTCTGCCTCCTGGCTTCAAGTGATTCATTCTCCTGCCTCAGCCTCCCGAGTAGCTGGGACTACAGGTGCCCGCCACCATGCCCGGCCAATTTTTGTATTTTTAGTAGAGATGGAGTTTCACCATACTGTCCAGGCTGGTCTCGAACTCCTGACCTTGGGATCCGCCTGCCTTGGCCTCCCAAAGTGCTGGTATTACAGGCATGAGCCACCACGCCCGGCCTCTCTTTTCTATTTTATTCATTTATTCACTCCATCACTAGAGAACACTGGCTTAGAGCTGATGTGCCTCAGACACAGGTGCACTCATGGAGCACAGAAGCGAGTTGGACAAAGTCCGGGCCTTTGTAGTGTGACGTGGCCATTAGGGCCCACAGATCCTTCCCTGCAGTTGCTGTCTCCCTTTCTTCAGGTTCCGAGGAAGCCTTCCCTGGCCGCCTTCATAACTCTGACCTCCTCCCTCCCTCCAACCTACCAGCATCAAATGCACCAGCTATGCTCCTCTTTTCCCTTGCCGTCTGTTGCCCTGCACTTTGGGAGGCTGAGGCAGGTGGATCACCCGAGGTCGGGAGTTTGAGACCAGCGTGACCAACATGGAGAAAACCCATCTCTACTAAAAATACAAAATTAGCCGGGCATGGTGGCATATGCCACCACTCTTGGAGTGGGCCCAAGAGGAAAAGATCCCTGCTTATGGCCATGTCCCAGTGCCTAGAAGAGAGGCGGCTCATAGGAAGGGTTGAAAAAAGTGTGGAATGAATCAATAAACAGCTCTTGATTTAGTGGCAGGAGAAGTACAGGCCTCACCTCCACCGCGCAGGCCTCATCTACGCCATCCAGCCCTCACCCACAGTGTCCAGACCTCACTTCTCCCACCCAGGCCTCTACCCAGTCATCTAGGCATTCTCCCTGCCGTCTAGCCCAAAACCGGAACAGCACAGCCCTCACCTCTGCTGCCCAGGCCTCATCTACGCCATCCAGCCCTCACTCCTGCCGCCCAGCCCTCACTCCTGCCGCCCAGCCCTCACCTCTGCTGTCCAGGCATCACCCTTGCTGTCCAGCCGACACCTACGATGCGCAGTCCATGTCTCCGCTGCCCAGGCCTCATCTATGCCACTTAGCCCTCACCCATGCCATCTAGCCCTCACTCAAGCCACCCAGCTCTCACTTCCTCCATCCAGGCATCATTCCTGCCACCCAGGCCTCATCTACACTGCCTAGCCCTCACCTCCCCTGTCCAGCCCGTCCTCACCTACACTGCACAGCCCTCACCTCTGCCACCCAGGCCTCATCTATACTGCCCAGCCCTCACCTCCCCTGTCCAGCCCTCACCTCCCCGGTCCAGCCCTTGCCTCCCCCGTCCAGCCCTCACCTCCATCATGCAGCCACTGTCTCTGCTGTCCAGTCCTCACCTATGCCACATTGTCCGCATCTACACTGTACGGCCCTCCCCTGTGCCATCCAGCTGGCATCTTCTATGTAACACAACAAGAGCTGGAAGAGAAGAGGCCCTGGTCCCTGGGCGTGGAGGCGCAGAGCCACCCAGGACTGCAAAAGAACTCTTAACGGCCAACCATGGAACTGGGTGTTGATATCCCATGGAACTTGCTAAACTAGGTGAGCAGAAGAGCACTCCAGGCCACCCAAACTGCGCGGAGAATCCAGGCACAAGGAAGTGCTAAGCAGAGCCCTCATGGGCTGTGGGGAGTGGGTGGAGGCACTGCCAACAGGGCAGGAGGGATTGAGGGAATGTCCCTGAGCCGCCATACTGGGGAGGTGTGATCTGGGAGCAGAGAGCCATGGTTGGTTACGGAGAGTGGCACAAACACGGTGCCAGCGTCCAGCACTGACAGTCAGGTGGCGTGGCAGTCAATGCATGGCCCAGATGGGAGACTGAGGCTTGAACTAAGTCAGTAATGAGAAGGATAAGCTGAATATAATTCAGAATACTTTCACAATTTAGGCAAAATTTTTTTAAAAAGTTTCCAGTTCACTTTGAGGTTTCTACCTGGAATAAGCGGATGGTGATGTCATTCACCGAGATGGAGGCAAAAGTTTCGGTGGAAAGATAAGATACCTGGGCCAGGCGCGGTGGCTCACACCTATAATCCTAGCACTCTGGGAGGCTGAGGCAGGCAGATCACCTGAGGTCAGGAGTTCCAGACCAGCCTGGCCAACACAGTGAAACCCCAACTCTACTAAAAATACAAAAAATAGCCGGGCATGGTGGCGTGCCTAGTCCCAGCTACTCGGGAGGCTGAGGCAGAAGAATTGCTTGAACCCAGGAGACAGAGGTTGCAGTGAGCCGAGATCGCACCACTGCACTCCAGCCTGGGCGACAGAGTGAGACTCAGTCTCAAAAAAAAAAAAAAAGAAAAGAAAAGAAAAGATATCTAGTTCTGAATATGATACAATTGCTACTGTTAGTTATTCAAGCGCATAATGATCTCCCACTACTAGCTTGGAGAGAGGGATTGCTTTCCAGGTGACAAAGCATTGTCCCCTCCCAGGCCAAGAGAAATGCTCTTGGGTACAGCAATAGCCCTGCTGAGAAGGGGCTGGTCTGAAGGAGTTTCATGGGAACCTGGTTTTCTTGTCTCGCTTTTACCTATGGTGTCTTTTTCCACCATAAGTTCCACTCATCCCTGTGGCCTAGTCCACGGGTCCTCTTTTCCATGGTGCCGCAGAGATGCTCCAGGCAGACGCCTGCTCTGGCTGAGACCCGGGCCAGCTGCCCCTCCTGGCTGCTCTCCATCCTGAGATGCGCCTGCTCCTTTGTCCCCCTGGGAGACACTTGTACCCCCAGCTCTGATCCCAGAGCCTGGCCTGCTCCTCCTTCCACACATACGAGCCTGAGACCCCGCTCACATGGGAGGCATTTCTCAGTCACCTCCGCCCAGTTACAGCGAGAACCGTGTGGTCAGAGTTGCATCTTCCTGAGTTGAATCTGGAAAATGCACGACCTACTTGTTTAATGATGTAAAAACATGTGCTTGGATCTGATCTCCATCACTGAACCTTAAACGCAGAGTCTTCCCCTTCTGTCTCCTGCGGCTCATAAGTGCCTTATACTTACATGATCTGAGGCAGGTTATCAAACGCTCATGTTCTACCTGCTCCTGAGCTCTAGGCCAAAATAGGAATATTAAGAGAGCCAAGCATTTGCTTGTGCTCATGTTTTGAACCATCCAGCCCCTCACCAGTGCCTTCTTCCATTTAGCTGACGTGACAATGGCAGGAAACCAGCACTCCGCAGCCCATGCCTCCCACCAGGATGCTACCTTGTTGGCGTCCCCATCCGCTCTCAAATGCTCACACTCATATAATAAATACACGCTACTTAAAAAAAAGAATGGCTTCTTTAAAAACCGCAAAGGCCAGCCGACTGCAGACAGCCTCTGAAGAGCTGCTTTCCTTGACCCCCCAAGGCTATAAAATAAATGCAATTTGAATAGGAAGTCTGTTCAAATTCACCAGCTCCTCTGGGAATAATGAAGATAAAACCCAAGCCTTGATCCCTGTGTTCGCAAAATGACTCAAAAAAAAAAAAAAAAAAAAAAAGAATTGACATCATTTAAAGGACTCTGAGGCTTAAGAGTCCAACTCTAAAGTACACCCACTCCCTGAGGACGCAGAGCAAATGCAGGAAATCACGCCCTTCCAGGTGCAAAACAAATCAGATCTTGTCCCTCTCACAGGCATCAAAACACAAATCATCAGTTCCCGACAGAAACAAATCCTGCCCTGCCAAGCCAACAGAAAAACACTGGAGACAGAAATGAGCTCAGAGAAGGGCCGAGGGACAATGACAAGGTGGGGACCCTGGACCCTTGGGCTCCGCTAGCCTTCCCCACAGCTTGCAGAAGAGGGCTCAGCTCCTCCATTACAGAAGAGACAAAATACAGGGACTGCTTCCATCAAATCCCCCATCATCTCACTCTGTCTGTCTGCAGAAGCTGTCAGGCCTGGCTGGGTGCTGCCTGTCTCAGGCTCTTACTGCAGAGCTTGTTTCCAGAGGGCCAGAGGCCGTCCTGTGTCTCCTTTAATGCCTGCGGGGGACGCAGAGGCCACTGAGTCTAGGATCAGGACTGCGACACCTACTTTCTCACCGTCCCATCTGCCTGGTAAACCTTTGTCTCTCTCTGAACATTCTGCATTTCAGACTGTCTTGTAGACACCATGAAGTGAGGTTTTGGTTTGAGCCAATTTGAAAATCTCTTCTTTAAATGGGCGAGTAAAGCCGAATATTCACAGGCATTGATACAGCTGTTTTTTTTTTTTTTGTAAATTATGCTGACAATATGGTTATTCTAAGGATTAAATATTTCACGTGTTGAACACAATGCCTGGCACATAGTAAGTTCTATTTTAAATGTATATTGAATAAAACATAAATAGGACGTTAATGTGATTAAGACAAACAGAGAAAAGGATTTAAAGAGAGAAGAGGCCAGGAGACGCGGGAGAAGACAATGCTAACAGGTTGTCTTAACAACACATGGAAAGCTCCTCACTGCACAGCCCCCAGATGCCTCACTCCACGAGTGAAATCCCTGCACGGCAGGCCGAGAGCGTGGGTGCAGCAGTCTGCCTGACGTGAGAGCCATGTCATCACATATCTAGAAGGTAAGGGTACCTCCGGTTCTGGAACACACAATGTAGGCACATTTCGCTGGGGGCTCCATGTACATTTCTAAATAGATACCAGTGCAGGGACCTGGCTACCCTCTGATAAGAAGGAAGTGAGGCCTGACAGAAACTGACCTTCCAGTAACCTGGAAGAGACTGCTCTGACGGAGACAGGAGATGGCTGCTCTGTGAATACACCCAAATCTCCTAGGGCAGGAGGGGCAAAGTCACCGTTCTAGGACACACCTGTGACCACACCAGGCCTCCAACAACGGAGCAGCTGGCTAAGGAACGATGTCCTGGGGCTCTGGTCACATGGAACAGACCCAGTCTGAGCTAGAGACACCCCCCAGGCCCACCAGGCATCAGCGTGGGCTCCTGCCATGCGTGGAGCTCTTCGTCTTGACAGGGTCCCTGCGCCAAGAAGGCAACAGGCTCCGAGGGGAAAACTCGAGCAAGAGAGTCCCCTGAATCGGTGCCATCTGTCTAAATTCCAAGTATGCCTGCCTGATCTACCAGGGCACTGAAGAGTTTAATAGAGAAAAAAAAAAACAATCTGTGAGCTTTATCCCAAGCACAAAACAGCCACTCAGGCGTGGGAGAGCTCCTTTCTCCCCGTGTACGCCACATGCACTCACTCTACAGGGACCACAACATCCAATTCACAGGCATGGAGGGGAAACAGCAAAATAAACAGACTTCACTTTGGAGTTGTTTTTTAGAAAGCTGCAGTTTGTGAATTTCTCTTGCTTTTTAAAACAGAATATTTCCAAAACTTGGGCATCAATGCTTGGTCTTTTTAGGTGGGGGATAGAAGACTGGGCCATCTTCACAGACTCTCAGACCCCGGCTCTCGGCGGCCCCATTTGCCAGCCAGACTTCCTGCTTGGGGGACGGCTGCTCCCCCGGCTCGGTGCAGTTTTGCAGCTGCTGGTCTTGCTTAGTGAGGCACAGTTCTATCTGACCAATTGTCTGTACTTCCTCATCCTAAAAGTAAACAATGAAAGACGCTTTAGAATTCAGATCTTGGATTATCATCAAGGTCTTAAGATCATGAACTTTTAGAACTTTTAGAAGATAACAAAAGCAGAGGCTCCACACCACAGGTTCTAGGTTCCAAGAACGGACCCCTTCATTGAGCAGAAGGCTGCTGTGCACTAAATTGGAAGGAGTGGCCCCAGGTGACTCGCCTGTGGGCAGTGGAGCTGGGCTTGGGGGTTGGATCCCCTGGTCACCACCAGAGGCCAGCCTGGTGCCCTGGTGAAAAGCCTCTGCTTTTATGTTAGAGAAAATTAACAAAGTTACACACAGATACAACAGCACTCAACATATCTATCAAGATATTAGGAGAAGAAATGGCTTTTGTAGGCCAAAAGGGCAACAGTACCCTATTGCTAAAAGAACAGGTATATTCTTGTTAAAGATAAGCAAGAAGACAAACCCTGTCCTAGCATGCTGTCAAGAAACCATGCTTGCTCACACACAGCACATGCTCACACAGACACACATGCATGCTCACATACACAGATGTGCAGGCCTGTGCACACATGCAGAACATGCCCATATGTGCACACATACACACAGTACATGAACATGTTCATATGCACATTCACACAGAGGCACAGGCCCATGCACACACACAGCACATACCCACATGCATGTACACACACACACACACGCACATGCCCACACAGCACGTTCACATGCATGCACACATTCACACATGCACACACATGCCCACATGCATGTTCACACAGAGAACATGCACACACATGCACACACACAGCACATGCACACATGCATGTACATGCACACACAGCACATGCCCACATAATGTACACACTTGCACACACAGCACATGCGCACATGTATACTCATGCGCATACAGCACATGCACACATGCATGTACATGCACACACAGCACATGCCCACATAATGTACACACATGCACACACAGGACATGCACACACATGCACACATAGCACATGCCCACATGCATGTACACACACATGCACACATAGCACATGCCCACATGCATGTACACACACATGCACACACAGCACATGCACACATGCATGTACACACACACATGCACACACACACCACATGCCCACATATACAGACACAAATGCACAAATACAAGTCTGCCCCAGGGAACTGCATGGTGAAGACAAGGCCATCAGAAAAGTAGAACCTGTCTTCTTGAGAAAAAAAGGAAGACAAAACATAACTGTCTAACCTGGCTTGGTGGAAGGCACTGGATTTTGGGTATCACTCCATATACTCTGGCAAGGGCATCTTTAAAATCTGCAACCTGATTTTAAATACAAGTGTATTAGAAATTAAACTTCAACAGAAAAGATCTGACAGTTCTGGACTATCCTGAGCGCAACAGTGGCAGGGTCCTGGTCTCCCTTGGCTGGCAGGGACAGGACCCAGCACAGGTGTGAGAATGATGCCCCCACCTCCACCAGCGAAGCAGAGGATGCTGTCAACCTGGGCTTCATCCCCAGACCACAAGCCGCTCGCTGCGGCTCTGTTTTCCTCTCTGCTCCTGTTTCTCTGGAGAGCAGAGCTCTCCTCCTCCCAGTGTCTTTCTGGGCCCCGAGCTGTCTCACCTGAAACGCCACCTGCCACAGCCACCCTCATCCACCAACAACTACTCTGCCTTTCGCGGCCCATAAAGCTTTCTCAGCCCTGTCCACTCTGAAGTATCTCTCTCTCCCGACCCCCTCCCCACGGTGGACACATTCTCCTTCACAGAAGAAAGGCCCTGGGACCCCTCAGCTACCGGTCCCGAAACTGCAAACCTAGACCCCCCTGTGCTCCAACCTCCTCTTGGATGAGGGGCCTCCTCCTCGCTCTACTGAGGGAGTCCTCCCCCACTGCTTCTGCCTCGTGCCTTCTGACTCAAACCTCCTAGGAGGACACCTGCATCCTCTCAGCCTCGTACTCTGGCTTTGGGGGGCACCAAGCTGGGGTCACCAGCTCCAGCAGATGCCTTTTGCCCCTTGCCTCAGACACTGTCCACTCCTTCCACGAAGCTCTCCTGTGGGCCTCCTGAGCACCTGCTCCACTGACCGCCTGGCTGCCGGCTGCCATTCCTGCCCCATCTCCTTGGCCTCCTTCTTCTCCTTCACTTATGGCGAGTTTTCACTGCCTTCCATTGGAAGCTATCTTTTCCACCCCATGGCTTCCCTCCCATCCAGACCTCTCTTCCTGGACTCTGCAGAGAGCTCCAATTCGAACTGTCCATGCAGGGTCTGATCATCCTCCCCTCTTGCCAAGCTTCTGACACCAGCAAATGTCACTCCTATGGAGGCCTGAGGCAGGACCTCTGCCTCTCCCATCCCCCTGTCCCAAACGGCCAAGTCCAAGCTCCCCACACTATCCCTTCCTCTCCAGCTGCATAGCCATAGGCCCAGATTCCCCCAGCATGTGACCTACTCGGAGGGTCTCTGTGCCTAGCCTCTCCCCAGTACCACGGGGACAGCAACAAGCAAACACCCCGGCCTACTCAGAGCTCAGCGCTGCTGGAGGATGAGGTCCTCATGTCTATGGCTCCCACCCGGCCCCTTCCCAACCCTCCTGCTCTGCCCCTGAGCCCCCTCAAGAAGCAACTGGTCCCATATCTCCCAGCCCCCAGCCCCCAGCTCTGCTCCACTGAACCACTCCCCTCAGGGCCTGGGCAGGCTGCAGGCCTCCATCTCAGCAACGCATTTCCCAGGAAATGTCTGGGTCGGCAGCTCTCCTGGGTGCTCCCGCAGCCCTGATTTCCCCATAAAACAGATGAGTGGATACGTGGCTGGATGCTGGATGCAAAAGCAACAAATTTCTCCTGATGATAAATCAAACTCCTTTCAAAGGACAGGACTCCGAGTATCCACCGTGCTGTTTCTGATGCCCAAACAAGCGCCGTTCGCACCTGGAAGCAGCTCAGCAAATGTGTGGCCCCTGTGGCTTTTGCCACCCCTGTAATCAGTTCCCTGAACACCGAGCTCTGGGCAAACATGGCAGGCACATGTCCCTCATCTATTCGCACATGAGTCCAGGTGAGGACGGTGAGGGCCCTGCAAGCGATCATCTTACGGCTTCCTGGGGTTGGGGTTGAGGGGGAGTCTGGAAAGGGCTGGTAGACTCCTTCCTCAAGTCCACTGCTCCCCACACTCTGGAAAAATGGCTGCACAGGTAAGCAGACACCATGAGAGCAAAGACACTGTTGCCAATTTATTTCACAAACAGTCAAGATACCAAAATAATTGTTCAACATCCAGCCATCGCCCCAGAACTACTAAGATCAGTGACTTTCAACCTTTTTCTAAATCCACAACCTGTGATAAATACGAAAACTATCTCAAAGAATCTGATACCTTTCTCTAAGGCAAGAGTCTGCAAACATTTTCCGTAAAGGTCCACGTCGTAAATATCCCGGGATTTGTGGATGACACATCGGTCCCTACTGCAGCTACACCATGGGAGCACAAGCATCCCCAGGTAACAAAGGAGTACAATTTTGTTTACAAAAACAGGCAACCAAGAGTTGAAAACAACTACTTTTTCTTTTTTTTTTAAAGAGACGTGATCTGGCTGTCGCCCAGACTGGAGTGCAGTGGGGCGACCATGGCTCACTGCAGCCTCAAATTCCTGGGCGCAGGCAATCCTCTGACCTTAGCTTCCTGAATAGCTGAGACCACAGACACATACTATCATGCTCAGCTACTTTTACTTCTTTCTAGAGGTCTCACTCTGCTGCCCAGGCTGGTCTCGAAATTCTAGCCACAAGCAATCCTCCAGCCTGAGCCTCCCAAGGTCCTGGGATTTATAGGCGTGAGTCACCACACCTGGCAAAAAGCAACTTTTTGTATATGCTTACCAGCTAATAACATCTTGTCATGCTTAAATATCTATAGTTTCTTTTATCATAAAACAAATCACAATTTTATCATGAAAACAAACCACAAACAAATATAAGACTACGTTATAAAAGTGAATGTGACTCTTGAAACTGCAGATTCCACCTGCTCTGCCGGACCCTGGAGCACACACTTCTCACAAAGGGAGCCATGAAATCTGTGCTTCCAAATCACTGGTCTAAGCAGCCTTCAGCTCCTACTCAACATGCGCAGGAAAATAAAATGCAAATAAAATCTGTTCACATGATAACATTTAAGTAGGAAGGGGGTTTGCACTGGGGCAATTTACAGCCCATTGACTCAGAGGCTGAAACGGCCCTACTGGAGGTCCCCGGGAGAGACACACGAGAAAAGAAGCAAAAGCAAGACTTACTTGGTAGTAATTGATGGATGGTTTTATCCCCAATTTTAGAAGCACACTAAAATTTAAATTTAAAAAAGTTAGCTGTATAATGAAGGTCCACTTTGCTTTCTTGTTCTTTTCAGGTATCATATTTCATGGTAAAAATTAAGACACTCTTAAAGGAAAGTGTTTTCTATGACTTTATGCAACAAATGTGTCAACATGGACTGCAAATACATGGTTCCCAGTCCCCGCCTTCCCCACCCCTTAGCACACACACAAACTGCTCCAGGCAGGTACCCTTTCCAGTTCCTGACTCCTTCGGAGCATGGGAGCGCTGGGGCCACCACCGAGTGGAGCTGGCACACACATCACCACCCGTTTGCCACACCTGCTTTAAAAGACAGCAATTGAAATCGGATTCCAGGCTTATCCTGGTAAACTGCATTTGGACAAATCTTTAAACACAGTCATGCGCCACATTACGACATTCAGTCAGTGAAGGCCTGCATGTACGAGGGCGGTCCCATATGACCACATTTCTACTGTGCCTTTTCTATGTTGAGATATGTTTAGATACACAAATCCTTACCATTGTGTTACATACAGGTGCCTACAGTACTCAGTAGAGTCACACACTGTACAGGTTTGTAGCCTCGAAGCAACAGGCTATACCACAAAGCATATGTGTGTCGTGGGCTGTATCAGCTAAGTAAGTGCACTCCAAGATGTTCACATGACAATTTTATACCCCATCACCAAGCAATACATAACCGTATGGTAAGTCCCTACAGCTTTCAATCACCTCCTAAAGCACTTCTACACAGAATCCTACCAAACTACCATATATAGAATTCACTTATTAAAGTATAAAGGTACACTGTAAAATTCTGAATCATTGCAGAAGAATATCCTAGTTCCCCATCAAGCCTTGGTAGAAAATTCTAGATCACGATCACAGAGTGGACACAAAGACTTAGACATCCTCTGTGGGCAATAACTTATTGTCAGACTGTCTTGGCCACAGAGTTCCTGGAACAAGGACCGAGATGCCGGACCAGGGTCCTTTCAGCCCCATCATGGCCCGAACCCACAGGACCTCGCCTACCCTAGCTGTTGGTGTTGTATGAATAACAGGTTTCAGACTTTGCAGTTAAAAAAAAAAAATGTAAACTAGCTTATTAATTTTTTAATATTTATCCTAAGTTTCGATGATCCTATTTTTGATATATTGAGTTTAATAAAATATTTTTGAAATTAATTTAACCTGTTTCTTTTTGCTCCTTTTAATGATGCTACTAGAAAATTTAAAATGACATCTGTGGCTCGTGTTACACGTCTATTGGGTAGCATGCTCCTGACTTGGGTGATCAAGGGAATACGGCAAAGAGAGAAAGATGTGGGGAAATGCAGCACCTAACCCAGCATCATGCTTTCTGCTGAGTTGAGATGAGCTTGGCACGCATCCCAGGTCTTTATCTGTGGGTACTCTAGCACGTGCCATCAGCTCATCTGTGTCTATGGGAACCCTGACAACTTTGCTTCAAGATGATTTGTGGTTTTTCAGGTTTGCTGCCTTCATATTATGAAGTGAAGAAAAACAAGCTACAATTTTTTATTCTATTTTATTTTTTTGACACAGAGTCTTGCTCTGTGGCCCAGGCTGGACTGCAGTGGTGCGATCTCGACTCACTGCAACCTCCGCCTCCTGGTTTCAAGAGATTCTCCTGCCTCAGCCTCCTGAGTAGCTAGGATTACGTGCACCACCATGCCCAGCTAATTTTTGTATTTTTAGTAGAGACGGGGGTTTCACCATGTTGGCCAGGCTGTTCATGAACTCCTGACCTCATGATCCACCCGCCTTGGCCTCCCAAAGTGTTGGGATTACAGGCGTGAACCACTGTGCCCAGCCTGTTCCAGTTTATGATAATTTGAAAAGCCAACCTATGAGAAAAAGATAATTTGTGATACCAGTTTACAAGGAAAAATGAGGGGTCTTAAATTTTGACTTCTTAATTTAATTTTTAGATTAAAATGAAGGCACTAAGAATTATAGATTTCCCTTGGAGAAACTAAGAATATAATTTTCCTATAATTGTTCTTTATAGGTTTTAGCAAACATACTCTCAGTAGTGCTTTGCCCTGGCAGGCCCTCAGTGAACATTTACTGAATGAATGAATGAATGAATGAATGGAGGACGCACCATTCCCATCTACAGCAATGGCAGGGCAGCACTGGGCTCTGCTGAATCCCCACAGGAACTCCAGGACTTAGAGTTTTGCATGTGTCGTGTGTGTGTGTGTGTGTGTGTGTCTCAGTCTGTCTAGTGTCGCTATACAGGAATACCTGAGGCTGGGTAATTTATTTAAAAAAAGAGGTTTTTTTGGCTCAGGGGTCTGCAGGCTGTCCGAGAAGCATGGAACCAGATTCTGCTTCTGGCAAGGGCCTCAGGAAACTTCCGCTCATGGCAGAAGGCAAAGGGGAGCTGGTGTGTACAGAGATCACATGGCCAGAGAGGAAGCCAGGGGTTGGGGGCGGTGCCAGGCTCCTGTTAACAACCAGCTCTCTGGGGAACTGAGTGGGAACTCGCTCACCCCTGCAAGGGGGCATTAACCTACTCATGAGGGATCCTTCCCCGCAGCTCAAACACCTCCCACCTCCACACTGGTGATCAAATTTCAACATGAGATTTGGTGGGGATAAACCAACCACATCCAAACCATAGCAGGAAAGCTACTGAGTTTCAACGAGTGTAAGTAGGAGCCACTTAATAAACTATTTGTTGGATACAGAGATGAATTATTTAGATGATTGATTTTAAAATTTTCAGTAGTATCCATTTATCCTTTCTCTGTTTGATTAAATGAACTGGTTTATGGAGTCAGCCTGGAAAACACCAGCACTCTGCAGCAGGGTCAGGACTGTGAGACCCCTGTTTTGAAACAGAGGGCATCTTTCTTGTCATCTCCAAAGTGGGTCCTACCCTGCCAGTCTTTCAGCAATGTCAGACTTTCTTTTTAACTGCAAGTCTCCTGTGCTCCAGGAGCTACCTAAGACACTCTCTTGGTTAATCCTCATAATGACTTTTTTTTTTGAGACAGTTTTGCTCTTTTCGCACAGGCTGGAGTGCAATGGCACGATCTCAGCTCACTGCAACCTCCACCTCCTGGGTTCAAGCCATTCTCCTGCTTCAGCCTCCCGAGTAGCTGGAATTACAGGCATGCACCACCACACCTGGCTAATTTTTGTATTTTTAGTAGAGATGGGATTTCACCATGTTGGCCAAGCTGGTCTTGAACTCCTGACCTCTGGTGATGCACCCACCTCAGCCTCCCAAAGTGCTGGGATTACATGCATGAGCCACCACACATGGCCCATAATGATTTCTGAACAGCTAATTAGCTACATTTGTTAGGTGAGAAAATGTTTCCTAAAATATTGCTCTTACTGCAAGAAAGCAATGCTTCCTTTATTAAAAACCTAAGATTAAATTACATAGATCAAATTATATACACAAACTATATACAAATCAAAGTGTATAGGTCTGTGTACGTTTCTTAGTGTATATACCTGGTAGTGCAGATTTTAAGAGCTGGAAGAGACTTCAGGGTTGAGGGCAACCTATCCATTTATTTCACAGCATGGAAAAAAGAGCTAGAGGTTAGATACACAAATTGTACAACTAGTTAGTGTCAGAACCAGGATGAAAAGGCACACCTAATGCCACGCGCTCTGGGAGGTGATTTTTAAAGAAGTTTATTCACAGGGCATTCTTTGATGTAATCTTGATCCCCGCTAACCGTGCCAAGCCCCTCTTCTATCAGTGCCTGAGCTCTATCCCACCCAAGTTGCAGCTGTTAGACTGCGTTTCATCAGATGACACAGGAGACCATCTGTGTGAGACGATTTTGTACGTTGAGGAGGCAAAGCACATGTCTAGATAAGCAATGGAGGTTTATTCATCTTTTAAGCAGTTTTGATTCAGAAACCTTAAATACAGCTGATTAGCTAAGGCTCCTGGTATTATTCTGATTTGAAGGAGAATTGCTCTAAAACAAGCTGCGTGAATTCCAAAAGCAGCAACACAGAGGCTGTGCAATTGCCTGTCATGTTTTTCACGACTTCACTGGTTTATTATGACCTCTTATGATGAAGGTCAGTGAGAGCAGCTAAGACGCTGACACCCTGAAACGTCCCGACGGAGAGGTAAGGGCACACCCTGGCTCTCTAGCAACCAGATTCGGACAGTGAGTGGGCTCGGTGTGGCGCTCAGAAGGCACTTTGCTTTACAAGTCAACTGGCTCAAGTGGGACAACGTATTCCACTTCTCAAGAATAGAGGTGAGGGCAGGCAGGGACGATTTAGGCAGGTTGGGGTCATTTCTGGGGCTTAAAGAACCCTGGCCCACATCTCTTTCCTGCCTGCTTGTTCCAGGAGTTCTGCGGCAAAGACCTACAGACTTCCAGAGTTTCCGTCTTTCTAAGGAAACGACTTATTAATGCACTATCCTTTATCAGGAATCATGGCTGAGAACGGCACATGCTGGTTGGAGTCCTCGTTTTCCCTATGGCCGACTCTGATGATGAGATGGTGCCCAGATGGGCATCCCAATACTCTGCACCCACTCTGTGTGATCGTGATGTAGAATGATCTGGAAAGGCTTGGTAGGCTCAGAACATTCCTCAGGAATGATCCCAGTAGCCGAATAGTGCACATGCAGAAGCTGCTGGAGGGCAGTGAGGTCTACACCCACTCCCCTGGATCCAGCTGTCAGGCTTGGGCGACAGCAGAGATCCCCACTGGGAAGTGCAGCCGGGGGAAGGGCGCACCCACCTGTTGAGGTCCAGCTCCCTGTAGAGTTCCAGGCTTCTGCCAAAGTACTTCTTCTGGGAGTTGAGCGCATCCACCTGGGCGGCGCAGGTCCCATGCTTTTCCCACTCATGCTTCCTGTGAGGATTAGGAAAAATCTCCACTTAAAAGTAGTGAAACAGGCTGCGTGCAGTGGCTCATGCCTGTAATCCCAACACTTTGGGAGGCTGAAGGGGGTGGATCACCTGAGATCAGGAGTTTGAGACCAGCCTGACCAACATGGTGAAACTGTCTCTACTAAAAATACAAAAAAATTAGCCGAGTGTGGTGGCAGGTGCCTGAGATCCCAGCTACTCAGGAGGCTGAGGAGGAGAATCGCTTGAACCCGGGAGGCAGAGGTTGCAGTGAGCCAAGATCATGCCATTGCACTATAGCCTGGGCAAGAGACAAACTCCATCTCAAAAAAAAAGTAATGAAACTGATTCCCAATTAAAATGCTCAAGCATGTTTTCTCTCAGCACAGACTATTCCCATGTGGTAGGCATGTCATTTCTTTTACAAAGTAGGAAGGATAAAATTCCTTATTTGCAACATAGGCAATTATTTCAATCCCCCACGATTAAATAATCAGTTTCAGTTCACGTCTACAATTACAGCTTGCTCAATTAACAACAAATCAAAGCTGAGAAAAAAGAACATGCTGCTGCCCCAACCCCCACTGATTCACAAAGCAACGTGTGGTCTCCTGCAGTGAGTGGGTGCTTTGCAGTCAGGGAATTTCGCAGAGTGGCACAAACTGTCATTTCTAAGCAACCAGCCATGGAAAGGCAGGACAGCTAATTACCAGGAAACACCTCAGGCCCATTTTCCATTTCAGCTTCTACAAATTATAGTTTAAGCATCCATTCTACATAGAGGACAATAAGAACAACTGAATAGCCTATAACTAAAGGGCTGCACGTGAACAGCAATTTGTATTCCAGAAAAATGTGGTCACTGAGAATGATTCCTGATATTTTACTGCAGATTAAAGGTTTACAAAAATCTTTCACGTTCTTCGTTTGGTTCTCAAAACTCTGCAAGGCGGAAATATCACTGCTAGTTTACAGACAGGGAATGGAAGCCCAGAAGGGCCAGGGGACTTGCTGAAGGTCACTCAGAGCCTGCCCTTGAAGGCCACGCTCAAGTCCAAGGTCAGCGCCCTTCCCACTGCACTGGGCTGTCATCCAATCAACTGCTGACGAGATTGACAGCCACCTTCAGAATGACTGGCGTGTCATCAGATGTTTATCATCTTTAGCATGAAAAGACAAAATGGGAATCAGATTTCCTCAGCTTTATTGGTGATGAATTCATGAAGTTTTAATAAATAACATTCATGCAACCACTTATAAAGCACTTATATGCAGTCTTAAAAACACAATCTAAATGTGCATTAATTCACTGGCAAAATTCATCCAAAATACTAGTTTTAAATAATTCCTATTGATTTAACTCTCAGAAAATGATGAAAAGTTGAAAACAGGAACGATGAAAGTGGATGAGTAACTGTCTTCATCTAGAAGCCTTTCCAGAGCAAATTACCTGATAACTTCCTATATCCTATAAGGTAGAAAAAGGAGATTATTTTAAACTAATTGAAATGTAACCTGAATTCCAGGTGACTTAGTTTCTATAAAACAGGGGTAATTCTGCAGGTGAGATGAGGTGTGCTGAGCCCTTCCACATGAATGAAAACAGTTCCTGGCTCACAATAAACAGTAAATGTCAGCCATCATTATTCCTGGAGCAAGCTTAACTCAACAGATGTTGGAAATAGATTGATATTCATGGAGCTCACAGCATTCACTCACACTTCATTTGGACTGGACCTTTTTTTTTTAAGCATCAGAACGGTCAGTCACCAATGCGAAGTGACTCAGCGTGTTGCCCTCTGTGCTGAGAGACACCCTGACTCACCCACCAAGAGCAGATGCAGCCAGGAGCGGATGTCCCAGGCTCACCCACCCACTGTCACCCAGCCCGCTCGGCCACAACAGGCAGCCAGTCCTCGGGGCTGGTTATGCCCAAAGACACATTCCACAGCAGTGCTGTGACACCTTCCCCTGCCCAAGGAGCAGAGGTGGAGAAGCCAGAGGCCAACCCCCATGGAGTTAGTCAGGTGACTTGAGTGATAGGCACAGGACTGGGTGACACAGCCCAGACAGGAGCTCCTCCCTAGCTGATATTTTGTATTTAGGAGCACTCAAAAATATAAATATTAATTTGTGTGTGAGATTTATCTTTTTCATTTAGAACCAGTTTTTTAAGTGTGTAATTCAACTATCAACCTGAAAATTTAAAGTAAGTCATCTTGCCTTTATCAGAGCCCAAAAATAAATGCATACTGTGCCCACACTGTTTTGATTAAATGCTCAAGACCCAGCTCACTGAAGGCCTTTGCATGTTTGCTGATTTATTTTAAGCCATTTAGCTAAAATCTGACAGACTCTATCATGGAACATTGTAACAACTGGAAAAATTCTCTTTCACATAACTCAGTTACCATAAACTCATCATCTGAAGTACACTGTGAAGTGACATATAATTTTTTTTCCTATCTTCTTCCATTCCAACTTATCATGGCCATTATTTTGAAATAATTTTCTAGAACACAGGCTGTGCAGAACAGGTGACTGAGACCTGAACCATTCACCACCCGAATTTTCAAGGGTGATTCAACGCACAGACTGAGGGTCCATGAATCCTAAGGCCACTTCACTGCCACACCGATGAACCAGAAAGGGGGACATCACTTCCATTTCATTTTGTTTTCAAAAGCTTTCTTCTAAACTTAACTTTTAATTTTCCTGAAAATTATACACAAAAATATTTCTAGGTTAATCTTCCCACCTAAAATTTGATGGGTTGTAATCTGAATTATAAATTGCAATATTGAAGTGGGATAGAGAAAATAATTACCTTCAGTTAATATAATGTTAATACAAGGAATTTAACTTTATGTTCTTAAAAAAGCCAGGATTTTAAAAGCTATCTTGAATTCAACATGGCGTTTATGCCCTAGGCTTAGCTTCTGCTGAACTTAAAGGTGCTTCACTATGACTGAGGTCTCAGCCTCACATGCTAAGTCTCACTTTCTCTCCTCCCTAAGTCATAGGCATGAGATCATCATTTTAGAAGACATCTTCTTTTTTTTTTTTGAGATGGAATCTTGCCCTGTTGCCCGGGCTGGAGTACAGTGGTGCAATCTCGGCTCACTGCAACCTCCATCCCCTGAATTCAATTGATTCTCCTGCCTCAGCCTCCCAAGTAGCTGGGATTACAAGCGTACGCCATCATGCCCAGCTAATTTTTGTATTTTTAGTAGAGATGGGGTTTTGCCATGTTGGCCAGGCTGGTCTCGAACTCCTGACCTCAAGTGATCCACCTGCCTTGGCCTTCCAAAGTGCTGGGATTACAGGTGTGAACCACTGTGCCTGGTCTCTTTTTTCTTAATGTATTTGAAGACAGGAGCACAATTTCCTTAAGAAATATTCTCTCCTGTCTGATATGGACTAATTCTTAGATATGCAAGCATTGGACTTTGTTAAGCCTCAGAAGAGAAAATTTGTATCTTTATTTTGTTTTTGAGACAGGGTCTCACCCTGTCACCTAGGCTAGTTATCACCCCAGCTGATCACAGCTCATTGCAACCTTGATCTCCCGGGACCACAGCCGCACAATACCACATCTAGCTGACCTTTTAAATTTTTGGTAGAGGTGGCATTTTGTCATGTTACCAGGCTGGTCTCAAACTCCTCAGCTCAAGCAATCCACCCGCCTCAGCCTCCCAAAGTGCTAGGATTACAGGCACGAGCCATTGTGACTGGCCGAGAAAAGTTTTAAAGCAAAGTAATAAATACCATACAGGTTAGAAAACAGGCTTATATGGTAAATTCCACTTGCTTTCAATTTTTTATACATTGGAGAAAGGCACCAAAAATGCCGTAACAGAATCATATCTCATAAAAGGTTGTTCAAACTGCTCAGCCCCAGAAGACAGATTCTGTTATCTTGCTTCCCACACAGTTTCCACTTCTAGCGATTCATCACGCTCCCCACACCCGCTCAGACAGTAATCAAGACAGCAATCAGAGGCTGGGACTTACCAGAAGCGGCTGCGATTGGGAAACGAGTGAATTACGTCAGGCCAGTATGCCCTCATTTCTGGCAAAAGATCCTATGCATTAAAAAATAAAATAAGTCTACGCAGGTTCTTAATAATAAACTCAAAACCTAGAAGGTAAATTTGATAAACTGACACCAAAGAATTGAGCTCTGCTAATTAACAATACTTTGGTGAATAAAATAATCCTATGCTTATTTTGTATGAAGTGTTTGTTAAGATATATCTACAAGTGCAATTTGAGTAATCATAAAACTGCACACGAAAATACAAGCTGTTATAGGTGAAGGGATAAAGTGTACATCCAAACAATGGAATATTTTCAGCAACAAAAACCAATGAGCCGTCGAGTCATGAAAAGACACTGGAGGAACTGCAAACATACATTGCTAAGTGCAAGAAGCCAGTCTGCAGAGGCTACATACTGTATGATTCCAACGACGTGACAATTTGGAAAAGGTAGTCTTAAGAGACAGGAATGAGATTCGCGGTTGCTTGGGGGTTCAAGGGGAGGAAGAAGGGGAGGTATGGCTCAGGGGGTTTAGGGCCAGCGGCTGCTCCAGAGCACACTGGGTGGGACTTGCTCTCCTGCATTTGTCCAAAGCCGCACAACACAGGAGTAAACCCTAATGTTAATGCTAAACTTTATTTAATAATAAAGTATCAGTATCAGTTCATTAATTGTAACAAATGTAACACACTATAGAAGATGTTAATGATTGGGAGAGTTGAGGGGGAAGGGAGTGAACTGTCTGTAATCTCCATCCAATTTTTCTGTAAACCTATAACTGTTCTAAAAACATTGGCCGGGCACGGTGGCTCACGCCTGTAATCCCAGCACTTTCGGAGGCCGATGCGGGCGGATCACGAGGTCAGGAGATCGAGACCATCCTGGCCAACCTGGTGAAACCCTGTCTCTACTAAAAATACAAAAATTAGCTGGGCACGGTGCCACATGCCTGTAATCCCAGCTACTCAGGAGGCTGAGGCAGGAGAATCGCTTGAACCAGGGAGTCGGAGGTTGCAGTGAGCCGAGATTGCGCCACTGCACTCCAGCCTGGCGACAGAGTGAGACTCCATCTTAAAAAAAAACAAAACGAAACCATCAGTTAAAACAAACAAACAAACAAAGGACAAGCTCTCCTTTTCCCAGAGAAGAGCTTGTGTGAGCTGGGCAGCCTGGGCACCAGTCGCGCTAAATCCAACAGAACTGGAGTTTACTTTTCTATTTCTACACACCCTCTACACCAAAAAAACCCCAAAAAGGTCAGTAAAAAGGTGCTTAACAAACTTCGGATAACTTCACTTTCCTTCCCTTTCTCCTGTTTTCCAGCACCCTATATGAGGGTCCTTTTCTCAGCCCATTTGTAACTCAGCCCCTACCCCACAGCCCCTGCCTGTGTGGGCGCAGCTCTGTCCCCCTCCTCTTCCCCTCCAGCCCCCCACCCCACCTCTCCTGCCCCACCATGCTGGCTTCAGCCCCATCAGCTCTCCGAGATGTCCTAGGGCACGATATGATTGAGTGTGCAAATTGGGCTACTTCCGTTTGGGACAATGCAAAGGTGTTCCTACTGCTACACAACAAGGAAGCCAGGACTACTCTGAGGAGCAGCGGCTCACACCACCACAGACCCACGACCCACCCACGCCCCCACTCAAAAAGCATTTCAGCTTTCCTGTCCTGGACCCCCCGGGGATATGCAGTCCTACGGTGCCTCTTCTCAAATCTCTCCACTCCTGGGTTTCCGCCTTTCCCAGCTGCAGGCACACATGCCCCTTTCCACCTGGCTGTTAACACGGGGCTCCACCAGCACTGTCCCCTCTGCCCACCAGGCCCACACCTGTCAGCGCTGTCCCCTTAGCCCACCCACATCCGTCAGCCCTGCCCCCTCACCCACCCACGTCCACACCTGTCAGCCCTGCCCTCACCCACCCACGTCCACACCTGTCAGCCCTGCCCTCACCCACCCACGTCCACACCTGTCAGCCCTGCCCTCACCCACCCACGTCCACATCTGTCAGCCCTGCCCTCACCCACCCACGTCCACACCTGTCAGCCCTGCCCTCACCCATCCACGTCCACACCTGTCAGCCCTGCCCCCTCATCCACCCACGTCCACACCTGTCGGCCCTGACTCCTCACCCATCCATGTCCACAGACCCATGTCCATCCCCACACCTGTCATTTTGATTCACCATCCTCATGCTAACTATGCCTAAAGCCACCTTTCCTCTGACCCTGAAGATCCTCTATGTCACCCCCTGGAGGTCTCAAGGGCACTTCAAACTCAATGTATCCTGAAGTGGCCTCTTCATCACGCCTCCCCAGAAACCATTCCCTGCAGTGAGTCCCGGAGGAGAGGAGGAGAGTCTGTGTGAGGAGCTAGAGACAGCACCAGGCTCTGGGGTGTCCCTTCTAAGTCTCACGGCAGTCCCCAGCCTCTTGGCTCATCCCACTGAAGGTCTTCACGGGGAGGAAAAAGAAAACAATTCCATATGGATTAGAACTTGTGGGCTGGGCGCGGTGGCTCCCACCTGTAATCCCAGCACTTTGGGAGGCCGAGGCAGGTGGATCACCTGAGGTCAGGAGTTCGAGACCAGTCTGACCAACATGGGGAAACCCCATGTCTACTAAAAATACAAAATAAGCCGGGCATGGTGGCGCATGCCTGTAATCCCAGCTACTCAGGAGGCTGAGGCAGGAGAATTGCTTGAACCCGGGAGGTGGAGGTTGCAGTGAGCCAAGATTGCGCCACTGCACTCCAGCCTGGGCAACAAGAGCAAAACTCTGTCTCAAAAAAAAAAAAAAAAAGAAAAGAAAAGAAAAAAAGAACTTGTGATGGATTTGCAACTAATGACCTTGGGGAATGTACCATTCCTAGGAAAGACCCACAACTCCCGCAAGCCTTCAATGCTACCACACGTTTTAAAGAAGGCCTCAGTTACCACCCCCTCCCTGGGGTCCAGGTCCAGTTACCCTGGTATATACTGGTTACACACAGGAACTGTTGGCACCCCTAAGGAAAGATGAGGGCGTGTGTGTGAGTGAAGACTCCGTATGACATATAAGGTACGGGTATCTCAAAGGAACGCCTCTGCTAGTATCTCTAATAAATTCCCGCCCTGTGAGTTTTCTTTAATCAAGCTCTTGTACTGGAAAGGCCCAGCATGTCCACCTGCTCAGAAACCCATCCACCAGATAGGACGGCCCCAGGCCTGTGCTCTCTGAGCCTCAGCTGTCTGGAGATGCCTGGCGATATGGCACACCGACCAGATTCCCACGTCGGTCATCTGACCCAGAAGTCCTGGGGCCTGGGACGAGGCGGGGCTGGCGGGCGAGCGTCAGGATCTGCACAGGTCTGGCATGGGGGAGTGTCAGGGCTTGCTCCGGTCGGAGCCCCTCGCTCAGGCCCCTCATGCAGTGGCTTGGGCACAGGGCAGGGGAGGGGAGGAGAGGGAAAAGGTCAATTGGTGTAATTTGTGGGGTCGAGATAACAATACTTACTAAAACAGCAGCAAGGGCTCAATCCTGGTGAATACATTCATGACCCCTTAATTTTAAAGATGACTTTGAAGGTACGCTTGTGAAGAAAAGAGTTAATCTAGGTCAACACTCTGCAGTAGAAATATAATTAAAAGTCAATACCTTAATCTCTTCTAAATTGAAGGGCCACGATCTATTACATCCTTCACTTTTATCGGGCCTGGAAATTCAAATTTAAAAGAGAAAATAAGAAATATTAGGCTTGGTTGGGGTGGCTTCTACATGACCTTAGAAAACACTTTCATTGAAGTCTGCAAAGAATAAAAAGAGAAATTCTAATTGGGAATTCCTTATCCCAGGCAGGATGCTTAAGAAAGAAGATGCAGGTAAGAGGAGTCAGAGTTCAAATTTCTTTAGAAGGGAAAAGAAATTGTGTTAAACCGTCCAGGAGTAATGCAGACAGGCCACTGCTTAGTAAAGGAAGTGCAATGGATAGCCTAGTAGCACCGAGGAGCGGGGACTCTGGGGTCAGCCCCGGCTGGGTTGACGGCAACCTCTGCTGCTCCCTAGCACCGAGACCTAAGTAAGCTGACCCCCGGCCAATCTCCGCACCACAGATCCAGCATGAGAACAGCGAGAGTCTGTTCCTTTCAATGGTGAGGAGGACTCCAGGAGATGACAGATAAAACATGTCAGAAAGTGCCTGGCGTATGGCAGAAGATCAGCTAGTAGGATTTTCATTTCATTTTCAGTAGCAAACGCACTTACACTGTCTAGAACTTTAACTCCATCCTCACACATCTAATTCTGGACTTATCAACTCTGACTCTTGAGTGCTGCTTACTCCACAAGGTCACTAACTTCCTAAGACCCCGACCCCTCAGAGCCCCAAAGAGGCCAGGGAGGAGAGTGTCTTCAGGGTCAACAGCTGGACCAGCATGTGAAACCTGCCTGATTCTATCCGCTGGACTGGACAGCATTGCAAAGCTTCATTCCAGCCTCAGAAATGAAACGGCCATGATGGGCAGAGGTACATTCAGAGCACTTGGTCACAGCAGGGGAGAGGACACCACGCAAAGTCTAGCAAAGCCAGGAGCCCCAGAGACAGGAGGTCAAGGTTATCTGACCAGACAGAGAAGAAAGTGAAACCCGAAGCCAAGTACCTACATCCCAGTTTAACTTGTTTTCCACCAATCCCTCTTCCTAAGGAGCCAGGAGGCACCAATTAAGCTAAAAGGGCCCTTTTCAATCCCGGCATCGAGGCAGTGGGACAAAACGGGTCCTTCAGATGGGGCGATTAATGTGCACAGTTCAGCGTCACAAGTATGTCCATGTTACATAGAAAAGAATTAACTGAACAAAACGCAGACAAAACCAGAATAATAAATTTGAGTGTCTCTGAAATGTGTACGAGACGTGCATTTATGTATTTTCATGTAGTTATTTATAATAAACCCCAAGAGAAGAACAAAATGAGAAAATTAAAATGTAGTGACCCTGACATGTACCGAGAATCTGTAAACACTATTTTAAAAAGTGTTATTGGCTGGGCACAGTGGCTCACACCTGTAATCCCAGCACTTTGGGAGGCCAAGGTGGATGGATCACCTGAGGTCAGGAGGTCGAGACCAGCCTGACAAACATGGTGAAATCCTGTCTCTACTAAAAATACAAAAAATAGCCGGGTGTGGTGGGGCGTGCCTGCAATTCCAGCTACTTGGGAGGCTGGAGCAGGAGAATCACTTGAACCTGGGAGGTGGAGGTTGCAGTGAGCCAAGATCGTGCCACTGCACTTCAGCCTAGGCAACAGAGTAAGACTCTGTCTCAGAAAAAAAAAAAAAAAGTGTTATTGTTCTATGAAGACAGAATTAAAGAACAAGAGAATCAGGGTTCTGCTAGAAAGACTAAAGATATTTTTAAATAAGAATCTAGTCTATTGGATAAACTCCTAAAAATAAAAAACAAGAATAAATATTAAGACCACATTCAAGCTAGGGTTCCCAGTCAGCAAGCCTCTTCTGCCTAAGATTTAATTGTGTGAGACACTTGCCATAGTCCATGTATTGTCCAGTAATCCGGAGGGTCTCTACAGTCGTTTTGAATTTTCTAGGGAGAAAATATAACAAGAAAATGATTGGCTCTTTGTTTATTCAAATACACTTAGGAACCCTATTAAAATACATTTAGCAGCTAGTTGCAACATATGCCAACGAGATACAGGTACTGCACTAATAACACAAGCTAAAGCCAGGGCTACTTCACAATACATTGCTTACAACAACACATCCATGAGGAAGCTACACTAGGGCTGGATGTTCTAAGCCAAACGTCAAACAACTGACTTAACAGAAACAGCCATTTTTGTTAAGCCATTCCTCAAATATTTGACTTAACAGAAACAGGTGTTTTTATGGGCCAGGCGCAGTGACTAATGCCTGTAATCCCAGCACTTTGGGAGGCCAAGGCGGGTAGATCACCTGAGGTCAGGAGTTCCAGACCAGCCTGGCCAACCTGGTGAAACCCCATCTCTACTAAAAATACAAAATTAGCTGGGCGTGGTGGCAGGCGCTAATAGTCACTACTACTCAGGAGGCTGAGGCAGGAGAATTGCTTGAACTCAGTGAGCCGAGATCATGCCATTGCACTCCAGCCTAGGTGACAAGAAAAAAACCGTGTCTCCAAAAAAAAAAAAAAAAAAAAAAGGCTGGGCACAGTGGCTCACGCCTGTAATCTCAGCACTTTGGGAGGCGGAGGTGGGCAGATCATGAGGTCAGGAGATCGAGACCATCCTGGCCAACCTGTGAAACCCTGTCTCTACTAAAAATACAAAAATTAGCCAGGTGTGGTGGTGGGCTCCTACAGTTCCAGCTCCTCAGGAGGCTGAGGCAGGAGAATAGCTTGAACCCGGGAGGCAGAGCTTGCAGTGAGCCGAGATCGCGCCACTGCACTCCAGCCTGGGTGATAGAGCAAGACTCCATCTCAAAAAAAAAAAAAAAAAAAAAAAAAGAAAGAAATGATCAAGGGCATAATCTGAGCCAGATAAGTGAAACTGCATTTTCATTTGTCAACAGAAAAATCAGTTGAGGAAGTAGAACAGAAAGTCCTTACTGCTCAGTGCTGGAGAAAGAGGGTCAGAGGCCAAAACCTGTAACTTCACCTCTGCCACTCAACTCTATCCCTCAGGGAACCCAGTTCAAAGCCAGAAGCTGGGCTCCTTTCCTGGAGGCAATGCAGAGAGCAAAGCCTGCACCACACGGGGCTCTGAGGGCTCTGCACAGCACTCAGTTCCCAGGCCTGCCTGCATGGAGCTGTGGGAGAGCCCAGAACACTGAGAACCCGACAGGCAGACTGAGCATCTTTGACACAAGCATCTCATCAGAGGGGGCACCAGGGACAGCCCTCACTGCCTAGGAGGACACCTGGGCTCAAACAGAACCCTTCACCATGGCTGCCCAGTAGGAAATACACTCCTTAACAAGGACATTTTGCTACAGATTTTTTTTTAAATCTTGTTTCTAAAGCCTCAAGGCAAAGATGTGCCTCCACCCATATTTACATTCAGTGTGCAGGGACACACCCACGTTTTGTCATGTAAATGCCTCCCTGAATGCAGAGCAGCCTGGTCTCAGGCCCTGGAGGCAGATCCTTCAGTGTGGGTCAAAGACAGTGCTTAAGTTCCAGCTCCTCCTCCACGGTCCTTCTTCCGTAGGAACCAAGGACTCCAGCAATCCCTCCCTATCTCAGAATGCCAGCTACACTCCCAACAATTGAAAGTTGATGCCAGGCAGCTTCCGGCTCCTTCTGTCCACTGCCCCAACCCAAGGCAAGGAAACAGCAGCAGGAGCGCAACATTAAGTCTGCAAAACTGAAAACGGGGCAATCTCGTGTACAGAAGTGAGCAAGAGCATAATTTGAGCCAGATAAGCAAAATTTCATTTTCGTTTGTCATCAGAAAAATCAGTGAGGAAGTAGAAGCGAAAGTCACTACCACTCAGTGCTAGAGGCAAAACATAAAGCCTGCGTGCTCCTGACAGAATGTGGTGCTAGCTCAGCAACACGGTCAAACACTTGAGAAGTGTGCAATGCACACCAGGGTCAGCTTGACACACCGAGCAGGGTACGCCCTGAGGTGCAGATCCAGGCAGTGTCCTGGCTCTGGGTGCTCCAATGAGAAGGGCCTGGACACTGACGCACTGAAGGGATGTGGGCATGGAGCAAAACGCAGCCAGATGATGAGGGGCCAGCCCGGAGGGCCGTGAGTGCCATGGGTGCCAAGCACAGCAAAGGAGGCAGGGAAGCTCTTGGGTCCTCTTCACTCACAGGACATGTTAATAAAATGTCCAATACATGGAGGGATGTAGGGACCAGCCCTACAGGGACTGTGGGTTTTTCTCCTCGTGTGGAGACGAGAGATTGTAGAAATAAAGACACAAGACAAAGAGACAGAAGAAAAGACAGCTGGGCCCAGGGGACCACTACCACCAAGACGCGGAGACCAGTAGTGGCCCCGAATGCCTGGCTGCACTGTTGTTTATTGGATACAAGGCAAAAGGGGCAGGGTAAGGAGTGTGAGTCATCTCCAATGACTGATAAGGTCACGTGAGTCACGTGTCCACTGGACAGAGGGCCCTTCCCTGTATGGCAGCGGAGGCGGAGAGAGAGAGAGGCCAGCTTACGCCATTATTTCTTCTATGCATTTCAAAGACTTTTAGTACTTTCACTAATTCTGCTACTGCTATCTAGAAGGCAGAGCCAGGTGTACTGGGTGGAACATGAAAGTGAAACAGCAGTGTGACTGCTGAAGCACAGCATCACGGGGAGATGGTTAGGCCTCCAGATGGCTGTGGGCAGGCCTGACTGATATGAGGCCTATCCACAAGAGGTATGGTGAAGCAGAGTCTGCTCTAACTCCCTTTCCCAGTCTGCTGAGTAACGGGTGCCTTCCCTAGGCACTGACGCTACCACTAGACCGAGGTCAGCTAAGTAATGGTTGCCTTCCCAGGCACTGGTGTTACCACTAGACCAAAGAGCCCTCTAGTGGCCCTGTCCGGGCGTGACAGAGGCTCACACTTGTCTTCTGGTCACTTCTCACCGTGCCCCTTCAGCTCCTATCTCTGTATGGCCTGGTTTTTCCTAGGCTGTAATTGTAGAGCAAGGATTATTATAATATTGGAATAAAGAGCAATGCTACAAACTGATGATTAATAATATTCATATATCATCATATCTATAATCTATTTCTAGTATAACTGTTCTCATTTTATATATTTTCTTTATTATACTGGAACAGCTTATGCCCTCGGTCTCTTGCCTTGGCACCTGGGTGGCTTGCCGCCCACAGAGGGAGGAGACAAACTGAGGCTTGCTGTGGGTTGAACCGTGTCCTCCCAGAAGATATATCCCTGTCCTAACCCCTCCTCCCATCTGTGAACATGACCCTACATGGACACAGGGTCTTTGCAGATGTCATCAAGAAAAGGTGATACCAGATTAGGGTGGGCCCTAAATCCAATTACTGGTGTCCTCATCAGAAGAGACAGAGAGACACAAAGTGGAGAACACACCGTGAAGGAGAAGGCAGAGATTGGGGTGATGGGTCAGCCCAGGAACGCAGAGGACCACGGGTCCTTACTAGAAGCTAGCAGAGAAACAGAACAAACTCTCTCAGAGCCTTCCAGGAGGAACCAACCCTTCTGACCCCTAGGTTGAAACTTCCCCTTCCAGGACCGTGAGAATAAATTCCTGAGGCTCTCAGCCACCCAGCTTGTGGCACTTTTGTTACAGCAGCCCTGGGAAGCTCACACACAGCCCTCCTGGAGGCAGTCTCTGCAGGAGACACCGCCCACCCGCCAGAGCGATGCCTACCTCCCGCACCAGCAGCGTGGGTGCCCTGGACGGGCACGTGCACACAAACCCCTCTTCACAGGGCTCCCCAGGCCCCAGGGCCCGTCAAGGCAGAAACACTCACCTCGCATACTGTCTCAGGCCAGTGCTGAACCATAATTAGTTTTTTCCACTCATGGTTGTCACTGTTAAAACATAAGAAACTTATTTTTCAAGAACTTTTTTTAAAGTTACAGAAAAAATTCATCCACCCATCCATCCCTTCAATCATTCATTCAGCACTGAGTGCTGTGGGAGGAGGAACACTGCCTGCCCTGCTGCTGCACACACTCCCGTGAGGAAGGCGGTACACCCCTACACTAAGAAGGCACGTGTGGTGGCGTCCAGTGCTGAGTGGCGGAGAACATGAATAGGATAAGGGGAGGAGGGGAGAGGAGGGGAAGCGGAGGCAGGGCAAGCTAGGAGTGCAGCCAGGGAGGGCCTCACTGAAGGGAAGCCACTGAGCCACGAAGCACCTTTCTCCTAAGGATGCTCAAGAGAAATGCAGACCCACGATCCCTCCCCTGCATTCGTGAAACCCATAAAAGCCTGAAACCTGGTAGTTTTTTGTAATTCATTTGGCAACAAAACATAACCTGAACTAGCATAACGCTATTTATCGTTACTACCCCAACTCAGTTTTTAGACTTCACTTGCTTCTCTGCAGAATTTGTGTCATTTGATTTTAGGGTGCTACTTCAGATGCCACCAGGACTGTTAACTTGAACACGGTATGTGCACTGCATCATGAATGTTATTCACGACATGGTATGCACACAGCACTGCATCACACGTGTTACCCAGAACCTGGGGCCACACTGGATCACAAACCTGAACACCGTGAAACTCATCTGACTCTAAGACTTCAAAGAAGCCACTGTGGAGCGGCAGCTTATTCATGGCAGTAGGCCTCTAGCCAGAACTGCAAGACTTAACGAGACTGAAGTAAAAAGAGCAGCTTGCAAAAAATGCACATGGAAAAAGCCAGCAGCAACACAGGATATAAGTCAAGCAGACACTTCAGGATAAATCAAATTTTAGAAGGGAAGATTCCAAGTAAGAAGATCAAGTTGTCACACATTAGCTTTTGTAAATAATTGAGTCCTGTTGAATTTGTATAGAATTTACAGTTAAGATGGTATGAAAACTTAGTTGTACATTGGAACTAATTATGCAAGCTCTCAGTATAAAAGGAAAAAAGGGTTCAAGCGTGGTGGCTCACACCTATAATCCCAGCACTTTGGGAGGCAGAGGCAGGAGGATTGCTTGAGCTCAGGAGTTCAAGACCAGCCTGGGCAACATGGTGAAACCCTGTCTCTACAAAAATTAGCCAGGTGTGGTGGCATGAACCTGTAGTCCCAGCTACTTGGAAGGCGCTGAGGCAAGAGGATAGCTTAAGCCCAGGAGGTGGAAGATGCAGTGAGCCCAGATCACATCACTGCACTCCAACCTGGGCTACACAGCCAGACCCTGTCTCAAAAAAAAAAAAAAAGGATGAGCTGCAGGGTGAGAATTGGAGCTGGTAAAGCATTTTTTACCCTTGGGTGAAAAACCTTATTTTACATAGTCGGAACCTGAGGCTGGAAAGCTTAGCAACACCCAGGAAGATGAGACTATCAATATGCTTACAACAAAACTACCAAGACTCAGACGTTTGTAACAAACTCTCCATCTAAAACCAGGCAGAGTGATGTGACTGCAGGAGACCCCCTCCCACACAGATGCCCCCCTCCCCTATTCACGGAGAAAGTAATGGAGAAGCTAAAGAAAGTCAAAGAAGAAAGAAAAATCACCAAGGTCTCAAAACCAGTTAGAACTTGGGAAAATGCCCGCTGACCTATGAAGCCCTCGTGGTCTGAATCAACCATGTTCTCGCAAATCTTGCCTGCTCAAGTTTGTCCGATCATATCAGTTGCATGAATTATGGGCTGGGGTGGGGGATCCACATATGACAGCCTGTTTTATGCTAATGTTTACTTCCAGCCAGACATCATTCCAAGTTACATTCTGTACCTTAACTGATTTCTCCTGAAGCCAACTCTGTGAGGCTGACTGTTACTATTTCTACTTTACAGATGAGGAAACTGGGGCATAGAGAGCTCAAAGGTCCCACACCTGGGTGTGAACTAGCAGTTTCCACTCAGCCAGCAAGGGCCAGCATGCCACAGACTTCCCCAGTGAGAGGCTCTGAACCTCATGGCCAATAAATAAGGACATAAATGTAGCTCTTTTTCAGAAAATACACTTTCCGGAACACTGAAATATAATGCTACATTTTAATGTACATGATTAAAAATATATACCTAAGGTGTTTAAAAAGTAAAACCCTGGCCGGGTGCAGTGGCTCACGCCTGTAATCCCAGCACTTTGGGAGGCCGAGGCGGGCGGATCACCTGAGGTCAGAAGTTCGAGACCAGCCTGGCTATTAAAAATACAAAAATTAGCCAGGCGTGGTGGTGTGCATCTGTAATCCCACCTACTCAGAGGCTGAGGCAGGAGAATCGCTTGAACCCGGGAGGTGGAGGTTGCAGTGAGCTGAGGTCACGCCACTGTACTCCAGCCTGAGTGACAGAGTAAGACTGTCTAAAAAAAAATAAATAAGTAAAACCCACCTTTTCCACACCTACTATGTAAGTAAGAAATCCTATTAACCCGATCATTACCCAAATAGAAAGAAATAATATGGTATTCAAATATTGGTATCTTCCACAGAATTAAAGTTGGAGTTCTTTGCAGCACCGCCTGTTTACCCCTAATTAATTTGGGCGGCTGCCACACACACACACGCACACACGCACGCACACACGCACGCACACACGCGCACACACGCACGCACGCACACACACGCACACACGCACACACACACACGCGCACACACGACACACACGCACAGACGCGCACACACGACACACACGCACACACACGCACGCACGCACACGCACACGCACGCACACACACACGCACACACAAACGCACACGCACACACACACACGCGCACACACACACGCGCACACACACACACACGCGGAGGGCGAGCCAAGGGAAGGGATTCAGAACAGGATACTCAAAAAGAGGAAGAACCGTCGTTTCACCACCCGCCGCAGTGAAAGCTGAAATTAAGTGTCCCCTCCACGACTTCTTCGACCTCTGAGAGAACTTCGAGTGCAGGAACAGTGCTCCACCAAGCCTGCCACCTGCTTTGTCGCGTCCTAGGCTGGGAGCAGTCTGTGGGATGAGTTTCCAGTCCAGCTCCAGGCTGGAGTGTACCCAGGACCTCACCCTACCCCCTACTCCTTCCCAGGGGTCACCCCGGGGAGTGTTCAGGGCTCCCCAACCCACTTCTTCCCAGGAGTCACCCCAGAGCGTGCCCAGGGCTCCCCCCAACCCACTCCTTCCCAGAGGTCACCCCGGGGCGTGCTCAGGACTCCCCTCATCGCACTCCTTCCCAGAGGTCACTTCTGAGTGTGCTAAGGGCTCCCCCCAACCCACTCCCTCCAGGGGTCACCCCGAGGCGTGCTCAACTTCCCAACTTCTTCCCAGGGGTCACCCCGGAGCGTGCTCGGCTCCCCCCGCCCTCCCCAGTCGCTGCCCGGGGCTCAGCGACCGCCGACCCCGAGAGCTGCAGCCTTCACCCAGTGGAAAGCTCTAGGGCCCGGCTCCCACGCTCCCCACTTTACCTCGCAAGGTAACTCACCGCAGGCGCTTGTCCGCACCGCCCAGGCAAAGCAACGCCAGGCAGAGGCAGCCCAGCAGGGCCCCGCGCAGGGCTGCAGGGCGCATGGTGCCGACCTGCGGAGAGAACGCTGCCAGCTGCCGCTCCGGCTCCCACTTCCCACCTGCTGCCCGAGGAAGACTTCCGGGAGAAACGCTGTCTCCGAGCCCCCGCGCCGCCGCGCTCCCTCCGCTGCAGCAGCGGCCACCGGGTGCGCCCGGAGCCCTGGGACGGCCTAAACCAGTATCTCGCGGGCCCCGCGCCGGGCTCCGGGAATGGCCGCAGCAGCCCTGGCGACCCGGGCCCCTCGGAGCTCCCCTTCAGGATCGTGCACCAAGCGCGCACGTCCCGGGCTCTGCTTCGCGACCCACAGCGACCCCAGCTCCTCCACGCTGCAGCCGCCGTCCGCCCACGACCACGGTCAGTCGCGTTGCTCCCAGCCCAGGGCGCCCTGCGGGCCTGCACCGGAGCAGAGAGCCACGCCCCCAGGACGGCACGCCCCCGCCGGTGGACACGCCCCCCAGAACGGCACGTCCCCGCCCGGCGTTCACGCCCCGCCCCGTGGTTGGCTCAGAGAGGCCGAGGCAGGAGCAGCTCCGCGGGCCTTGAGGGCGTGTCAGGCGGCTGTGTTCCTTCGCCACGCAGGCGCCCCGCGCCTTTTCCCGCAGCTCTGCGCCACTCCCACACTCCCGGGTCCGAGCTAACCTAGACCACCCGTGAGGACCGCCCTCGGGGGGACCGCCCGTGTCTGCGCCATCCCCCGCCAGCAAGTGGGCGTGCGGGCCCCAGGGCCACTCTACTCTCCAGGGACAGCCCCCAGCCCGACCCGCGCACCCTGCAGGCCCGCGGTCCGCACGCAGCACCCGCTTTCAAAAACTGCGCCCTGCAAGCTGCCCGGGAGCTCCTGACTGCAGATGGTGCTTGGCCGCCCAGGCTCCCCGCAGCCTCCCGCCACCTCGGCGCTCCACTGCGCAGCCCGAGGGACGGCTCCAGAATTAGGAGGGGACCTACTCGGGTCACTCTCCTGGAAACCTCTCCAGTCTCCCGGTGCTAGGTGCTGGGAGCACCAACATTCCTAGAAGGGCCTGGCCCTCACCCAGCCCTGGGCCTCACCTGCCCCTCCCCGCGGGCCCCAGGAGCCCGGAAGTCATCTCTGTGGGGGCAGCAAAGAGCCGCCTCGGGGCGCGACCTGGGAAGTCATCTTGTGAGGGATCCCCTCCCAGAGGGACGGGCCACCCCCCACGGATGAAGGGGACTTCATGTCAGCCCCACCTTGGCGTAGCCAGGGCCAGTCCCATAGGCCCGGTCTCCTCCCCCAACACCCTGGCCTTCCCAGCCCTTCAGAGGCACGGGTTCCCCTGCACCCGCGGCCCCGCCCACGGGCTGTGCACCCGGCATTGTCTCTGCAGATGTTTCTCCTCTTTCCCTTCCCTGTCCGCACACCCACAGCTAGTTAAGGCTATTCCTATTTACACGTCGAGTAAACTGCGCCTTCCTCGGGGTCCTCTGCCACTGGTAACTGTCTAAATAGCAGGTGGGCCTGTAGCCTGCTCTCCCACAGGCCTGGACCTTGCCTGCATGCATTACCATTCTTTGAAACAAAATATTTAAATGATTAATCTGTTTTTCCCACTAGACTGCAAGGCAAGGCCCATGTCTATTTTGCCCACCTTGAGTCCCTGCCACTGAGCACAGTGGATGGGGGACAGTCGGTGCTCAATAAAATGCCACCTGTGGAACAGATGGGGGGGGAAAATGGCTGACACCTCCTTAGCTCCTCCAGGACCTCCTACAGGTCATGGTGTTATTCTCGTTCTCCTTTTCCCTAACGACTTATTTGTTTCTTTCCGGCTCCTTTCATTCCTTCCTCTCAAGAATATAGGCACACGCCACAGTTCTTTTTCTCTTTTCTTTTAAGCTAAAAAAATAATTTTCTTAAAACAAAAGTGCTTCCCAGAATCCTCATTTTCCTTTAAATCACAGTCCGGTGTGTTTAAACAGCCCCTTGTCAAGGAGGGCTGTTGTGACCACTGCCAAATATAAAGCAAATCTGGACTCGGGGAGGAGTGGTGTTATGAGGACCATTATTGCAGGGGCCTGGGGGCCTTTTGTCCCTACTAAAAATACAAAAATTTGCTGGGCGGGGGTGGCACGCGACTGTAATCCTGTGGCAGGAGGAGCGGCAGACAAAACCTCTCAGACACCGAGCTATAGAAGGAAGGGCTTTATTCAGCTGGGAGCATCGGCAAGCTACTGCCTTAAAATCCGAGCTCCCCGAATGCACAATTTCTGTCCCTTTTAAGGGCTCACAACATTAAAGATTTCACATGAAAGGGTCGTGATTGATTTGAGCAAGCAAGGGGTACGTGACGGGCTGCATGCACTGGTGGTCAGAGAGAAACAGAACAGGGCAGGGAGTTTCACAATGTTCTTCTATACAATGTCTGGAATCTATGAATAACATCGGTCTCTAAGTCATGAGTTGATTTTTAACTACTAGGTTTAGGCCAGGCAGGCCCAGGTCCGGTTTTGGGCCTGGCGCCGGGCTGCCTGTCTTTGATTTCACTTCCTTGTTTTTTTCTTAAAACAGGTACTGAGTATAAAACAATATAAAACAATATGAGAGGGTCTCTCTCTTCCCTCAATCCCAGCTACTCTGGAGGCTGAGGCAGGAGAATCGCTTGAACCCAGGAGGCAGAGGTTGCAGTGAGCCGAGATCGCGCCACTGCACTCCAGCCTGGGCGACAGAGTGAGACTCGGTCAACAACAACAACAAAAAGAATGAATGAAAGAAAGAAGAAAGAGAGAAAAAGAAAGAGAGAGAAAGAATGAACTGGGAATGGAGAAGTGGGATGAGAACCTGCCTTCATAGGACATTAGATCAGAGAAGGTTGACCCCGTGGCCAGCCTGTTCTCAGGGGGGACTGACTCAGGCTAAGATGAGGCCAAAAGTCCTCAGCCTCGGGGGAAGAGAGGAGCCTCACCAAGTTTGCTTAACAAGTGTGTTATTTCTATTGACTGGCTCATCATTGATGAGGTGAAGAATGGGAATTGGAGGATCTGTGTCTGGCTTTGTCCTAGGTAATGGGTAGGGGGTGGAGTGAGGGGAGCATCCGTCACTTTTCCTTTTTTTTTTTTTTTTTTTGGAGACAGCGCCCAGCTGCATCACTTCTATCACTCTTACCTATGTTATGTGGGGAAGAAGGGGGTCTCTCGCAGCAAGCCACTTTCCACAACTCACAGAGAGGAGATTTTTATCAGATAAATTCAGCAGCGTCCTACCCAGCCTGAAGAAGCCACCCAGTCATTTCCTGTTGCACTTCCTTGTTTATTTTCGACACAGTTCTCCCCACCCCTGAGAATTCTTGTCACTTCCTCCTGTACTGCCCACTTCTACTCCCCCACCCCCACATCGGAAGCTAATGAGGAGCTTCAGGCCCCTTGCTGGCATGGGCCCCACCAAGACCCCATATCTCATTCCGTATTCACAATTTTACCTTCTTGTTCTTAAAGAAGGACATCCAAATGGAAAAGCTCTCAACCCCCCAAAACTTGGATGTGAACCTGGAGCATCTGTCATCTGTCTTGTTCACTACTTGTCCACCTACCAGGATCCTAAACGGAACCCTACGTAGGGAAGAGGCAGTGGCTGTAAAGGCTGGATTTGGGTCTGGAAGCCGCCCAGCTTTACGAAAACAAAGAGGGCTCCAGCATCAAGCAGGTGGGCAGGGGCCAGAGTGGGAATTACATTGACTCACACAACATAGTGTAAAAGGGTACAAACTATGAGGTTTAAAAGATGCTGCTGGCTTGTATAGAAACATGTCCTTAGGAGAGGGGAGGGGGACAGGATGGCAACAGCCATGTCTATGAACAGACATCCTTAAATCCTTGTTAATTCTGAAGAGACCAAGATACTTTCACCACACAACCTCTTCTTGGCATTAGCTCCAGGTTTCCTGTTTCCATGCCAGCTTTTGCTGGGTTATGCTACAATAATACACCGCCCCCAAATCTCAGTGTCTCACTTAAACGGAAGTTGATCATTTATCATTCATTTGCCCATATTCCATGCTGGCTATGCGTCAGATGCCACTGTGGTCCACGGTATTTTTCACTCTGGAACCCAGGCGGTAGGAACAGCCCATATCTGGTGCTGGCCATTCCAATGGCAGAGCAGTGGCACAACTACACAGTTTAGGATTCTCATGCTCTAAAGAGCTTTGTCACACTTGAAAGAATCTCACCTTAAAAACTCCTTTCCATCCTGAATTACTTATTTGCTGAGAAAGTGAGGCCAGCTGCTGGGTGTTTCCCTGCCCTTTCTCTTCTTTTTCTTTTTCTTTTTTTTTTTTTGAGACAGAGTCTCACTCTGTCAGCCAGGCTGGAGTGCAGTCAGTGGCACAATCTCGGCTCACAGCAACCTCCGTCTCCCAGGCTCAAACAATTCTCCTGCCCTAGCCTCCCGAGTAGCTGGGATTACAGGCGTGTGCCACCACGTCCGGCTAATTTTTGTGTTTTTAGTAGAGACGGAGTTTGACCATGTTGGTCAGGGTGTCCCAGCACCTCTGGCCTTGCCATGCCAGCCTGGCCACTGTGGTACACATTTTGTGGAACTCTTTTATTCTGAGCTGTGGCCATGACAAAAGGAGGACAGGAGAGAAACAGAAAAGACCAGTCATGTGTTTCTCACAATATAATTTGTTCTTCAAGTGTGACTTAACTGATGGAACCAGAGGGAAAAAACTTTCTGGAACTAGACAATAAGAATAAATCAGATCAAATAGCATGCTATTATGAAATGTGAAGCAAAGCAATATATTACATTTAATCATGGATGTCAAATTTTCAAAGCATATTTACTCTGAAAAAGGAAAAGAAAAAAACCCATGAGCTTACACACACACTCACATGCACACACATACACACACATGCACACACATACTCCTATACACGTGGATATTAGGCTGCTTACTTGAGCTGTCTTACAATTATTTATCTTAAAAAGATAAGCAAGGCATTTTAGACTTCTGAGATTTTACTACATAACTGAGCTGCTTTACTTTAGATAAGCCCTTCTGCATTACAAATAATAGTTTAATATTACATTAACAGTTAATTTTGGCTG